>NC_000023.11:149324090-149627121 GCF_000001405.40 Homo sapiens | reverse complement strand
GAAAGACCTTACCACCCCCCAGCCCGACACCCGTAAAGTGTCTGTGCTGAGGAGGAGTAGTGAAAGAGCGGGGCCTCTTTGCAGTTGAGATAAGAGGAAGGCTTCTGTCTCCTGCTCATCCCTGGGAATGGAATGTCTCTGTGTAAAGCTGACCATTCCCATTCGTTCTATTCTGAGATAGGAGAAAACCACCCTGTGGCTGGAGGCGAAGTATGCTGGCAGCAATACTGCTCTGTTACTCTTTGCTACACTGAGTTGTTTGGGTAAAGAGAAACATAAATCTAGCCTGCGTGCACATCCAGGCACAGTACCTTTCCTTGAACTTATTCATGATACAGATTCCTTTGCTCACGTTTCCCTGCTGACCTTCTCCCCACCTGTTGCCCTGCTACACTCCCCTCGCTAAGATAGTAAAAATAATGATCAGTAAATACTGAGGTAACTCAGAGGCTAGCGCTGGTGCGGGTCCTCCGTATGCTGAGTGCCGGTCCCCTGGGCCCACTGTTCTTTCTCTATACTTTGTTTCTGTGTCTTATTTCTTTTCTCAGTCTCGTCCCACCTGACGAGAAATACCCACAGGTGTGGAGGGGCTGGCCCCTTTCAGTATCTCAGAAGGGACAAAGTACACAAAGGCATGGGGTCATGATAGTGCCTGGTATGTTCAGGTAGTGAAGAGGTCCATGTGGTATGAGCACTGCAGATGATATGTGTCGTATGAATTAAAAATACATAGTTACTGCAAATAGTTTTTACAGGTTATTGTTTTTAAGAAAGCAGTATCTAATGCACGAGTGTACTGTCAGTACTGTCAATGAACTACTTACCACTCAAGTGACTGCTTATCTGTTGTTCTGTCCTCTCAAGCCACCTACAGTCAGAAAATGGTCTTGATTTTACTGATGTTGCTGTTAATAATAGCTGTGACTTCTTGAGTACCCACCACATGCCAGGCCCAATGTAGGGGCTTTGCATCCATTATCCATGATCTTTACAACAACCCTGCAAAATTAGGTATCAGCCTTATTTTAAAGTCTTGACAGCTTGTGACTTCCCTGAAGTTGCATAGGCAGGAAGAATCTAAGTCAACATTCGAATCCACGTCAGTCTCATGAAGCCTGTGCTCTTTCCTGCGTGCCATGCCATAGTTCTAGTTAAGTGACAACTCCTTTCCTCCATGACATTGTAGATCCAGTATGCTAAGGAACCCTCTATTTACAAATTGTAAGTGATTAAACAAAACAAACCTGTTAGTGGCGCTTATACATCCAAATGAGTGTTGTTATTCAAAGAGGTTACTTGGGGAAAGAGAATGTATACACCTATTCCATTGTTCATACTCCTTGTTACTCATCTGGAATTCCCTTTAAAGTCAGTTTACATATCACATAAGAAGATCCATCTCATTGCTTTATGATCATCTATCATTTTCAACCAAAATAGTTCCACCTAGTTTGATCACACATCTTATTCACTAACCTTGGCTCTGACTGACTGTTTGCCATTTCCAAAATTTGAATCCACCCTCAGTGAAAATTTAGCACCATTTGGGATAGTCAGAAGATCAGACTGCAGGTTCTCAAGGTGCTTCCAAGAAGAAAGCTTCAAAGATGATTTGAGTAATGAAGTACCATTGGAATTACTGCATTGCCTCCCAAGGGGACTGGTTAAAGGAGAGAAATCTCATTTGAATGTATAATTTCCAGTTTTAAAAGTATCATTCCTATTACTTGATAATTACACACACATTGTTCTTAGCTGTGTTCTTTGAGGGCCAGGATTTGGAGGTGCTGAATTACGTGCTGAATGAGTGGATGTTGGGTACAAATAGACATCTACCACTGGGAAGTCTTTGTTGTACAGGAGAGACCGTGGATTGAAGGAGTTTTAGATAGTTTCCTAGGACTCCAGAAGTTAAGCTTTTTAATATGGAGCTTGAGTTTTCTAATCATTTTGCCTGATATGTCATGCCTGTACAAGATGACTGGAATTTAAGACAAAAGCCTCGAACTCTGGAGATAGATGCTTTATAAGTGGAGACTCATACTTTGTCAGCTCCAACCTAATAGTGACAACAATGATTGCTAAATGAGATTATTACCTACAATGTGGCAGAACTTTTGTCTTTCATAATACTGCTAAAGCTAGAATGGGTAAAATGTATCATTTACACAGTGCTTTCACATACCCTTGTCTTAATGAATCAGTATATGAGGAATCAGATGAGGAGACAGACCTGGGGGAAAATAACTCACCCAAGACCACACCGCTGATGAATGGCAGTTGAGGAACTTAAATGCAGATCTTCCTACTGGCCTGGGCTCTGCTTTTATTTGGCTTTTGTGCTTTTTTGTATCTACTGGTTAAATGCTCTTAAACATTTTTTATCTTAATAAAACCAGCTAAAGTCTCCACTAAAAGACTTTAAATTTGGTTAATAAGGTGTAAGAGGGGCAGTTCCCTTGATAGTTTGTGAGTATGTCAGGTTGTCATTTGGAGCCATTCTGTCAAGCTTTAGACTGGGATGTGCCATCCAAAGTTTGTGTGTGTGTATGTGCTTGTGCGTGTGTACGTGCATGCAGGCATGTGTTAATGCGCGTGTATGTGCTCCAGTGAAGCCAGCAGCTTCCACTGGAAAAAAACTGATAGGTCTAAAAAGAGTCCAGCTGCATTCTTATGATATGCAGAAAACAGATACTAGAACTTTTACATTCAGAGTCATCATTCCTTTGCTAAGTATATTCTCTCTCTCCCTCCCTTCTTCCTTTTCTCCCTCCCTATTCTCCCAACCCTGCAAAGTGGAGAGAGGGAATTTGAGCCTGAGCAGAAAGCTCCATGTAAATTTCAGAGAGGATACTAGCTTTGGCCCAGGTAGCACTACTTAGTGATTCATCGTATACTAACACTACAGATTCAAATGAGAGTGGAATAAATCCATTCTAAAGGTGTAACTGGAAAAGTGAATTTTAAGAAGTAGTGATTAATGTTAAACCAGAACCTCCCATTTCTCCCAGGTTTGTGGAGAATTAAGCAGTCTATTTTTATACTTGGAATCTGGTCTGAATGTTTCTTGAAAAGTAACTCAAAGTAGTTTAGGCTATGACCATAAGTTATTTTTGTAAATACATTTTCTTATCACTGTATTATTGCATATTATTGTGTATTCTTTTGCAAATCAGGCTTGATATTTCCTTTTGGCTATGCAGTCACCTTTTAGACTTTGCTTGCAAATATATTGATATAGTTAAGATACTATTCTTTCTTTCCCCAACTAGGAGTGTGTATGAATTACATCTTTTGAACTTACTGATTGTATTACTTTGTTTTACTTGATCAACTTTGTAGTTTAATTTTTTTAAAAAGCTAGCTGTTGGGATTACTGATCAGTTTCATTTTTATATCTATATTTCTACTTTTAGTTTTATTATTTTCATGTTTTGGCTTTTTCCCCAAATTTCTTAGAAACTCAGTTTACTAGTTTTCTTTTGCCTCTTTTTTTTTTTCTTTGTTTTCTACTTTTACTTAAACATTTTAAATGAACACATTTTCTCTTGAGTTTTGTTTTGGCAGCTGCCCAGGTATTTTTATGTTTCAATTGTATTTTAGTAACTCTACTAAACTGCTTAACAAATCAGTATTGAAAATGATCCATTTTTTGTCAGTGTTTTTATGAATTGTATAAAATGTCTACCTCTGGTCTCTACTGATTACAATCTACCTTACACACTCATATGTATCTTCTGTCACTCTTGTTGAGAAAATCTGCAGTGGCCCCATATTACCTATTAATAAATTCCAAGGACTTTACCTTGATATTCACATTCCCCTACCATGTTACCACAGCCAACTTCTGGCTTATTCCCCCCAGTACCCTTTCTCCTGTCTCTGCAGCACCCTACCCACCACGATTTATAGAAAGTATTCTGTGTGTTCCAGTCTGCTGGAATTGGAGAGGGGAGGATAAAGAGGGGATGAGCAATGGGTACAATAATACAGTTAGATAGAAATAATAAATCTAGTGTTTGGTAGCACAAGAGGGCAAATATAGTTAATAATGTATATTTGCAAATAACTAAAAGAGTGGAATTGAAATGTGCCTAACACAAGTAAGTGATCAGTGCTTGAGGTGATGGATATCCCAGTTACTCTGATTTGATCATTACACATTGTATGCTTGCATCACAGTATCACGTGTACCCCATAAATAGGCACAACTGTTTTGTATCCATAATAAATAAAAATAATTTTTAAAAAATTGGAAAACATCTTATTCCCTTTGTCTGGAATTCCTTATTCCCAACTTGTTGCCCAGATTCCACTTCTCTTCCCATCTCTCTCAGGGAAATTAATCTTCCAAGTCCCCTAGTTTACCATATGTAGTTACTTGTTGATACATCATCTCCCTCTGTTCCTATTAGTCTGAGCATCTTGAGCGAACGCATTGTTGCTCCTTTTTATGTATCTCACACATTTCAGGCACTCAAATATTTTTAACAATTGTAAATTAGATGTGTGTTTATTGTGTATTGCTGCCCCATGATCCTTTTTTTCTCCCTGGAAAAACTATATATATGTAAAGCAAGTATGTTTTCTTGTTCTGCTACGTAATTATCTTCATATAAGCTTGCTGTTTTTTAAATTTTCTCGTTCTGCTACTTAATTCTCTTCATATAACCTTGCTGTTTTTTAAATCTACTCTTGTGTTCATTTCCGTATTTTCCTTAGGAACTTTGTCTGTTTTATCTGTCATGATTTAAGAGTAGCATGAGGAAGCCCACAATTAAAATATTTCTGTGTATCCTTAAAAAAGAAAAATTGTAAAATTATTTCCATATTCCATGGTCATGTTAGGTTTTTGTTATTTAGGTTTTCCTTATTAGTCCTTTTAGCATTTTAATACTTTCGGCTTTGAAATCTAATTTATCTAATTTTAAAGATAGTAAATTGTTGCTCTTGTCTTCATCCAGGCGTGCTAAACCTCTGTCATCTGATTTCTGATAGTTGGTTCGACTTTTGACTTTGGTTCCAAGCGTAACTCTTGAATGTAACAGGTTTACTTTCTTAATCTAGGAAGCAACCTTTCTTTTTACAGAGCTGTGGTAGGCAGAATAATGACGCCCCCAAGTATGTCCACATCCTAATCCGTGGAACCAGGGAATATGTTCTGTTACATGGCAAAGGGGAATTAAGGTAGCAGATGGAATTAAGTTTGCTCATCAGCTGACCTTAAAATAGATTATTCTGGATTCTCTGGCTGAGCCCAATGTAATTACAGGGCCCTTAAATATAGAAGAGGGAGACAGAAAAGGAGGTCAGAGTGATTCAGTATGAGAAGAACTGCATTCTCCATTGTTGACTTTGAAGATGGAGGAAGGGGCCATGAGCTAAGGAATGTGGCAGCCTCTAGAGCTAGAAAAGGCAAAGAAACATTCTCTCCTAGAGCCTTCAGTAGCATAGTCCTGCTGACACCTCAAGTTTAGCCCAGCGAGACCCATATTGGACTCTGACCTCCAGAATTGTAAGGGTTATGCCTTTTAAACCACTAGGTTTATGCTTTTTAAACCACTAGGTTTGTGGCAGTTTTGAATGGCAGCAATAGGAAATTAATAAGAGAACATTCAGCTCATGTATATTTTTCTAACCCTAGTATTTGAATCATGAATTATATTTTGTGGGTCCTTTTGTAAGTTTATCTTGTTTTCTATTTTTCATGTAATAGACATAAAATTTTAAGTTTCCTTTAAATTATGTCAAAAACCACATAAAATAATCCCTTTTCCAACATTTAAAACATTTTGGTACTTCTCTTTTCTTTAGTTCCACTACTCTCTTTTTTTATTAAATAAGGAAACTGTTTTACAGAGGATAATGAAGTTAGCTTACAGCATTTACCACCCCCCCCCACCAATTTACTTTTTATTTATAGTCTGAAAATCCTTTAGGATAAAAATTACCTGTACATGTTATCTAATTTACATATGAATCCTGTGTCGTCATTATCTTAGCATTTGTTAATGTTTGAATCCACTAATTTCTTTTTTAAATAGTCTGTTTTCAAGTCCATTGTTTCTGGTAATTATATTTGTAGCCACAGGCTTTAGTTGACAAATTGGTTCTGATTTTTTTAGATTTTGGAATATTTCCCTCTGCTTTAAGAGAGAAAACTTCTGCCTCTACTAATTGTGTACTGTAATTGTGGTGATAACTCCATTTCTATTAACTTGTGAATCACCTTGACACAGGCTCTCTTCTTGTCCAAAGTCTAAGGGATGAAGTCATTTTTATCTTGGTTTCTTTAAATGTTCTTTCTTTGTAGCAGCTTATAAAAGCCTGTTTTTGTTTTCGAGTATTAATATTATTAGCTAATGTGTATTGAGTACGCTGGTTATCAGACTGTTTCCCACAGACCTTGGGAGTGGGCCTTGAGACCCTTTCCAGGTATCTGCAAAGTCAAAATTATAATACTAAGACATTCTTTGCCTTGGTCGACATTGGCACTGGTGGTACAAAAGTAGTGCATCAAACAGCTGGTGCTGGAGCACAAATCAGGACAGTGGCACCAGCTGCACTAGTCTTCTGTCACTGGATTCTTCACCACCACGTGCTGGACTTGCAGTTAAAAAAAAAATGCCAGCTTCACTTACGAATGTCCTTGATAAAGCAGAAAAATATTAATCTCATTTAATCTTGACCCCTGAATGCACATCTAGTTTAATATTCCATGTGATGAAATGGGAAGAATGCATAAAGGCCTGTTGTATGCTGAAGTGCAATGGTTGACTCAAGGAAAAACGTGTGTGCCTGAGTTACAAGCTGCTGTTTTCATGGAGTATCATTTTTATTTGGAAGGACAACTGACAGACAAGACTGTGGTTATTTGTGTTATGGTGTTTGGCAGACATTTTCTTGAAAATGCAGGAAGCCACAATAAACATACGTGTGCATGTGTCTTTATAGCAGCATGATTTATAGTCCTTTGGGTATATACCCAGTAATGGGATGGCTGGGTCAAATGGTATTTCTAGTTCTAGATCCCTGAGGAATCGCCACACTGACTTCCACAACGGTTGAACTAGTTTACAGTCCCACCAACAGTGTAAAAGTGTTCCTATTTCTCCACATCCTCTCCAGCACCTGTTGTTTCCTGACTTTTTAATGATTGACATTCTAACTGGCACTATTCACAATAGCAAAGATTTGGAACCAACCCAAATGTCCAACAATGATAGACTGGATCAAGAAAATGTGGCACATATACACCATGGAATACTATACAGCCATAAAAAATGATGAGTTCATGTCCTTTGTAGGGACATGGGTGAAATTGGAAATCATCATTCTCAGTAAACTATTGCAAGGACAAAAAACCAAACACCACATGTTCTCACTCATAGATGGGAATTGAACAATGAGAACACATGGACACAGGAAGGGGAACATCACACTCTGGGGACTGTTGTGGGGTGGGGGTTGGGGGGAGGGATAGCATTAGGAGATATACCTAATGCTAAGTGACGAGTTAATGGGTGCAGCACACCAGCATGGCACATGTATACATATGTAACTAACCTGCACATTGTGCACATGTACCCTAAATCTTAAAGTATAATAATAATAAAAAAAAGAAAAAAAAAGACAAAAATACTATAATAAAAGATGCTTCTATCACACACACAAAAAAAGAAAGTGCAGGAAGCAAAACTTCAAGGAAAACAACTCATGGTATTTTTTGTAAATGGTAAAATTTGATCTTTCATGGGAAAACCAGAATTTTTGAAAAGTTGTATCTGCTACCATGAGCTTGACAACCTCCCAGTAATTAAAATATTTCTGATGAAGTTGGTGAAGATAGTAAGTAATGTGATTTTTTTTGCTATTGTATATGAAATGTGTCAACATTTGAAAGATCTTTATAACTCAGTAAACCAATATTTTCCAGTCGACCTACATTGCATTATACAATAATGCTGGGATAAAAGATTCATTGAAAGTATAAGAGAGACCAGTGGATTTCAGTGTAGCAGAGTACAAAAAGGTCATTGATACGATTTCAGATTCCACATCATAGTTAACCTTTAAGAAACTACCACTTGTTGAGTTTTAGTGTCCTGTTGAAGAACGTCTACCATTATCTGAAAGAGCTATTAAAATAGTTCTTTTCTAACTACAGATCTCTGTGAGGCCAGATTTTCTTTGTATACTTGAACCAAAACAATGTATTGCAACAGAATGAATGTAAATATAGATATTAGAATCTAGGTGTCTTCTATGATATCATACATTAAAAATTTTGCTAAACTGTAGAAACAGTGTCGCTACTCTCACTAAATTTGTGTTGGTTTTGGAAATGTTTTTAAATAATGTTATTTATGTTAGTATGTAATGTGTTTATTATTACCTTCGAAGAGTAGATATTTTTTGAATAACAACTGTATCGTAAATATTAAATACCAATAGGGATAACCCATATCAACCAGAGCTCTTTGGGATCCTCAGTAAGTGTTAGAACTGAAAAGGAGTTCTTTTTAAGAGTTAAACGTCAAAATTTTTGATACTAAAAACTTTGAGAGCCACTGATTTAGTGCTTTATACAAAGCACTTGTTATACTCATTATCTTATATTCGTAGCCACCTTATGAGGTACATATTATTGCCCTAACTTTATGGGTAAGAATACCATGACACAATGATGCTATGTATATTTTTTTAGCAACCCCTCTGAATCTCATGATCTTCCCAGCGTAGTTTTCTCTCTGGGAGGCTTGCTTCCAAGTTTAATTTTGTAGGTCCAGTCTTCTTACAACCCTCCTCCCTTTTTTCCAATCGAAGTTTCTTATGTTATTTTTCATAGTACAAAAACAGTACACGTACCTTACAGAAAACTCAGATATCATAAGCAAAAGAGTATAAAGACTATCCTTAATCTTCCCGAGTGGAGACCTGTTAGCTGCTCAGCAGATATTTATACAGATGCTTTTCTAAACATGTTCATTTATCAGTGTAAAGCCGGTATAGTATAATACTCAATTAGAAGGATTTTGGAGTCAAATGGTTTGACTCCCAACTCTGAGCTCTTAGACAAGTTATTTAACATCTGAGCTTTCTGTTCCTTATCTGTAACCGCACTGATCTGTTTTTCTGTGTCTAGAGTTTTGCCCTTTCCAGAATGTCAAATAAGTAGCATTGTACACTATCTTGTGTTTTCCATCTGAATTATTTTACTTATAGTGCATTTTAGATTCATCAATGTTGTTGTTGTCATCCATAGTTTGTTACTTTTTACTGCTGATTAGTATTCCATTGAACGGATATATCAAAATTCAGTTAACCATTCACCAGTTTATGGATGTGTGAGTTGTTACCAGTGGCAATTATGAATAAAGCTTCTTGGAATATTTGAATACAGGCCTTTGTGTGGACATACGTTTTCCTTTTTCTTGAGTAAAATACCTAGGTGTGGGATTGCTGGGCCATAGAATAAGTATACACTTAACTGTATAAGAAACTTCCAAAATGTTTTCTAAAGTGGCTGTACTATTTTGCATTCCCACCAGCATATATAAGAGATCTAGTGTGTGTGTAATCTTATCTCATTGTCGTTTTAGTTTGCATTGTCCTAACATCTGAAAATACTGAGTATTTTTTGTGTGCTTATTTGCTTTTTGTATGCCTTCTTTGATGGGATGTCTCTGAATTTTTTGGCCATTTTAAATCGGGTTGTTCACTTATTTTTTTAGTTGTAAAAGTCCTTTTTATATACTGGATACAGGTTACTTTGTCAGATACGTGTTTTCAGAGTATGGTCTCCCAGTTTGTGGCTTGGCTGTCATTTTGTTAATGATAGGTATCTTTTGGAGAGTAAGAGTTTTTCATTTTGGAGAAGTCCAATTTCATATCCCATCTAAGAAATGTTTGCCTAACCGTAGGTTGCAAGTATTTTTTTTTCATATGTGTTTTGGACATTTTATAGTTTTGTGTATGACATTTAGGTCTATGATCCATGTCACATAAATTTTTGTATATGTTATAAGGTTAAGAGTCAAGGTGTACTTTCCTCATTTATCCAGTTGTACCACCATTTATTGAAACATAATTATTTCTCCATTGAGTTGTTTTGGCACCTTTGTGGAAAATTAACTGACTCTATATGTATGGGTCTGTTTTCCAACTCTCTAGTACGTTCTATATATCTATTCTTATGCCAGTACTACATTGTGTTTATTACTGTAGCTTTATAGTAAGCTTTGAAAGCATGTAGTATAAATTGTCCAACTTTGTTCTTTTTCAGAATTGTTTTGCCCATTCTAGGTCCTTTGCACTGTCATATGACTTTTAAAGTCAGTATGTCAATTTCTACAGAAGAACCTGCTGGCTCCCAATTTTCGCTGGGATTGCATTGATTCTTTAAAATAATTTGGTTAATTTGGTGTGTGTGGTAGGCTAAATCATGACCCACAAAGATACCCACTTCCATGGAACCTGTTAAAGATCTTGAGATGATGGGGTTATCCAAGTGGGGCAATAAATGCAATCAATCACAGGTTCCCTTAAAAGAGGGAGATAATATTAAGAGGAGAAGGCAGTGTGGTGGAAACAGAGACAGAGATTTGAAGATTTTATGCAGCTGGTTTTGATGATAGAGAAAGGGGCCATGAGCCAAGGGAATACAGCTCTGGAAACTGGAAAAAAACAAGTAATAGATTCTCCCATAGAGTCTCCAGAAGGAGTAGGTCCTGCTGACATCTTGGTTTTAGCCCAGTGAAACCCTTTTTGGACCTCTGGCCTCAGGATAATAAATGTGTGCCATTTTAAGTCACCAATTTTGTGGTAGTTTGTTACAGCACCCATAGGAAACTAATACACAGAGGATGTAAATCTTAACAGTATTGAGTGTTCTATGAACACAGTATATGTCTCCATTTATTTAGATCTTTAATTTTTCTTGGCAGTTATGAACTGAATGTGTCCCTTTAAAAATCACAAGTTGACTCTAGTCCCCAGTGTGATGGTATTTGGAGGTGGGGCATTTGGGAGGTGATTAGGTTATGAGGGTGGAACCCTCATGGTTGGAACTAGTGCCCTTATAAAAAGAGACCAGAGAGCTAACTCACTCTCTTTTCACCATGTGAAGGGTATTGAGAAGTCTGCCATCTGCCACCCAGAAGGCAGCCCTCGCCAGAACCCAGCCATGCTGGCATCCTGATCTCCAACTTCCAGCCTCTGGAACTGTGAGGAATAAATTTCTGTTGTTTATTAGCTTCCCCACAGTCCTACCAGTGTTTTGTAGGTTTCAGTATATAGGTTTTGCATATATGTTGTTACATTTATCCCTAAGTGTTTTATATTTGTGATGCTATTGTAAATGGTGGATTTTTTCATAAACTTTTAATTTTTGAATAGTTATAAATTTATAGGAAAGTTGCAGTAAATGATACATATTTTTAAATTTCTGTTTCCAATTTGTGATAGCTACTATATAGAAATGCAATAATTTTTGTAAATTTACCTTGTGTCCTTCAATTTTGTTAAATTCACTTACTAGATCTACTAGCTTTTTTTTAGATTACTTAGGATTTCCTACACGGAATATCATGTTGCCTATAGATAATGACAGGTTTACTTCTTTCTTTTAAAACTATATTCTTTTAATTTCTTTTTATCATCTTATTGTTGTGGCTAGGACCTTTAGTACAATGTTGAATAGATGTGTTGAAGTGGACATACTTGCTGTGTTTCCTGTCTTAAGGGGAAAGTATTGAGTCTCTCACCATTAAGCATTATAACTGCAGGTTTTTCATAGATGCTCTTCTTTTCCTAATTTGTTTAACGCTTTTAACTTGAATGGGTAGCAAATTACGTCAAATGCTTTTTACACAACTATTGAGATGATCATATGATTTTTCTTTTTCAGCCTGCTAATACCACGAAGGTTGCTAACTGATTTTCAAATGTTAATCCAAGATTGCAATCTTGCAATCCTAGCTAAACCACACCTAGTCGTAATGTAGTATCCTTATATATTGCTGAATTCAGTTGGCTAAAATCTTTTCAGGATTTTTGCATCTCTGTTCATGAGAGATATTGGTCTGTAGTTTTCTTTCTTTGTCAGTTTTGTTATCAGGGTAATGCTGGCTTCATAAAATAAATTGGGAAATGTTCCCCCCTCATCTTTTTTGCAAGAGTTTGTGAAGAATTGGTGGTATTTCCTCATTAAATGTTTGGTAGATTTTGCCATGGCCTGACATTTTCTTTCTGAAAAAGGTTTTAACTAGAATTGCAGTTTCCATGTCTTTGTTTCAAGAAATTTCCTGGCATAAAGTTGTTTATAATATCCCCTACTTATCCCTTTAGTATTATTAGGATTTGTAGTGATATCCCTGTTTTCATTCTTGATATTAGTAATTTGAGCCTACTCTTTTTTACTGATTATTCTGGCTGTAGATTTACCAATTTTCTTACTTTCTCAAAGAAACTGCTTTTAGTTTCATTGATTTTTTTCTCTAATCCCTTTTTACTGTATTTTATTGATTAATGTGCTTACATTTATCATTTTCTTCTTTCCATTTACTTTTTACAAATTTCCTTCCGTTTCTTACATGGAGGTTCCTTACCTCCATGTTCTTTCTAGTTTCATAAGATAGAATCTTAGATTATTGACTTGATATCTTTTCTAATGTAAGTATTTGATGCTAAAATTTCCCTTAAGTACTGCTTTAGTGTATCTCACAAATTTTGGTATATTGTGTTTTTGCCTTTAGTCCAAAATATTTTTCAATTTTCTTCATAGTCTTTGACCTATGGATTATTTCGCAGTGTGGCATTTAATTTTCAAGTATTTTGAGAATTTTCCAGATATTTTTCTATTGTTGATTTCTAGTTTGACTCCATTGTGCTTGTTTACTTTGTATGATTTCAGTCCTTTTAAATTTGTTGAGCTTTGTTTTATGGCCCAGAATTCAATCTATCTTGGTGAATGTTCCGTGTGTGTTTGAAAGGAATCTGTATTTTGCTTTTGTTGGGAGGAACTCATTAATATTAATTAGGTCAAGTTGGTTGATAGTGTTGCTACAATCATATATATCCTTAGTAATTTTCTGTTTATGTGTTCTATTAGTTACTAAGAAAGGAATGTTAATTTCCATTTATAACAGTTTGATTTTTTTATTTCTCCTTTTAGATTGATCAGTACTTTCTACATGTATTGTGAAACTTTGTTATTAGGCATATGACAAATTGACCCCTTTATCATTATGAACTACCTCTATTTGTCCCTGGAAATAGTCCTTGTTCAAAAATATACTGTGTCTTATGTTGTGGTAGGCAGAATGCCCCACCCCCACAAATACACAGATACCCAGGCCCTAAGCCCTGAAACCTGTGAATATGTTATTATTTTACATGGCAAAGGGGACTTTGAAGCTATATTTATTAGCATTCGTTTCTGCTGTTACCATGACAAATTACTCTCAGTTCTTTAGGTCAGAAGTCCGGGTACAGCACAACTCAGATGGGTCTTCTGCCTAGTTTCACAGGGTCAAAATCAAAGTGTCAGGAGGGCTCTATTCCTTTCTGGAGCCTCCAGGGATTAATCTGCTTTCAAGCACATTTGGGCTATTGTCAGAATTTAGTTCCTTGGGGTTGTAGGGCTGAGGTCCCATTTACCTTGCTGGCTGTCAGCTGCGAGTTATTCTCAGCTTCTGAAGCCTGCCTGCATTCCTTGGCTCATGGTTCCTTACCTCCATGTTCAAAGCCAGAAGTAACAGGCTGAATCCTTCTCAAGTCTGGAATCTCTCTGACTTCTGCCTCATCTCTCTTCCACCACATTTCTCTGACTTACTCTTCTGCTTTCTTAAGGGCTTATGTGATTACACTGGGCACACCTGGATAATCCAGTATAATCTTCCTATTGTAAAGTTAGCTGATTAGTAACCTTAATTCCATCTGCAAAGTCCCTTCACAGTATTACTCAGATTAGTGTTTGATTGAATAATCAGGGGACAGGAATCCTGGGAAACTTCTTTAGAATTCTGCCTACCAACCACAGTTATGGACCTTAAAATAGGGAGAGTAGCCTGGCTTAACCAGGTGGACTCAGTTTCATCACATGAACTCTTAAAAGCGGAGAACTTTCTCTCAGTGGAAGCAGAAGCGATATGGCAGAAGTAGTGAGAAAACATCCCAAGCATGAGAAAGATTGAATATGCTATAGCTTGTTACTGGCTTTGAGATGTAGGGGCCTATTTACAAGGACCCAGGAGAGGCCCCTACTATCGCAAGATCAGCTGCTGCGTGACAGCAAGCAAAGAGACACATACCTCAGTCCTACAACCACAAGAAACTGGATTCTGCCAACAACCTGAATGAGCTTAGAAGTAGATTCTGCCAGAGTCCCCTGATAAGCATTCCACCAACAGACATCTTTATTTCAGCCTTGTGAGATTCTGAGTAGAGAAACCAACCAAGCCCGTCTCGCCTTTTGTCATATAGAACTGTGAGATAATAAATTTACGTTGTTTTAAGCTGCTAAGTTTGTGGTAATTTGTTACAGCAGCAATGGAAGACTAAACAGATATTAATATAGTCATTCCAGCTTTCTTTTGGTTAGTGTTTATTTGGTATAACTTTTTCTTTCCTTTTGCTTTTAATCTATCTGTGTCTTTATAGATAGATAAAGTGGGATTCTTACAGACAGCATATAGTTGTCTTGCTTACTTATCCAATCTGATCATCTTTGTCTTTCAGTTGGCCATTTATATTTAATATAGTTATTGACAGGGTTGAGTTTTAACTGTTTTCTTGCTGCAGCCTGGAAACTGCCTCTGATCTGCAAACTGGGGCAATAGTAGGGTTTACCTCCTTTATTTCCTCCTTCTCACCTGTTCTCCACTGCCTGTTGTCAATGTCTGAAAACTGTTCTTTTGTAGACTGTATCAAGCTTCTTATTTAGGCGGGAAGGTAAATTATATTCCTATTATTAAGTCAAGGCTGGAAATAGAGGTCCTCAAGAGTATAATTTCTAATTATTTCAAGGACATCCTCTGTAGCAATTCCCTTTTATATGAGACGTGAGCATGTGTGTATGTGTAATTTATTCATTCATGGAAAGTATAATACATACACTAAAATGTTCATGCCATATGAATATGACAGATGGCTGCCTTTTTAGAAATAGAATCAGTTAGTGATAGAACTTGACCATTTTCAGAGCATGTCAGCCTTTTCCAGTCTCTGTGTCTTGGTATAGCTAGTTCCTTCTGCCTGGAATACTTCCTCATCTCACTTGCTTTCCTGCCTGGCAGCTTCCTACTTGCCCTCTGGAACCAGCTCTAGGGTCACCACATCTCTGCTTCTGAGTGCCTCCTCAGACACAGTCTGTATTTCCTCTTCCAAGCTCTCATCACAAACATTGTGCTGTATTATATGTTTCTGTGTGGTCTTCCTTCTATGAGGAAGCCTTGGAAAGCAGGAGACTTATTTTAGTCTTCTTTATGTTTCTTTTATTCCCAACACATTATGTCTGCCCCATAGACCTTTTCAATAAATGATTATTGAGTTAGTGACTCCTTTTACATGCTGACAAATGTGGCTCTTATTACTCCCCATTTCAGTATCACATATTTGTAAAAGTGAATCCTTCTTAATCGTTTTACTTTTCTCCTAGTAAATTCCTCATCTATGCCTGTCTGCTGCTGTTCTCTGTGCTGCTGGCCCTTCGTTTGGATGGCATCATACAGTGGAGTTACTGGGCTGTCTTTGCTCCAATATGGCTGTGGAAGTTAATGGTCATTGTTGGAGCCTCAGTTGGAACTGGAGTCTGGGCACGAAATCCTCAATATCGGTAATACTGCTTTATACAACCCATTGGTCTCTAGCATGAGGGAGCAATATCTTGACTTTTCTCACTTTTGATGAAGTAAGGACCATTTTATTTTCTACCTATCTGGGGTCTTAGAACTATAGTATAAGCTAACAGATCTCTTCTGTGTTTTTGAAAATTTAGTCTTTGGTATGTATTTTCTTACAAAAGCAGTGCCATTTGGGGGTAAGTTGCCAGCCAGCTCACAGATGCCTATATAATCCAAAATGCACCCAAAATACAGAACTGGTATGCCATACTAGACTAAGCAGCATGAAACCACCCTGTTTTTAGGAAAAGACACTCATATTATGTTTGGTCATGAAAGATCTTTCTCCAATACAGTTTTGGAACTGGGGCTCCCCTTGTCCCACCCTCCTAGTCCCAGAGCTTTAGGACTATTAGCAGTGTAGGGGAGGTGGCTTGACCAGGAGACCATGAGTCCCTGAGACAGCAGCTGGGGAATGAGGAAAGTCAAAGATTGGATGCCGAGAAGGAAAGCAGAGCCTTTGGGGGCAGGGGAGAGGGGTACCCTTTACCGTTTCCAACTCTTGCCCTCCCTGCTCTTGGATGCCTCCGCTGGCCCAAATTCCTGGGAGTTGGCTCACGCCAGCATGCAACCTGCTTGTTGCTGGGACCTGCGAGAGTCTTTCCCTTCTCTGCCACAGAGACTGTAACTACATAAAGGGAAAAAGGGGGACTTAAGACTGGGAGGCTATTATGAACCTCCACTGGGAAAATGAGGAGTACAGGAATTCCCAGAAGGCAGCTGCTCATGTGGGAAAAGTGTAAAGTTGAAACTACCGCACCTTTTTTTTTTTTTTTTTTTTTTTTTTTTTTGAGACAGAGTTTCGCTCTTGTTGCCCAGGCTGGAGTGCAATGGTGTGATCTCGGCCCACTGCAGCCTCCACATCCCGGGTTCAAGTGATTCTCCTGCCTCGGCCTCCTGAGTAGCTGGGATTACAGGCACCTGCCACCATGCCCAGCTAATTTTTTGTATTTTTAGTAGAGATAGGGTTTCACCATGCCAGGCTAGTTTTGAACTCCTGACATCAGGTGATCCACCCGCCTTGGCCTCCTGAAGTGCTGGGATTACAGGTGTGAGCCACCACGTCCGGCCACTACATCAACTTTTTAAATTTTTGTTTACTAAATATGAAAATGATTCAGATTGTGTAAATTACATATCACATACATGTCTAAGAACTGTAAAACAGTTACACAGAGAGCCTTGGCAGGTGAGGGACATTCATGTATAGCTGTTTCAGAGTTCTTAGATTTTTTTTGAAAGATTGATGACCTGTGTGGCTGTATGTGTTTTATTTTTTTATGAGATATTTTCAGATATCTAATATTAATTGCTTCTCAAAGAATGCAAAGTTAAATAAACATTTAGGTTCTACTAATTGATATTTAGAATATATTCAAACTTCTCTTTGTTGGTCTTATTTAAGATGTTTTGAGCAAGGAAAGGAATTGTGTATGTGGGGTTGAATGTAAGGAATGTACAGGCGTGGTCATTCTCATGTTAACATTAACCAGTGGAACATGGTTGGGTCCTACAGGAATAACCTCTGATAGCATTTTCTCTATGATCTAACTTCCGGTGTATTTGTCACCCACAATACATGTATATCATAAATGTTCATCTGTATTTTGAATAAACATTGTAGGCCTTTCAGATGCATTATAGAGCCTTTTCCTGATTAGCGGCCTTACCATTGCTCAATTGTAGATCTGTTAAGGTTATTGTGCATGATACTTAGCTAATTAAACTGATTTTGTTTGAGAACAGTTTTAACTCTTGTTCTTCTTTCTCTTTCATGTGCAGGTGTTAATTTATCTTAATGGAATAGAAAGGAAAATGAAAATCATTTATACGTTTTATTTGCATTTAAAAATAGCACCTAACAATAGTTACTACTATCTTGAAATATAACTGGCACTTGTTCATAGAACTAGAGTTATTTTTATAATATTGTGTGAAGGGTGGTTTACATGGTTTCTTGAAAAATGAGGATCATGAGACTTAAGGGGTATTTGCCTGGTTTTAGCAGCAGAAGCAAATCAGCTTGAATAATCTTGGAAGTAACTCTTGTTGTTGAATTTAAAGATGTGAACAGAAGTGTTTATGTACATTGTCAGGGAAATAAGAACTGGCTATTACTTTTGAGAATATCCTTATACGGTTAAAACATTAAATTCTGGTTTGGTTGTAATGTTCATTTTGTATTATGTAGTAGTTCTTCGATGTTTCAGAGATTGCCTACCAAAGCTTAGGTTTAAGTTAGCTTTCTACCTGATTTCCCTTTGCTTTTGTCAAATTTTCAAGTAAAATTCAAAGTATAAATATAAGTTGGTATTTGCCCTGAACTGCTTGCTTATAGTGGAGATTCTGAACTGAGGGTGTTTTCTTCTTCTCTCCCTTTTTTAGAGCAGAAGGAGAAACGTGTGTGGAGTTTAAAGCCATGTTGATTGCAGTGGGCATCCACTTGCTCTTGTTGATGTTTGAAGTTCTGGTCTGTGACAGAATCGAGAGAGGAAGCCATTTCTGGCTCCTGGTCTTCATGCCGCTGTTCTTTGTTTCCCCGGTGTCTGTTGCAGCTTGCGTTTGGGGCTTTCGACATGACAGGTCACTAGAGGTGAGATTTCATATATTTAAGAATGTTTTCCACTTTGGGAGGTCAAGGCAGGTGGATCACTTGAGGTCAGGAGTTTGAGACCAGCCTGGCCAACATGGTGAAACCCCATCTCTACTAATAATACAAAAATTAGCCGGGTGTGGTGGCATGCGCCAGTAATCCCAGCTTCTCCGGAGGCTGAGGCGGGAGAATCTCTTGAACCCAGGAGGCGGAGGTTGCAGTGAGCCAAGATTGAACCATTGCACTCCAGCCTGGGTGACAGAATGAAACTCCGTCTTAAAAAAAAAAAAAAAGAATGTTTTCAAAAGTAAAATATTTTGCTCAGTTATTCAGATGTCAATTTCTTACCCTTTGTTAGGAAGAGCTTGATCATTACCAACTCTACATCATGAGACAACAAGGCAACAAAAGATGATGGAAATAACAATTTTTCTTTCTTCACTTAGAACACTAGCTTTTCACCCAGGACATCAGCCTTCTCCCAGCTTCACATCCTGTATCAATCAGACAGAAACAGAACTGATAGGTTAGATACAGATATATGTATAAAGAGAGTTAAGGAACTGGCTCACATTACTGTGGGGCTGGCAAGTCTGAAATCTCCAGGGCAGGTGAACAGGCTGGAGACCTAGGAGGAGTTGACACTGCAGTCCTGGCACAGAATTTTTTCCTCTCCAGGAAACCACAGTTTTTGCTTTTAAGGCCTTCACCTGATTGCATGAGGCCCACCCATGCTATGGAGGGTAGTCTCCTTTATTCAAAGTCAGTACCTTCACTGCAACAGCAAGCTTAGTGTTTGATTAAATAACTGGGTACTATAGCCCAGCCAAGTTGACACTCAAAACTGACCATCTCCCCACCTCAGACCCCATGATTTAGCACCTCCCCTGCTGTCTGGTTAGCTTATCCTGATGTGCCCCTGTGTTTGTTTATTCATTCAATAAACATTTATCAAGTATTTACTAGATGCCAAGCCCTTTTTCCCTAAGCATAGAGGATATGCAGATGAATAAAATACCAGGACTAGTAATAATAGTAATGAAAGTAATTGCAGATAACGTTTATTGAGCACTTACTGTGTGCCAGGCATTGTGCGAGGCACATTACATGTGGTAGTTTTCTTACTAACTAACTCTGTGAGGTAGGTCCAGAGAAGATAAGTCATTTGTTCATGGCCACATGTGAAGGGGCAGGACCAGGATTCCGTTTGAGTCAGCCCGACTCTAAAGCCCGGGCACATAACTACATAACTGCATAGAAGCTGAGGGCCCAAAGCTGAATACTGATGGGTTGAGGGGAGAACTAGAGGCTGTAGATGCCTGGTTTTGAGCCGTGTGGATGAAGAGTGAAGGGAGAAGACTGCAGTTGGCTTAGGAAGTAAACATAGCAGCTGTAGGGTGGGTCAGGCATATAAGCCTAGACCCCAGGTATGGGCGTGAGGGGAAGGTATGTAGACAGAGGGACGGTGATGGAGCAAGGCCCTGTGGGACTCAGGGAGAATGGGACCTAGAGCACCAGGAAGGGTTTGGCCTTGAACAAGGGGAGCTATTCCCTGATTTTCATGCTGGTGGAAAGGCCACAGCATGGGTATAGTGGTAGGTAGGAGTGAGCCGTGGAGGGAGAGTATCTGATGGTCCACTTTCACCCTCCCTACAATTCCCAGTTTATATCAGGGACTTGAGCATCCATGGATTTTGGTATCCACAGGGGGTCCTGGAACCAATCCCCCACAGATACTGAGGGACAACTATACAAGGACTAGGACTGCATTGGGCCTGAATTACAGAAAGTAAGTCTTTCATATATTCACACTCTAGGCATTCCTGCCCTTGGAAGAAACAACATACCAGGAGCTGAGCTCCCTCCTCCTGTGATGCAAGAACAGTACCTATGTTGGTGAGGGGGTGGTCTGGAGTAGGCTCATACAGAGATGGGAAGGAGGAGTTGAGGGTCTGCCAGGAAGCCCTGTGTTGGGAGGGAAGGGATGGCATTTTTGGGACACATTGAAGCCTAGAGGCAGGAAACACTCCATCAGCTGAGTGGACTGTGGCGATTCAGATCCGACGGGAGCACAAGGTGGAAAGGAAGGAACTGTGGGAGTTGAGAAGAGAGGGAGCCTCTACAGAGGGATTGGGGCAAATAGGGGCCACGTCCTCAGCCCACAGAGCATGTGCTGAAGTGCCCCAGGCACCCCAGTGCACTCACAGGGCACCAGGGGATAGTGGACATTTTGAGGAAAACAGTAATACCTGACATTTGTTGGGACACCATACAAACTACTAGCTTGAAATAGTTTACAGGTTTATTTTTAGGCCACACTGCATTCCTTTCAGTGACGTCGTATCTTTAAGAAGCTGGGTTTTCAGCAGTTGCTGTGAAAACAAAAAAGGCTAATGCTGTGTGAAAATCCGGGTGAAGAACAGGTAACGAGTGGGAGCACCTTGTCTGATTCCAAGGCGTGGGAAATGGTGAGCTACCTGACAGGCACACGCATCCCACTGGGAATTAGTTTTGGTTATTTAAGAATAATATTAACATTTTTCTTTAGATTTATATGAATTATTTTTTCTAGTGGCTACTTAGAAATACTTACTAAGTTAGATGTAATTACTTAAATCAGTGCAACTGTTGGCATTCCCAGCCACATTAGGGATTTCTTTTGGCCTAGAGGTCTATGGAGGAATTACTAAATTCCCCATGTACCTATGTACTGAGAACTTTTGGGAAGCTCTGGGCCTGGTCCCAGATTTCAATTTTGTGGGCAAGAATGTACTTTACCAGAGTGAGGAGCAGCCTGCAGGGCGTTTGGGCTGGAGGCGGGAGGTTAGTAAGGGGTTGCTGAAGTGGTAGGCGGATGGTGCCGAAGAAGGCCTCACTAGGCAGTCATCATCAGGATAGGAAGTGGGCACGGGATTCAGGAGAAATCTGGACTTTACAGTGGACAGGATGTGGTGACTGAACGTGACAGTGTGGGAAAAAGAATGCAGGGTGATTCCCGGGCTCATGGCTTGAGAAATGAGACCACTGTTGTGCCTCCAAGTGACATGGGAGGCTATAGAAAGTGACATGGGAGGCTATAGAAAGTGACATGGGAGGCCATAGAAAGTGACATGGGAGGCCATAGAAAGTGACATGGGAGGCCATAGAAAGTGACAAGGGAGGCCATAGAAAGTGACATGGGAGGCCATAGTGACATGGGAGGCCATAGAAAGTGACATGGGAGGCTATAGAAAGTGACATGGGAGGCTATAGAAAGTGACATGGGAGGCCATAGAAAGTGACATGGGAGGCCATAGAAAGTGACATGGGAGGCCATAGTGACATGGGAGGCCATAGAAAGTGACATGGGAGGCTATAGAAAGAGGAGATACAAGGTTCTAAGTGCAGGCGATAATGATCTCTATTTGGGACTGGCTTCATTTGAGGTGCCTTTAGGAGAGCCGAGTGGCCTATGCACAGCTGGGTCTGCTATGCAGCAGGAAGGCTAAGTTGGAGACAGATGTGAGAACTAACCATGAAGGAGGTAATAATGCAGACCAAGGGTCTGGTTGAAATTTCTTCTCCCCCAGTCCAGGGTGCAGCGGGTGAGTGAAAATATGTGTGTTTGTGTGTCTGTCTTCCTAGTCGGGAGAGAAGACTGAGTTTGTGGCTCTGCGGAGCATCACCATTTAAGGAGGGGGAAAAGGAGACAGAAGGAATTACCAGAACACTCCAGAGGGCTCCAAGACTGTATGGTGGGATCTAGATGGCCAGGAGGAGGGGAGCAAAAAGGAAAGAGTCATCCACAGTATCAGTAGGATGCCAGTTGAAGTGTTTTTGCTGCCTCCCGGTTATCGGTGACTTTGATGAAAGCTGTCTTCTGGTGGTCATGGGGGTGGAGGCCAGATCACAAGGAAGCTGGGAATGGTAGATGAGATAGTAGGGGCTTGCATATTCATTACTGTCTCGCAGAGAGAAACCTGAGGCTAAGAGGGGTCTTGGATCAAAGGATGGGGTGGGTTTATCTGGTTTCGGGGCTTTTGTTTTTAATGAGAAGGAGTCATTTCTGTGCTGCTAGGAGGGATCAATGGAATAGGTGGGGTTAAAGATACAGTACGGAATCTACAGTTGATGGCTTGATGTGACAAGGTCCTCAAGGAGCCTGAAAGGAAGGGGTGGGGTCCAAGGGCAAAACCGAGGTATGAGAAGAAGGATGCACAAGGATGGTTTCGAGTAGACAGTATTGTTGGTAGGGACATGAAGGAAGTTTAGTGGTCTATTGCAGCTAGCCTGTGTTCCCAGTGAACCTGGAAACAAGGTTCTCATCTGTGCTCAGGCCTCAGGCCAGAAAGGGCAAGGCAGCAGAGGGGCAAGGCAGCAGGCTGAGCCCCATTTCCCCTTGCCATAATACTGCTGTGCCCCTCTGGTACCGAAAATCAGGAGTTTCCAGTGCAATATAATATTATACAAGTTACACTGTATTATAATGTGTATTGTCTTTTAGTGTGTTAACCAAATTACTGCAGTATTAAATGCAAATTATACTTTGTTTAACTGATTCTTCTCTTCATTTTTAGTTAGAAATCCTGTGTTCTGTCAACATTCTCCAGTTTATATTCATTGCCTTAAGACTGGACAAGATCATCCACTGGCCCTGGCTTGTATGTAACTTTTAAAATCCTTAAATAAAGTTCTTTTTTATTATAAAAGTAATTCATATTCACTGTACAAAGCTTGGAAAAGACGGACAAGCAGAAGTAATAGCCTAATAGTCACCCATAATCCCACCATGGGGAGATAACATGGTTAGTGTTTTTATGTCTGTGTTTTATACAAACAGTTTGGATATAACTGTGTGCACCATTTTGTATCCTGATTTTTTTGTTTTAATGTTGTATCATAAACATTTTATCATGTTAATAAAAGGTCTTTATAAACATGACTTCTAAAGTTTAATTGATACAAAATATTCTTCAAGTGCATGTATCAGACCATCCTCTTATTTCTAAAATATGGTATTTCCATTGTTGCCAGTGTTGAATGATTTTAAATCATACTGCAGTATATATGTTTATGCATTAAAATTTTTGCCTTTTGTTTTTTGGTTGTTTTCTTAGGAAATAGTCCAGAAATAGTGTTACTGAGCTAGAGGTTGGGAACTATTTGAGATTCCTATATACGTATACTGCACTGCCAACTTGCTTTTCCAAAAGCCATACCTGGCCAGGCGCAGTGGCTTACACTTACAGTCCCAGCACTTTGGGAGGCCGAGGTGAGCTGATCACTTGAGCTCAGGAGTTCGAGACCAACCTGTGCAATGTAGCAAGACCCTGTCTCAAAAGAAAAAAAAAAAAAGCCATACCCATTTACACTCTTGCTGGTGGTGGCATCTATGTCATGCTTCTAAACTGTGACTTCAGTTACTGGGCATTTGGTTGAAATTAACTGTGAATAAATGGGTAGATGGATGCAGAGATAGAAAGATAAGTGGCAAGGTAGAAATTAGAGAACACAGTATAGATTCCACTATTAAATGCATGGAAAAAAGATGGAGACTAAAGGCAGAAGAGTTCCATTGCCACTGGGAGGTAAGGTCATGCTAGTGTTTTTGTTCGGTTTTATTTTCTCTGTTGTTTGATGTATAATTTTGCATACAATATATTTTATGTATTAAATATAGCTACCCTTAAAAAGTGAAAAGTATAGTAAAGAATTGGGAGCAGAGAAGAAATGAAGGGAACCTAAGTATACTCCATATTTAAAGATGGGAATAATCACTTCTGCCCAAAGTCTTTGATAAAACATTCATAATAAAAAATATTCAGTCACTCATCCTACAACTTCACAGTGCTGTATCTGGAGAATGGTCATTGGGTTCAAAACTGTTTCTGTTGTGACGTGAAGGAAACATATCTAAACAAGACCAAATTTTTTCGTATAAGATACTGTCAGGGAAAAAAAAGATTAGTAATTTTGAGAGCTTTCCACAAATGAGAAGAAAGATTTTTTCTGCCCTTCATCCTCTGTAGATCCCAGTTGATGAAGCAGTCTGAGTACATGTTTCCCATAGTGAGCAAGAGAAAACAAGGAAGCCTATTGAGATCTAACATTCCACCCATGAAGGGAACTTCAGTAAAAAGGAGAATCTCATCACAGAATGGGGAACGGGGAAGAAAGGCTGTGCATAGACTCTGCAGAGAAACCTACAATCAAGAACTGGTCAGGAGAAGTAAAATTCGTATGCCAACTCAAATCATAGATCTAAAAGAAAATGTAAAACTATAGATCTGTTAGGAAATAACATAGGACAGAATCTTTGGGGTTTGCAATTAGGCAGAGAGTACTTAGAAATGGCACTGTTAATATGGTCCATACGAGAGAGAAATCATAAATTTGGACTTCCTCAAAATTAAAATGAAATGAAGACAGGCCACAGACTGGGAGAAAATATTTGCAAAGCACACATCAAAACACTGACTTGCACCCAGAACATACAGAGAACTCTTAAAAACTCAAAACTGCAAAAAGAAACACCTAAAAATTGGCAAAAGAGTTGACAATTTGCGAAGGGGATATACACATGGCGAAAAAGCACAGGAAAAGATGCTCAACGCCATTACAGGTTAGGGAAGACAAACTACAACCAGGATGAGGGCCCGAAACACATGGCTTCAGAATGGTGAAACTCAGCAACACTGACGAGGCCACGTGCCTGGGAGGATGCAGAGGAACTGGGACACTCCAGTGTTACTGGCGGGAAGGCAGGTGGTACGGGCACTGTAGAAAATGGTTTGGCCATCTCTGATGCAGTTAAAAGCGCACTTCCCGTGGGACTTGGCTGCCCCACTCCTGGGTATAAGATTTACCCCCAGAGAAGTGAAAGCGCGCAGCCTTGTAGAAACCCACACACCAGTGTTTGTAGCAGTCTTGTTTGCATTTTGGATAGCGGCCTTGTTTGGTTTTCACAAACCACCCTCAGCGGACAGTCAGATAAACTGTAGGCATCCATACAATGGAATACCACTCAGATCTGAGAGGGAACGACCTGTGGATACAGGGAGGGAACAACTTGGATGAATCTCATTAGAGACATTATGTGGATGGCGGGAAGCCAGTCTCAACAGGTTACTTGTCTCGCGATGCCATCTACATAAAGTTCCAGCAGAGACAAAAGTACAGTGAGAGAACAGATCAGTGTTTGCCGGGGCTAATGGTGGGGACGGTGTGATAGTGAAGGGACAGCACGGAGAGTTTTGCAGGGTGACAGACCTCTTCTGCATCCTGCCAACGGCTGTGTGAATCTACTTGTGTGAAGACTCAGGGAACTCACACCAAAGGAAGACGGTCACTTTTCCTACTGTATGATAGATAATTAATAAAAAGGGAGAACGGAGGAGTGTCGTCCCAGGAGGCAGGGCAGGAGGGCGAAGACGTGTCACAGGGGAGCCTGGCCAAGTGGCGCCCCCGGAACTCGTCCTCTGGGCTTGTGTGTGGATGAGACAAGGTCTACCTGGTACGACAGGGACATACTG
Organism: Homo sapiens; assembly: GCF_000001405.40. NCBI lineage: Eukaryota > Metazoa > Chordata > Mammalia > Primates > Hominidae > Homo > Homo sapiens. The sequence continues at coordinate 149,601,115 of NC_000023.11, read as the reverse complement.
GGAATGCGCCCTTGCCGTGGAGGCGGGGACCCGGCAGCGCTACGTATCCAGCATCAACCTGTATCCAGCATCAACCCGCCAAGTTCACTAACTTGGTAGGGGTGAGGTTAGGGATCCTTAGGAGCCCAGGCAGCCAGACTTTCTGGGGAGCCCATTCCCATTTGTGTTGCCAAAGTACCCCCAGCAGGTTGTGGGAATGTTGCCTGTGAAGAGAGTCTGTTGGGGTGAGATCTTGTGTGTGTGCACAGGGTGACAGTTGTGTCCCATTTCCCGGGAAGCTGTGATGGCAGCAGAACCTAGAGGAGCCTGAGAGAGTGTGGGAGAGTGGGCCTCTGGAAGAGTAGAGGCTGCGGAGCCAGGTGCAGGGCTGTCTGTCACCCAAAGGAAGAGGGACTGATGACTCACTGAGCGTGTGTGTCCCCTGGTGGCAGCAGGCCCCATAGTGAACATACCATACCTTTTCTGTCCTGAGCGATGCTCCCAGCAGTCCTGGGAGATGGAACGGTCCTTATTCGGCTCACAGGAAGGACCGCCTTAACTGGACAGACACAGCAAGGTGCTAAAGATGCCTTCCATCAGAGGCCAGGTTGGAAGCTCTAAAGAGACTTCTCTTGCTGTTCTCTCACCCACCCCCAGGTTGTGTGTGTCCCGCTGTGGATTCTCATGTCCTTTCTGTGCCTGGTGGTCCTCTACTACATTGTGTGGTCCGTCTTGTTCTTGCGCTCTATGGATGTGATTGCGGAGCAGCGCAGGACACACATAACCATGGCCCTGAGCTGGATGACCATCGTCGTGCCCCTTCTTACATTTGAGGTAAGCGTTCCACGGGAAGCCTCTTCAGCCCCTGAAGCTTGCGCTTCCCCTGACAGGATTCTGCACCCCTAGAAAGGCAGCCTCTGTCCCTCGAGCTCACAGTGAGCCCACTCCAGGAGAGGGGAGAGAACACAGCCATCTCCGAGAGGGAGCTTCGGTGAAAGGAGAGCATCCTTCCTTTCTCTTGGGGGCAGCACGTGGGGCTGGCAGGGAGAAGAGTGCACCTTTTTAGCCATGGTGCCTCTGTATGGCTCCAGTTTCCACTCTGGGGAAAGCAGAGTGGGATGTCAGATTTGTGTATTGGAGTCACGTGGAGAATTCTAGAATGGGAGCTGTTGACTCCTTAGAACAAACACCCGGAGGAGTTTGCCATAAAACTGCTGGCACTGGGAACTTTTCAAGTGGATAGGCTATTGCCGAGCTCTGAAGAGGGACATAAAAGCTCATTTCGAGCTTTCCCCAGGGATAGGTGGTTTCCTGCCTTTTTCTGGCGGTGCTGATGTTCCCTCTTGTGGGAGCTCACGCGGGGGTGGGGTGGTGGGGAGGAACTGCCTAATGAAGTCTGGCTTCCGCCTCTGCCCATTTTCGGTGCTGGCATCAACCGGGACTATGTCTCTTTCTTTAGATTCTGCTGGTTCACAAACTGGATGGCCACAACGCCTTCTCCTGCATCCCGATCTTTGTCCCCCTTTGGCTCTCGTTGATCACGCTGATGGCAACCACATTTGGACAGAAGGGAGGAAACCACTGTATGTACTCAGCATTTCAGAAGTCCTTGGTGTGTGTCTGGGGGGGGACCAGGGGGTGGGGGGTGGCGGATAGAAGTCTAGGAAGGGATGAGTCCCCGAGGGCCCCAATTTAGAAGCTTGTGTGGGAAAGTGAGGGCTGAGGAAATTCTGGGACCTTCTAAGGGAAGGGCATGCCGTAACTCTGGTGTTCTGCTGGCCTGCACCGGGACTTTTCTCGCAGTGCACGCTGCCATTTGAGGTAGAACCAGACACGGCAGGCAACCTCTCAGAGATCCCGTTCCCTCCTCTGCAAAATGGGGATCAAGACAGATTCTTCCCAGGCCCGGGAGGGTTTGATGGAAAATCCACATCTCCCACCCAAACCTGGGATTCATCCTAGGTCCCTGTTGGCCGCTCTGCCTCCCCCATATCCTTGCTGCCATCACCCGAGTCTTGCCTGTCTTGCCTTGCTAACACTCTATTCCCCTCCACCTGCTTGCTGAGGCAGACACTTCCAAAACGATCTCTGCAGAGGGTGCCTTCCTGGCAAGGCTGTGGGCTCCATGGCACGGAAGCCCAGAGCATTGCCCTTCGGAAAGCCAGTGGGTTTGGGGGCAGGGCCTCACTGCAGCCCAGCAGCCCGGGCTGTGCTTGCTGTTTGTGCCTCTGCCCCCTACCCCGCACCCGGGAGCAGGGAGGGCTTGCACCGAGCTGACACTCCAGTAGCCTACAGAGAGGAGTAGTGGGACTGGGAAAGTGGCTTTAAGGTGGCTCCATGAGTTCAGGCCCCCTCCTGGCCAACCCGTGCATGACTACCGCCCTCACGGATTCCAGAGGGTGACAGAAATCTTGTTCTTGGGTGGCACTGTCATCCATGAGTTTATCCTGGCTGGAGAAGATTAGCGGAAGACACCGTAGTCTGCGCACCACAGATATTTTGAGACTCACTGGAGCAGTAGTTCTCAAACTTGGGCATCCAGCAGAATCCCAAAAGGGCCAGGAAAAGGGGACCGCTGGAGCCCACCCTAGCCCGACTCAGTTTCTGGAGGTCTGGGCTGGGGCCCGAGAATGGCATCCCTAACTAGGCCCCGTGGACGCTGTCCCTGCCGGTCCGGGAACCCCACTCCAAGCACCACAGAGCTAGCATTTGCACTTCTTCCCCATTTTGGGTACTCAAGCCCTGTTCAGGCTTTGTGACTCAGGAGTCTGGATAAAGTATGTTATGACATTGTAGGAGTGAAACTTCTTGTTACGGAAAGAAAGTTAACAGGAAGGTCAGTTGAGCCTCGTGTGTGAAATAAAAAATTCTTATTTTTCAGGGTGGTTTGGTATCCGCAAAGATTTCTGTCAGTTTCTGCTTGAAATCTTCCCATTTCTACGAGAATATGGAAACATTTCCTATGATCTCCATCACGAAGATAATGAAGAAACCGAAGAGACCCCAGTTCCGGAGCCCCCTAAAATCGCACCCATGTTTCGAAAGAAGGCCAGGGTGGTCATTACCCAGAGCCCTGGGAAGTATGTGCTCCCACCTCCCAAATTAAATATCGAAATGCCAGATTAGATGCCACTTCCGGGGACAGAGCTTAAGTGGACTGGGACGCACTCTCTCCGCCTTCCTCTGCCCCCTCGTTCACCCCGCAGACCAGAACCAGTACTGGAGCTGGGTCTCCAGGTACGTCCATCTCATGCCTTGTTTGCATCCAGCGCCTATCAGCCACTCACCACGACGGGACGCGGAAGTGGCAGGTGACGGGGGTGTGTGCCAGCAGATGCGGATGCCAGGAAGAGTGTGAGAACAGGGGTGGGATTACCGTCTGTCTGGGAGGGGCTCCAGGTACCCCTCTTCCCCGTCAGACCCACTGGGAGATGGCTGCTTGCCAGGCCCCCAGAAGGAACATCTGTCTATACGGTGCTGAAATCCCAATCAAAAGTATTGTTTAGAAATGTATTTCTCCACAGGGCTGACCTCCTGCAGCTCGCTGAGCACTCCCAGGTCCTCAGCACTCCCAGGTCGTGGCTGGGGCAGTCAGTAGGAACTGTAACTATGTCTCTGATGCACCACGTGTTTAGACACAGCACAGTCCTTTTTTCTGTTCCTACTGTGGAAGTAGTTTCTCTTTGGGCATGCTGACAGCAGTTTTTCATAGCCTCACGGATGAGCCCTTTCTACGGGAGTGACTCCATGCTTGTATACAGAGTATTTATACAAATGTTTTAGCATCTTCATATGCGGTGTTAACCCCTAGTTCTGTACAGCATATTCTGTTCAAGTATTTTTTTACAAGCTTGTGCTGTAGGCACATGCCTTCTGCTGCAGAAGTGGACGCCCGTGGCACACTCCCCCCCCCCCCGTGGGGTGCCACGCCTTCATGGGACATTGCCACTTCTGCCCTGGAACTCGTGCAGGTACGTAGTAGCTGCTACTGCCACAACGGCAACACCAAGCAAGAGATGGTCCATGCTTTTCTGACGTTCTCAGAATAGTGGCTAGCTTCAAACCTGACAAGCGCTGCTTGAAGCCGGAACACTAGAGAATGTTGCTGAGAGCAGAAACGGCCACGCGGGTCACGACTATGCGTGGGAAAGTCTCAAGCTTCCCTCCTGCCAGCAACAAGAAGGCTTTGGAGTAGGCATGATGTTTTCACGTGTGCGTGCCGTTTCTCCAAGCACTGCAGGTTCCACCGTGTGTCAGAGGCTGCAAGTTTAACATCCTCCTGCCTGAAAACAAATAGGTCCTTTGCTGAAAAGAGGGTAAAAAAAGAGCTTTGATCTTCTCAGCCAGGAGAAGAGGGTGGTGTTTTCACGCGGGCAACTGCTCGCCGGCCTACATGGGGTTAATTCAAGTCTGCTGCGAGCACGACTCCGCCCTTGGCACTGGCCTCCAGCAAGCCCTGTTCTCTTTGGGGTACAGGGGAACGGGATGGTTTAGACTTTCCTGCTCAGTGTGTAAAAAATGTAGCTAAAGCCACTATTTTTGCTCTCCTTAAGCTGTTCAATAAACCGGTTCCTCATTTTACACGTGCATGATGTGTATCTTCTTTGCTGGATGGGCCAGGAAACTGGAGTGGTCCTCTCAGCCAGCCTCAGAGGAAAGAAATCTCTAGCTGGCACAGGCAGCCAGTGAGTGAGGCTGGCGGCTGCAGGGGCACAGCCTTTAGAATGAGTCCTTCAGTGCACAGGTCCCAGGGTATACGGGGTAGTGGGAGGAAGGAGGGGACGCCTCGCAGATGCCACTGTTGGCTGGGCTACACCTTGCCACACTTGTTACTGCTTAGGAGGCTTTCTGGAGTGTTCCTTGGGTGCTACGACAATCTGCAGCAGACACTGTCCTTTCACCGCTCCTGGTCCTCGTTTGCTCCCCAGTGATGTCAACAGCTGAGGACTGCTCACGCTGCAACAAAAGGCTCTGCAGTCGCTGTCTAGCTTGCCCTAGTCGTCTCTAGAGTTCTGCCTGAACTGAAACTCAAGTGGGGTTCAGCTCATGACTTGTGGCAATTGACCAGGAAATTCACCAGTTGCTGTGGCTGGAAGGATTTTCAGTCCTGTGGGTTGTAACCAGAGGCCACAGGTGGATTCTGCCTTAGGCTCATGAGATTTCCGACTTGCTGTTGAAGAAAATGCCTTGTGAAGTGACAACAGTAGCTCTGACCCAACTGCCGGTGCCTCGCTAGTTCCTATACGTCCCACTGGATCCTCACAGCCCCGGGAAGCAGGTGCTACTACTCTTATCCCCGGGAGGAGACAGAGGCCGAGAGAGGTTAAGTGACGTGCCCAAGTCACACAGCTCGGCAGCGGCCGGGTTGAGCATCAGCAGTCTGTTTGCAGACCCCTCACTGTCACCCCCTGAGCCAGTGCGCCTTGGGCCCTGCGGTCAGGATGTCTCAAGCGTGGAGGCATCACCGGTTCGTGGCAGTCTCTGGAAGGTCACTGAGCTCTGTGCCCAGAATCGAGTCGGGGGAGTCTGTGCAGAGGTGGCCCTGTGTGTGGGGACAGTGTGTGACACAGACACTGCTTTGGATGGACACCTCTCCCGTGACCTCCTAGCATCCAATCCCAAAGGAACAACTGTTGCAGAGATGGACCGCTGGACACAAACCCACGTGCGTTTCTCTGGAGACACTGGCCAAGGAAAACAAAACATGCTCGAAGGCCAACAGCTGCATGCCCCACCGCGATGTGACCGCAGACACCCGGGGTGTAGAAGGGTCTCTGCCTGGTGGGGGGACACGTGCAGGCCGAGGAGAGGCAGGAAGGAGGCTGCCTCCGACTCCCCACTGGACTGCATGGCGACGGCGTGTGGTGGGGCAGTCAGCTAAGCCATTTGCCTAAGGGGCTGTCGGGCATCTGCGTGCTGGGGACCGACAGTGTGGGTGTGTTAGGAGGATCTGTATGGAGCACATTGCTGCCTCTGGCTAGGACAGGGTGGAAAGGGTGGCGTGGCTACAGCCTGACCCATGGGCACCGTCCTACCCTTTGTTCTGTGCTTCCGAGTGTCAGTCATGTGCTGGGGTCTGTGGGCCCATGACTCAGACGGTGAGCTCTGACCTTCCTGAGCCAGGGCTTTGCTGTAGTTGTGCCTGGCTCAGGAGCTCTAGGACAAGGGGACCGCTCCAGGTCTGCATCTACGGTGTGGCAGGGCCCCTCGGCACTCTTGTGCACTAGTGTCATCTTTCCCATTGAAATGACTGTGAGGACCAGAATGTGCACATGCAGATGGGCAGCTACTTGTCTGCCTTGGCCCTTTATTACACAACTTGCTGGGGGTGGAGATGCCACCCCCCGGCAGTCAGAGCCCCTTTATGATGTCATGGGGCTGGTTACATGACTGCCAAGGGGTGCTGCTGGCCACACTGCACTAGCAAGTTTGCCAGATGGAGGACAAGCGATCATTGAGTATGGCTCGCTGTGAAGAAAGAAATTCGAGGGGACAGGATCATGGCTTGGAAAGGGTGCCTTTCCCTCCCCAGTTGCAGTCAGAGACCTACCTTCACCCAGCAGATCCTTCCCCTGCCTGGGACGACCCGGGGTCCACTGGGAGCCCTAACTTGAGGCTGCTGACAGAAGAAATCGCTTTCCAACCTCTGGCCGAGGAAGCTTCGTTCAGAAGGCCGCACCCTGACGGTGACGTCCCGCCCCAGGGAGAAGATAATCTCCTCTCCCTCCCCTTTCCACAGAAACTGTGGAGACTGGTCAGCAGCAACCAGTTTTCGTCCATCTGGTGGGATGACAGTGGGGCTTGTAGAGTGATCAATCAAAAACTCTTTGAAAAGGAGATTCTCAAAAGGGACGTCGCACACAAAGTGTTTGCCACAACTTCGATAAAGAGCTTCTTCCGCCAGCTAAACTTGTATGGCTTCCGAAAACGGCGTCAATGCACTTTCAGGACCTTCACCCGCATTTTCTCCGCAAAAAGGCTGGTCTCCATCTTGAATAAGGTAATGAACGACAAGCCTCTGGAGGGGTTAAGTCGGTGGGCTCTGGGGCCTGGTCGGGTGGAAGTCCCAGGACTGCCTCCTGGGAAGTGGGCGACCTCAGGCAGGGTGTGGGGCCATCGCTGTGGGCCTGTGTCCCCCTCTGGGTGGAGGTGACATGAACTAAGAGTGAATGTGGGGAGAGGGCTGAGGATGGTGCGGGCCCCTCTCGAGTGTGTAAAATATCACAGGTGCCAAGTAGCCGTATCTGCGTGTCGTCCTCCCCGGGGCCAGCCATGTCATCTGGCGGTTGCTGTGTCCCCCTGACTCCACAGCACATTACCCTGTGAGGTGAGCAGGCCAGGGGAGTCTGGTATTTGTACCACTGTCACCCTAGCTGGTGTCTGGAGAGGTGCTCAAGTGGAAGCACTGAAGGGCGCCTGGCGCAGGAGGTGCAGATGCTCCTGCTGCCCTTGGTAGGTGGGCCCCTGGTGTGGAAGAGCCAGTACCCAGGGCCTCCAACCCAGCCGGGGTGCATTCTGTTGCCAGCTGACACTGCATGGGGGAGGCCCAGAATCTTCTTCCCTCCTGGTCTGCAACTTCAAAGACCCTTTCCGCCGGCCATGGACACCCTAATCTGCCATTTTGAGGCTTTTTCCAAGACGGAAAGGCCCGCCACAACTTGGTAAACCTTGACGATGTGAACGCGAGTCCCCAGCTTCCTTTGGGGACTGGGACCTTTTCCAGAAAGGCCTCCTGGGCCAGTAGAGTTCTCTTGCACAGGGGCGTAGATGGTTGGTAGTTGTAGTCCATCCTTGTGACTTGCAGTTTCCTTTTGTTTATTTAAACTTTGACTTATAGTTAGAGTTCTACTGCCATCCTTACTTTCAAAGAGACTCCCCTCACCTCCTCGTGAGGATGAAGAGAAGAGTGGGTGTCAAGTCTGCACCAAGACATCAGGAGGAGGACAAGCCAGAAGCTGCTGGATCCTGTCTGGCACCAGCAGACACTGAGCAACAAGATCACACGTCTCCGAATGAGAATGACCAGGTCACACCGCAACACCGGGAACCGGCCGGTCCCAACACCCAAATCAGGAGTGGCTCTGCTCCACCAGCAACTCCTGTGATGGTGCCTGATTCCGCCGTGGCGAGTGACAACAGTCCAGTGACCCAGCCGGCCGGCGAGTGGTCAGAGGGCAGCCAGGCTCACGTCACTCCGGTGGCCGCTGTCCCTGGGCCTGCAGCGCTGCCCTTCCTCTATGTCCCTGGATCTCCCACTCAGATGAATTCTTACGGGCCTGTGGTGGCCCTTCCCACAGCGTCCCGTAGTACCCTTGCCATGGACACCACAGGACTTCCTGCACCTGGCATGCTGCCCTTTTGCCATCTCTGGGTACCGGTGACCCTAGTGGCTGCTGGGGCTGCACAGCCTGCTGCCTCCATGGTCATGTTCCCCCATCTCCCAGCTCTGCACCACCATTGCCCCCACAGCCACCGCACGTCACAGTACATGCCAGCTAGCGATGGGCCCCAGGCGTACCCAGACTACGCAGACCAGAGCACATAGAGGGCAGCATTTGGGCAGAATATGTGCTGGTCAATAAATGTGTCAGAAAATGAGTAATTTTCTGACTGCACAAAAAAGTCTTCATGGTCTCCATCCTTTTTCTTTCTTTGCAGTCCAGTACCCCCCTCCGACATCTTTGGCTTGCATGATAGAGACTTCAGCCTAACACGCCTCCCTGGAAAAGTGCCCAGGAGATACTCGAGCAGGTGCTGGGTTTTAGGAAGCCCCTCAGACATCCCGCCTCTACTCATTAAAAATTACCTGGAGCTGGCCGGGCGCAGTGGCTCATGCCTGTAATCCCAGCACTTTGGGAGGCCGAGGCGGGTGGATCACGAGCTCGGGAGATCGAGACTGTCCTGACTAACACGGTGAAACCCCGTCTGTACTAAAAATACAAAAAATTAGCCGGGCGTGGCGGCGGGCACCTGTAGTCCCAGCTACTCGGGAGGCTGAGGCAGGAGAATGGCATGAACCCGGGAGGCGGAGCGTGCAGCAAGCCGAGATCGCGCCACTGCACTCCAGCCTGGGCGACAGAGCAGGACTCCGTCTAAAAAAAAAAAAAAAAAAAAAAAAATTACCTGGAGTTGCTCGCTGAGTGCTAATTGTGCTGCTAGCATTGCCGGCCTAGGGTTCACAATGACTCTGTGTTACTGGCCATTCCTTGTCATGGCGGTGCCTTTATATAACAGGATCTTCACTTTACATACAGATGAGATCACGTCTGGCTTTGTCATTGGGTTAAAAAGTGCCCTTGATAGTTGTGGAGGTGACACATACTACCAAGGAGTCCTACGGGTTTGCAGTTTAGAGGGTGCTCATTAGTGTCTGGTGGACAGGATTTATGTTTGGCTTTTATGTCTGTACTGGATCTGGTGGGGTTTTTTACTTCCTTCCTTGATTCCCCCACTATGCCCCCACTTTTTCTTTCTTGTTTCCCTTCCTTCCTACTTTCCTTTCCTCTCCTTTTTTCTCTCTCTCTCTCTTTGCTTCCTTCTTTCCTTCCTTCCTTCCATCTCTCTCTCTCTCTGTGCTTGCTTGCTTCCTTCCTTCCTTCCTTCCTTCCTTCCTTCCTTCCTTCCGTGTCTCTCTCTCTCTCTCTTTCCCTCCCTTCCTTCCTTCTCCTTTCTTTTGGAGTCAAAAATTAATTTAAAAGATGTCATGTCATGTTTTAACTTAGGAAGCAGCCTTTTCTGCTCACTTGGGGTGTTCATCTTAGAACACATGCTATCATCGACGAACTTCTTTGACTGATCAGAGGAAATAGATTCAAGTTCTTACCGTAGACACAACTGGGCACAGACATCAAAAGAGCTCTGAAATCAGGGCGTGCAGAGAGCCCCAACACCCACACACCAGAACCCAGAGGTATCCCTGCCTGTGATTTTTAATTTGACAGTAGGTGGCAGAGTCCTGGGAGACGTGGGAAGAGGCCATAAGAGAATGCAGACATGGGAATGGATTAATCCAGAGTCCAGCCATGGTCTGCAGGTGGATCTCCCTGTCTCGGCCTGCTCACTTACAAATGGGTGCTCATTTACAAATCGGTGTGAATCACATTTCATCATTTGTGAGCTCCTTAGTTTCCAAGAAGTACAGTTTTCTCATGTGTTTCTTGGACTTTATGCATATGCCTCCAGAGTTTGAATCATGCAAAGATGCTGCCACTTAAAAACCTCTTTCCTACAAACTTACACCCCTCCGATCGTGGTTTTCCTGTGAATCTCAGCTGGGCACGATGGCTGACGCCTGTCATCCCAGCACTTTGGGAGACTGAGGCAGGTGGATCACGAGGTCAGGAGTTCAAGACCAGCCTGGCCAAGATGGTGAAATCCTGTCTCTACTAAAAATACAAAAAATAGCCGGGCACGTTGGCAGGCACCTGTAATCCCAGCTACTTGGGAGGCTGAGGCAGGAGAATCGCTTGAACTCAGGGGGCAGAGGTTGCAGTGAGTCGAGATCACGCCACTGCACTCCAGGCTGGGAGACAGAGTGAGACTCCATCTCCAAAAAAAAAAAAAAAAAAAAAAAATACTGTTAGAAGAATGGAAAAAACTATATAGATGGAGAGAAAATATTAGTAATCTGATATCTGATAAAGAACTCATATGCTGAATAAATACCAAACATTTAACATTCAACCTTTGAAAACAAAGAATCCAACTAAAGATGTAAATGATTTGAAGACATTCACCAATGAAGACACGCAGAAATACACATACATTCACCAATGAAGATACACACATGAAAAGATGATCACCATAATTATTCATTAATAATGCAAATGTCAACAGCACTAAGATTCCTCTACCCACCTATTACAATGGATAGAATTCAAATACCTGAGAATATCAAATTCTGGAGAGGATGTGGGATTCTCATTCATAGCTGGTAGACAAGAAAAATGTTTCATTCACTCTAGAAGGCCTTTTGGCCCTTTCTTATGTAGTAAAACATAGACTTACCTTTAGATCCATCAGTCGTACTACTAGGTTTTACCTAAGTGAATTGGAAACTGGTTCTCACATGGAAAATCGTGTACACGAATGTATTAGTAGTTTATTCATAATCACCAACCAAGATGTCCTTGAAGAGGTGAATGGATAAAACCAATGGTACTTCCACAAACTGAAAGTGTATTCAAAGTTCAATCTACCCTCAAATATTCCAGGACAGGAAATTTTGGAGGCCAGTTCAGCCAAGTGGCAAGGGAAAATGAATCACCATCTTATCTCAACTCTTCCAATGCATCCAAAATGGGCAATTGTTTAACTCATTCTCCCAGGCTCGCTCTCCTAGATTCATAAACAGATGAAGGCACCCGAGCACTCATGAAAAGAATTTGTGAGGCAAGTGTTCACACACATCGCAGCAAATGTCATAAACAGATAATCACATATCCAACACAACAGTGGATTAAACGAACAAGCTGCCTGTATGCATGGAATAAAAATAGGATTAAATGTTAGAAAAAAATTCAATTCTAACTCCCTGCATACAAGATAGACTAGAAAAAAACATTCAGTCATGACAATGGGTACAGGAAAAGGCTCTGAAATGAATTCTATGTAAGTACAAATTAACAATGTTTAGCAAACTAACATTAAAAGGAACTTCCATTTCCTAAAATTGGCAGCAAGCATACATAAATGTGAAATGTCAGAAGCTCTGCCATTCACGGCAGTGACAAGTCGTTGACATATGCTGTCACCACTACCACCTACATCTGCAGTGAATATCAAAATGAAAAAGAGCCAGAGCTATGGATGTCAAGATGAAAATGAGATATGAAGACTGCAAAGAAATAGAGTATTTGTTAACTATATGATTATCTACATAGAAAATTCAAAGGAATAGACACATTGAATATTCAAATGAATAAAAGACTTCAGAAAACATCATACAGAAGGTCATTAAAGCAAAATCAAGAGCCTTGCCACACAAAAGCAACTTAGTATATAAAATAGAAAATAGAAAATGCACCATTCACAGCAGCATTAAAATCCAAAATGTAAATAAGAAGAGCCTGACAAGACCTTTATGGAAGCAACTGTGCAAAGTTGCTGATAGACTCAGGAAATAATCTCAAGTAAATGGATCTGTATACCATATTCCTTGATGGGGAACAGAATATGGCAAAGATGTAAATGCTACTTAAATTAAATACAGAGTGAGTGCCTTAACTGTCATTGCCAAAGTGACAACCAAGCTCAGGTTGCTGTGCTCTGCTCCCCAAATCAACCCCGGAAAAAATATAGGAGGGAAAAGATTAAAAAAAAAAACCCATCAAAACAGAGAAAGCCCTGGGGATGACTGAAGACTGTGCTAAACTAGTACTTGTGTTTTGGGTCCAGGGAGCAGCAGGGAAATCGAGGAGGTCTGTACCCTGCATAGATGGCAGATTACAGGATGGATAGGAGAAAGTGTTTAACATTCCACCCCACATCATCGCGCAATCTGAGGCAGCACCACAAAATCTGATGCCAGTAGCCCTGGAGTAATATCAGGACACCAGGAAATTTGAGTTGATTGAGACACTATGGCTCCAGAGTTCTGCTAACAACCACCTGAAACAAACTTAGTAGGAGAAGACCAGCCTTCCAAAAAATTATTATTTTAATGGAATATAAAGAATGAACTAGGAATAGAATAGTAAGTATGTGTGAAGGCCACATACTATGAGTAGATATTAATAAAATATGTGTGCATATATATAGTATAAAGTCTAGAAATACAAACGAATATGTAGCTAAAGATATATACATGTAAGTAAATATAAGATATAAAGATATATATGCGTGTATGTATACATATAAGCATAGATGTATATAATGTCTAAAACAGGTATGTATATAAACGTAGATATAAACAAAATGTACAATACCATATATAATGTACACATACAGTGTAAAATTTATTACCATGTGAATGAGAATTAAAATATGAAAATCGCTAATCTGGACTCTGCTGTGTTCGATACCTTCAAAACACATGGCTTCTCCAAATCTCTTGCTGCTGCTCAGCCTCTTCCGTGTAAAAATAAATCTTTTAGGACAAAAGGTTTGCAAAGTCTAGCTCTGGCTGGGGAGGAGCCCCCATGGGATGGTGTGCATCTTCTCTCACAGGTCCTACAATCACAGGTGCTGCAGCCCCCCAGGGAGCATCTAGCCTGGGACCCGCAGCCATTCTCTGCAACGCGTGCAGCTGGGCAAATGCTCAAAGGTGACATAAACAGATCATCTCCCACACATCACTTCATCAAAGAGCCAGGAGCCAGGAGGAGAACCCTCCTGAGAGGGGACTGAAGGTCCAACCTCCCCACATAGAGGGGCCACAGAATCCAGCTCAGCCCTTCCTGTCAGCCCTGGAAGACCCTGGCAATGTTGTCACCCCGACCACACCCCTCCCCTCACTGCCACCTCATGTGACTGGGAGTCAGAGACTTGGTCCGAGAGGAGCAGACCCAATGGGCAGAGAATGGGGATCGAGACCCAGGCATCAAGGTCAGGACCCCCTGAGGGATGACTGAGGGCCCCTATCCCCATCCCCACCCCTACTCCGCCAGAACCCGGTTCAGCCCCTACTGGCAACCCAGGGAAGCTCCAGGCTTGGGGGCCGGATGTGACGTCACTGACGTGCGCACTGGGGGTCAGAGAGAAGGGAGAGGCCTCCTTCTGAGGGGCGGCTTGATACCGGTGGAGGTAAGCTGGCCGAGGCTCTGTGAGGAGTCAAGGTGAGGTGCTGAGGGAAGACTGAGGATGTCCCCACCCCAGATAGAGGACCCGAAAGAACCAAGTGCCGTCTCTGCTCCCAGCCCTGGACCACCCGGGGGCCGATCTGGGGCTGACTTGTGAGGCTGGGCCGACCCCCTCCCTCCGCCGCTCAAGCTGCTGGGCACTCTGGAGTGAGAGCTTGGTGTGACCAGGGCAGGGCTGGTTAGGAGAGGGCAGGGCCCAGGCTCTGCCGGGCATCAAGGCCAGGACCCTGAGGGAGGCTGGGCCCCCCCAACCCAACCATGACCTACAGCCCCAGGTTCCCCAGCCCCATCCTCAGCTCCACTCTACACCCCACCCCACCCCACCCCACCCCACCCCAAACTCCACCCCACCCCCCCAACTCTCCCGCGGCAGAATCTGGTTCCGCCCCTGTTGTCAACCCAGGGAAGCCCCAGGTGCCCGGATGTACGGCCAGTGACTCCCACACTGGGGGTCAGAGAGTAGCGGGGGCCTCGCTGTGAGGGGCGGGTCGATATCGGTGGAGGGAAGCGGGCCCAGGCTCTGTGAGGAGGCAAGGTGAGACCCTGAGGGAGGACTCAAGACCCCCCGCCCCAGATAGAGGACCCCAAATAATACAGCGCCGCCCCTGTGCCAGCCCTGGACCACCCCGCGGGGTCGGGCGTATCAGGCTGGGCCCAGGCTCTGACTGGCATCAAGGTCAGAACCCTGAGGGAGGGCTGAACGCCTCCACACCCCTAACCCAGCCACCACCACCATGACCTACAGCCTCAGGTTCCCCACCTCCATCCTCACCCCCCCCCCACTCCACCCCACCCCCAAGTCTCCCGTGGCAGAATCCGGTTCGGCTCCTGCTGTCAACCCAGGGAAGCTCCGGGTGCCCGGATGTAAGGCCTCTGACTTGCGCACTGGGGGTCAGAGAGTAGCAAGGGCTTGGTTCTGAGTGGTGGCTGAAGATCGGCAGAGGGAAGCGGGCCCAGGCTCTGTGAGGAGGCAAGATGAGACGCTGAGGGAGGACTGAGGACGCCCCCACCCCAGATAGAGGGCCCCAAATAATCCAGCAGCACCCCTGCTGCCAGCCCTGAACCACCCCGGGGGCGGACTTCTCAGGCTGTGGGCCACCCTTCGCCACCCCACCACTTAAGCCCCAGGGGACTCTGGGTCAGAGCTTGGTGTGACCAGGGCAGGACTGGTTAAGAGAGGGCAGGGGCCAGGCTCTGCCAGGCATCAGGGCCAGGACCCTGAGGGAGGGCTGAGGCCCCATAGAGGGAGTCACTGCCCCTGCAGTGGACCCTGGGAAGTTCCGGGCATGGCGGTCAGGCAAGCGGATCGTGATATCTGCATCCTGGGCTGACCGAGGGAAGGGGCTTGGTATCGTTAGCGTGGCCGCGGGAGAACAGAGGGAGGGCCCAGGTCCTGCTGGGAGACAAGGGAGGCCTGAGGGGACCCAGTACCCCAGGACAAGGGGCCCACCCCGCCCCTATCTGAGACCGAGGCCCCTCCTCATTCAGCCTCGGGAATCCGACAGATAGAGACTCAGGTCCACAGAGGGGTGGGGCCCAGCCCTCTAGGAGACCAGGGAAGGAACAAGACGGAGGACAGAGGGGACCCCGGAGTCCAGCTCAGTGGGGATCTTGGCCTGGGCGATCCCGGGCACGGTGGCCGCATGTGGTGCATTGTGGCTGGTGGGATCGGGTGTCAATGGGAACAGGGCTGTGGTATGAGGAGTGGGGCCTCAGGTGAGCAGAAGGAGGAGTCCCAGAGGCCTGAGGAAGGATTCACCAGACCTCTCATCCCAGACCTAGGAAACCTGCCCCTGCCGTCAGTCTTGGAAGGCCCCAGGCAGGACGGTGAGGAAGGGAAGTGCCCCCTCCACCCCCAACACACACTTTCTCAAAGAGGGTCTAAGGGAGAAATTGGCCTTGGTCTGCAAGACTCACCTCTGGTTCAGCAAAATGGAAGGGGCCAGATTCTGTCAGAAGCAAATATGAATACCTAGAGGACACCCAGACCGACGAGGCCCCCTGGAACCTGCTCCTTTGGTCAGCCTTGGGTATCTCATGCATGAGTGACCATGAGGTGGCCCCTCACTTCTGCCTCCCGGGTCTCCGGGAGGTGGGGGCCTTGGTCCGAGGGGTTTCCTCAGCTCAGCAGAGGGAGCCACACCTGGTCAGCACAGGGTGGAATCCAGGGTCTTCCAGGAGTGACGGGGAGGAAGTTTGGTGAGGACTGAAGGTAAGAAGGTACCTCCACGCTCTCAAAAAAGAAAGGACCTCACAGACACTGGTGTCACCTGTTCTCAGCCCCAGGTGGCCCCAGGCAGGAATGGCATGAGGCATGCTCTCATTTCTCCCACGTGACTGGGGGTGAGAGGTCTCAGGGAGGTGAGTACCTTGATCCCAGGGGGCACTGAGAGATCCAACAGAGGGCTCCACACCTGGTCAGTAGAAGGAGGACTCCCAGGATCAGCAGGACCCAAGGTGTGCCCCCTTCATGAGGAATGGAGGTACCCCCAACGCAGAAAGAAGCCACCCCACAGAGTCTAGGTGAACTCTGTTCTTAGATCTGGGGGCGGGGGGGGGCCTGATCAAGGATGGTGCTAAGTGGCAAGCTCATTTGTACCATGGCAGGAAGTTGAGGAACCCTCAGGGGGATGAGGCGTTGGTGTAAAGGGAGATGTCTGCTCATCTCAAGGGTTTGAGGGTCGAGGAAGTAGAAGCCCCAGCAGGAGTAAAGATGAATAACCCGCAGGAGGACTTTGGAACACCCACCTCATACCTGAAGGGTTCAGCTGGTGGGGTCAGCCCCGGACACCCCACGCAGGGGTGACATATGTGGGGCCTCCTCACCTCTGTTTCTGGATCTCAGGGAGGTGAGGACTTTGTTCTCAGAGGGTGTGTGTGGACAAAACAGGGAGGCCCTGTGTTCGACAGACACAGTGGTCCCAGGATTGGAGAGCAGTCCAGGTGAGGAACCTAAGGGAGGATCGAGGGTACCTCCAGGCCAGAGAAACTCTCAGATCAAGAGAGTTTGCCCTGCCCCTACTGTCACCCCAGAGAGCCCGGGCAGGGCTGTCTGCTGAGGTCCCTCCTTTATCCTGGGATCACTGGTGTCGGGGAGGGCTGGCCTTGGTCTGAGGGGGCTGCACTCACGTCAGCAGAGGGAGGGTCCCAGGCCCTGCCAGGAGTCCAGGTGCAGACTGAGGGGACCCCACTCACCAAACACAGAGGACCTAGCCCCACCCTGCCCCTTGTGTCAGCTGAGGGAAGCCGCTGGGTGGATGGACTCCCCTCACTTCCTCTTCAGGTGTCTCCTGGAGATAGGGCCTCAGGTCAACAGAGGGAGGGTTCCAGACCCTGCAGGCATCAAGATGAGGACCAGGCAGTATCCTCACCCCAGGACACATGGACCCCATTGAATTTAGACATCTCTTACTGTACTTCCGAGGAAACCCTGGGCAGGTGTGGGCAGATGTTGGTTGGGGCATGTCCTTCTGTTCCATATCAGGGATGTGAGCTCCTGATCTGAGAGACTCTCAGGCAAGTAGAGGAGTAGAGTCCAGTCCCTGCCAGGAGAAAGGTCAGGGCCCTGAGTGAGCGCAGAGGGGACCATCCACCCCAAAAGTGTGTAGAACTCAAGAGTGTCCAGCCCGCCCTCTTGACAGCACTGAGGGACCGGGGCTCTGCCTGCAGTCTGCAGCCTAAGGGCCCCTCGATTCCTCTTCCAGGAGCTCCAGGAAGCAGGCAGGCCTTGGTCTGAGACAGTGTCCTCAGGTCGCAGAGCAGAGGAGACCCAGGCAGTGTCAGCAGTGAAGGTGAAGTGTTCACCCTGAATGTGCACCAAGGGCCCCACCTGCCCCAGCACACATGGGACCCCATAGCACCTGGCCCCATTCCCCCTACTGTCACTCATAGAGCCTTGATCTCTGCAGGCTAGCTGCACGCTGAGTAGCCCTCTCACTTCCTCCCTCAGGTTCTCGGGACAGGCTAACCAGGAGGACAGGAGCCCCAAGAGGCCCCAGAGCAGCACTGACGAAGACCTGTAAGTCAGCCTTTGTTAGAACCTCCAAGGTTCGGTTCTCAGCTGAAGTCTCTCACACACTCCCTCTCTCCCCAGGCCTGTGGGTCTCCATCGCCCAGCTCCTGCCCACGCTCCTGACTGCTGCCCTGACCAGAGTCATCATGTCTCTCGAGCAGAGGAGTCCGCACTGCAAGCCTGATGAAGACCTTGAAGCCCAAGGAGAGGACTTGGGCCTGATGGGTGCACAGGAACCCACAGGCGAGGAGGAGGAGACTACCTCCTCCTCTGACAGCAAGGAGGAGGAGGTGTCTGCTGCTGGGTCATCAAGTCCTCCCCAGAGTCCTCAGGGAGGCGCTTCCTCCTCCATTTCCGTCTACTACACTTTATGGAGCCAATTCGATGAGGGCTCCAGCAGTCAAGAAGAGGAAGAGCCAAGCTCCTCGGTCGACCCAGCTCAGCTGGAGTTCATGTTCCAAGAAGCACTGAAATTGAAGGTGGCTGAGTTGGTTCATTTCCTGCTCCACAAATATCGAGTCAAGGAGCCGGTCACAAAGGCAGAAATGCTGGAGAGCGTCATCAAAAATTACAAGCGCTACTTTCCTGTGATCTTCGGCAAAGCCTCCGAGTTCATGCAGGTGATCTTTGGCACTGATGTGAAGGAGGTGGACCCCGCCGGCCACTCCTACATCCTTGTCACTGCTCTTGGCCTCTCGTGCGATAGCATGCTGGGTGATGGTCATAGCATGCCCAAGGCCGCCCTCCTGATCATTGTCCTGGGTGTGATCCTAACCAAAGACAACTGCGCCCCTGAAGAGGTTATCTGGGAAGCGTTGAGTGTGATGGGGGTGTATGTTGGGAAGGAGCACATGTTCTACGGGGAGCCCAGGAAGCTGCTCACCCAAGATTGGGTGCAGGAAAACTACCTGGAGTACCGGCAGGTGCCCGGCAGTGATCCTGCGCACTACGAGTTCCTGTGGGGTTCCAAGGCCCACGCTGAAACCAGCTATGAGAAGGTCATAAATTATTTGGTCATGCTCAATGCAAGAGAGCCCATCTGCTACCCATCCCTTTATGAAGAGGTTTTGGGAGAGGAGCAAGAGGGAGTCTGAGCACCAGCCGCAGCCGGGGCCAAAGTTTGTGGGGTCAGGGCCCCATCCAGCAGCTGCCCTGCCCCATGTGACATGAGGCCCATTCTTGGCTCTGTGTTTGAAGAGAGCAATCAGTGTTCTCAGTGGCAGTGGGTGGAAGTGAGCACACTGTATGTCATCTCTGGGTTCCTTGTCTATTGGGTGATTTGGAGATTTATCCTTGCTCCCTTTTGGAATTGTTCAAATGTTCTTTTAATGGTCAGTTTAATGAACTTCACCATCGAAGTTAATGAATGACAGTAGTCACACATATTGCTGTTTATGTTATTTAGGAGTAAGATTCTTGCTTTTGAGTCACATGGGGAAATCCCTGTTATTTTGTGAATTGGGACAAGATAACATAGCAGAGGAATTAATAATTTTTTTGAAACTTGAACTTAGCAGCAAAATAGAGCTCATAAAGAAATAGTGAAATGAAAATGTAGTTAATTCTTGCCTTATACCTCTTTCTCTCTCCTGTAAAATTAAAATATATACATGTATACCTGGATTTGCTTGGCTTCTTTGAGCATGTAAGAGAAATAAAAATTGAAAGAATAATTTTTCCTGTTCACTGGCTCATTTTTTCTTCAGACACGCACTGAACATCTGTTATTCGGAACACCCTGGGTTAGTAGTAGAGATGCTCGGTAAGCCAGACCCACCCCTTTGCCATAGGGTGGTGAAGTCTAGGGGCTACAATCCTAAAATTAAGGTGGTGCCATGTCCTCTAAGAAGTAGAGGAAAATAAAACATGGGTGAGGGTTTGGGGCTCTAGATGACAGCAGTCGAGTGTATATGCCCTGAGCCAGGGCCCTTTGGGCTTTGGGAAACTGCAGTTCCTTCTGGGGGAGGTAATTCTATTGAAGCTGGGTGGTGCCAGAGCCAGATTCTCAGAGGATGAGAGAAAGGCCTGGAATGGACGACTGCTCAGCAGTTCCTTTTGGATAGTGGATGAACAGAGAAGAGTCTCCACCTGGGGCAGGAATAGAAGGAAATCGTCCCGCGCTCTTGTCTCGGTGCGCTTGAACACAGTGCAGGGGCTAGGTGATGGATACCTATCATCTGCAAGGGTTTCCTGCAAGATGAGGGTGAATCTCCCAGAAGGGAAGCCCAGAAGTCATTGGCCAGGTGCTTTTCTGCCTGTCTGGGAGAGCCAGAGTTGATCGTATTTAAAAGGCATTCTAATCAAGTTATCTCAGGTGGGATTTGACCAATTGTGAGCAAAGGCTAGATTTCGAGTGTTAACAAAATAAGTGAAAACAGAGTCTCGGATCCAAAAGCAGGTGGGAGAGAGGAAAGGAGTTGATCCTCGATTCAAATTCTAGGAGCTTTGAGCTGCATTCAGCTGCGCAAGACTGCAGCACACCCAAATTTTGAAGCACCTTCGCTAAGAGGAAATACTTAATTTTATTGACGAAACTTCCTGTTGGGGCTGATTATCCCATGTCCTACTGAGCTGTATATTCTCTGGTAAGTCTTGGAGAACAACAACATTTACGAAATCCCAGAGTGCTAGGGTCTAGGGTCAAATAGTATTAGATATGACAGCCATCCGCCATTCCTTAAACTTCTAACTTAATGCCAGGCCCTGAGCCAGATGCTTCACTTACATTGCACGCACTCTAACCGTCCTAGTGGAAGGGCCTCATCATACCTGCTTCACAGATGAAGAACCAGAGGCTCACAGAACTTGGGTATTTCCCAGGATCAGGTGGCTAGTAAGGAACAGAGCTGGAACCGGATCCCTGATCTGAATTCCTCTAGAGCCCGTGCTGTTCCCACTCCCCTGAGCCGGAGGCAGACCTCCTCACTGGCACTTCATTCCTCTTCTCAGCAATGCATCATGTCTCTCAGGCAACAAAAAGAAGGACCCTGAGGCCAAGGTACTAAATGCAGGCCTAAAGAAGGTGCCAATGAGCATCAAATACAATTTGGGGATGGCATGCCGGGGGTCCCCTGGGAACTGTCTGCTGGGTGCTGCCTGTTGAGCACCTACTATGCAACAGGTTGTAGGAGCGCCTACAAATGCTCATCCACATCTTTGATCTTCTCTTTCCTGGGCACAAGGGACGAATACATAATCAGCACTTCTGTCTGGCATCAGCACGTTCCCGTGTCACAGTGCCCTTCCCCGGTCACTATCATGTTTCCTCCCTTCTGACTCTGCGACCTGACCTGCTGCTTGCTCTTCACTGTTGCCTCCCCCTGGAGGCTGGGCAGACCCCCCTGCCCTTCCTGCAACATGGAGCATTCCTAGCCCTTGAAGTAGTCCCCTGGTTCTCGCACGGCTCGCCCTTAGTCCAGTCCCACAGCCGCAACCATTCTGGACGGTGACTTTAGACACTTGGTCCTCCCTCCCTGGGAGAATTCTACTCTGTGTATTCCCAGTGGGCTGTGAGAAGAGTCCAATTTGACCCATAAGCTCCTGGTTGGGTTGCAGCCCCCAGGATTGAGAGAGTATTTTCGCAGTCAGTTGCATATTTGTAGTAGGATTTTATTGAGTTTGTTATCTGAAGCTGGGGACAGAACACGCAAACAGACGGATGGTGCTCAGAAATTCCCCTCCTAAGAGGTAGAAGAGGAGCAGCCATTTCATGAAGCTGAATTCTTACAAACCCTGGGCTCCTCCCAGGAGGGGAAAAATGGTTCCATGGCGAACATGCCAGCTGGAGTTTCAAAAGAATATTTAACCAGCCTTTCACTGCTTCCTGTCTGGCATCTGTCCCCAGGAACATGCCGGCTTTCAGCGTGACTAGTGGCACCTATACAGGTGTTCAGGTAAGAACAGTCATATGGAGGGTAGCAGAGATGATGGGTAAGATTCTGCCCCTGCATCAGATGGAAGGAGGAAATCCTCAGCTTCCTGAGCTGATAGATGGTGTGGCAAAGGGAAGTGCAGAAAATGCTATGGAGTGTACAAGGTGAACTCTCCATGCTGACCTTACAGGATCCTCTTCAAATCAGATGGGTTAATGCAGTGATCCCCACCCTTCCTGGCACCAGGGACCGGTTTCTGGAAGACAATTTTTCCATGAGCACGGGGTGGGGGTGGGGCATTGTTTCAAGATGATTCAAGCACATTACATTTATTGCGCACTTTATTTCTATTATTATTGCATACTCACCGTCGTGCAGAATCAGTGGGAGCCCTGAGCTTGTTTTCCTGCAAATAGATGGTCCCATCTGGGGGTGATGGGAGACAGTAACAGATCATCAAGCGTTAGATTCTCATCAGGAACACAAAACCTAGACCCCTCACGTGTGCAGTTCACAATAGGGTTCCCGCTCCTATGAGAATCTAATGTCGCCACTGACGTGACAGGAGGTGGAGTTCAGCTTCACCTGCTTGCCCAACCACTCACTTCCTGCTGTGCAGCCCAGTTCCTATCCATGGCCGGGGGTGTTGGGGACCCCTGGGTTAATACGTTTGAAAGCATCTGTAACATAGCAGACACGTCGAGCATTTCAAGGCAAATCTGGTCTTCTCAGAAACTTCTCTAAGAAACATTGTTGTTGTCACAACAGTTAATAGTTTCTGTAAAGTGTCCTCTACTTCTAGCTGTGTTCAACGCTGTTGCTTCTCCAAAACCACGTTTTCTGGGGTTTGGCTTTGTTTTGTGAGACAGAGACTCACTCTGTTGCCCAAGCTGGAGTGCAGTGGCAAGATCACAGCTCACTGCAATCCCTGCCTCCCAGGCTCAAGCCATTTTCGTACCTCAGTCTCCCGAATAGCTGGTATTAGAGGCATGCACCGCACGCCTGGCTAATTTTTGTATTTTTAGTAGAGACAGGGTTTCACCATCTTGGCCAGGCTGGTCTTGAACTCCTGGCCTCAACGGATCTGCCTGCTTCTGCCTCAAGAAGTACTGGGATTACAGGCTTGAACCACTGCACCTGGCCCAAACCCATGTGTTTTAAATTTCTCAGATTGACTTCGGGCCTTTCGGCTTGTCTGATCTACTTAAAGATCTAACTTTTGATTCCATCAGTATTATTTATTGTTTTTCTAAAACTTCTGAAATCTCAATTTCATTAATTTTTCTCTTCTTGTCTATATTATCCCCATCGTTTTGCTCACCTTAGGTTTAATTTCCTTTTCCTTTTCTAGCTATTTGAGATCAAAATATACATATTTGAGTCTTTTATTACTTTCTAATATAAACATTTCAGTACATAAAATGTCCCCTAGGCACATTTTAGCTAAATTGCAGATATTTTAAAACATCACATTTCCATTTTTATTTATTTGAAAATATTTTCTAACCTTCCTCAAGAATTTTTTTAAACATGGATTAGTAAAAATGTGTTGTTTATTTTAAAAATACTTAAGGACTTTACAGATATTTCCTTTGTTATATTTTGAATTACATTCCATTATAGATTTTAAAAAGATACTTTGTACAATTCCAATTATTTTAAATTTTTTATGGGTTGTTTTCTGGTCTCTTTTGGTAAAAATTCCACACACACTTGAAAATACCATATAATCTACCGTCGTTCTGAGGAGTGCTCACTAAAATCTAATCAGCTCACATTTGTTCTTTGTTGTTCAGCTCCTCCTACACCCTTGCAGAATTTCTGTCTACTTCAATCATTTACTTGGAGAGGACTGTTGCCATCTCCAAATATCATTGTAGATTTGGCGATTTATCCTTGCAGTTCTATCAGATGTAGTTTCTTGCATTTTGAAGCTCTGCTTTTAGGTGAATTAATAGTTAAGATTATTACGTCTTCTCCCCAAAAGAAACCCCCTCCATGTGCAATTCATTTATAGCTGTACCCACCACTGCGCGCCGAACCCTGACAGCCACTCATCTGTACTCCATCGTTTCAGTTTTCTCTTTCAAGAATGCCAGGTAAACAGAATAATAGAATATGTAACTGGTTGAGACTGGCTCCTTTCACACAGCAAAACACCTTCGAGTTTGAAACACATTGTTGTGTGTATCAGTAGTTCATTCTTTTTCATTGCTGAGAAGTATTTCATAGTAAGTAAGGATGCCCCAAAATTTCATTTCCCATTTACCCATGGAAATACATTTGTATAATTTCCAGGTTTTGGCAAATATGACTGGAGCTGCTATAAACATTCACGTACATAGGCTTTTGTGTGAACATAAATTTTTCTTTTTCCCTTAGATGAAATCGCTGAGTCACATGGCATGTGTTCATAAGTAATTACCAAATCATTTTCTGCAGTTGTCCCGTTTCATAACTGCCACTAGCAATGTATGAAATTTCAAGTTGTTCTTCATCCTTGTTAGCACTTACAAGTATCTCGTTAAAAATTTCAGTCATTTTCAAATATGTGTTATGGCATCTGATCATGGTTTAATTTGCATTTCTCTAATAGCTGTGATGTAGAATAGTTTTTCATGGGCTTATTTGTCATGCGTATGTCCTTTTGGGTGAAATGTCTATTGATATGTTTTGCCCTTCTAAAAAATGTGGTTGTTTGTGTTAAATGAACTCATGGGAGGCCATTGTTTTGCCCTAATCTCTGGCCCCAGACCCCAGCAGAACAGACAAAATCAGAATAGTGTCCCTTGTACTAATTGCCATTCATCAAAGTGAACATTGAAACGGGCCAGTTCTCAAAAAACTAAAAACAGAATAGTCACAGCAACCAATAACGAGGAGCCCACCGTACCTGAGCAGGCACGATAAGAAAGTTTTCTCTGCTTTAATCCTACAAGGAAATCAACTTTGAAATCACCAAACCACCTTTTGTTCCCTGTTTCTACTTTTTTCGTCCTCTTCTGCCTATAAGCCAACGTCTTTTGCTCAGCACATAGGGACACTCATTCAAGTTGACGGAGAGAAAAAATGCCCATTCAAGAATCATAAAGAAAAGCCAGTTAGATCTTTGAACAAAATTTGGTGAAACTTTGTGTTTTGACATGTGTTCTAAGTTTTGAGATTTTGGGAATCTTTATACAATTTTCATAAAAGGCCTTTGGTGTATATATGATTTGCAAATACTTGTGAATACTTCGTTTGGCTTTTTAGTGTCTCTTCAGTGTCTTTCTCAGAGCAAAAGTTTTAACTCTGAGGAAGTCTAATTTATTGTTTCTTTTCTTTATGAATCACACTGCTGGTGTCATGTTTAAGACCTCTTTGCCTCACATCAGGCTACTAATATTTCA
This sequence comes from Homo sapiens, assembly GCF_000001405.40. Classification (NCBI taxonomy): domain Eukaryota; kingdom Metazoa; phylum Chordata; class Mammalia; order Primates; family Hominidae; genus Homo; species Homo sapiens. The sequence continues at coordinate 149,576,064 of NC_000023.11, read as the reverse complement.
CCCTGTGTTTTCTTTAAGTTTTTTCTTGCTGTTGTTGTTTGTTTGTTTGTTTGTTTGTTTGTTTTTTGAGACGGAGTCTCACTCTATTGCCCAGGCTGGAGTGCAATGGCAGGATCTCGGCTCACTGCAACCTCCGCCTCCCGGGTTCAAGCGATTCTCCTGCTTCAGCCTCCCGAGTAGCTGGGATTGCAGGTGCGCACCACCACGCCCAGCTAATTTTTATATTTTTACTAGAGATGGGGTTTCACCATGTTGGCCAGGCTGGTCTTGAACTCCTGACCTCGTGATCTGCCCACCTCGGCCTCCCAAAGTGCTGGGATTACAGGCGTGAGCCACTGCACCCGGCCTTCTTTAAAAGTTTTATAGTATTTCATGTAACATTTGGATCTGTAATCCACTTTGAGTTAATTTTTGTATAACATGTGAGGTTTTGGTCAAGTCTTTTTTATAACACATGGATGTTCAGTTGTTCCAATACCACTAATTGAAAAGACTAATATTTTTCCAATAAATTGTCTTTACCCCTTTCTAAAACCTCCATTGCTATATTCGCGTGGATCTATTTATGGATTCTCTGTTTTAATCCATTAATCTATACGTGTATCCCTTAGAAAAGTCCATAATGACTTGATTGTTTTAGGCTTATGCTAAATCTTAAAATTGAGTGGTACGATTTGTGCAATTACTCTGTGTTTTGAAAATTGTTTTAATTATTTCAAAACCTTTACCTTTCCGTATGCTTTTTGAATCAGCTTGTGTACAAGTACAAAAAAGCTTGCTGGTATTTTACTGGAGTTACATTGGATCTATGGATCGCTTTGTTACAGATCACATATCTTCACTGAGTCTTCCAGTGAATGTACATGCTATGTCTATTTAGTTGGGCCTTCTTTGAATTTTTCATCAGCATTTTGTAGTTTTCACCATCCTGATATGTACATGTTTTGTTAGATATATACCAAAGCATTTCATTTTTAATTTTATTAAAATGGCTATTTTGTTTTTGTTTTTGTTTTTTGGGTTTTTTTTTGGTAAAAAAAATCAAGAATGTATAGTACAGAATCTACAGTGTAGCTGGAGTCAACAAAGCCTTTGAGGATAATATGCTGTATCAGCTGGGCCTCAAATGATTATTTGGAAAGGAGGAAAGGGCACACAAGAAGTGATACTAAAAGAGCAAAGTGATTGAGATGGGATTTTTTTTCCAGGGAATCTCTTTTAATTTTAAATTACTATTATTACATTTTAAGTTCTGGGGTATATGTGCAGAACCTGCAGGTTTGTTACATAGTACAGAACGTGCAGGTTTGTTACATAGGTATCCACGTGCCATGCGGCACTATTCACAATAGCAAAGACTTGGTACCAACCCAAATGTCCAACAATGATAGACTGGATAAAGAAAATGTGGCACATATACACCATGGAATACTATGCAGCCATAAAAAAGGATGAGTTCACGTCCTTTGTAGGGACATGGATGAAGCTGGAAACCATCATTCTCAGCAAACTAACACAAGAACAGAAATCCGAACACCGCATGTTCTCACTCATAAGTGGGAGTTAAACCATGAGAACACATGGACACAGGGAGGGGAGCATCATACACTGGGGCCTGTCAGGGGGTGGGGGGCTAGAGGAGGGATAGCATTAGGAGAAATACCTAATGTAGATGACAGGTTGATGGGTGCAGCAAACCACCATGCCACATGTATACCTATGTAAAACTGCTATGTTTAAAAAAGTTTTCCAATTTTCTTAAATGCTTATGTTCACTCGGGTATGTAAGGAGCTAGATGGCTCTCTGCCTCTGACGCAAACAAGATAAGAAGCTGAACAAATTGGAAAACAACAACTTTTCTCTGATCCCTCAGAGAGCTGAGGCCATAGGGCTGATTGCTGACCCAAAACGGAAGAGACAGTAGATACAGTCAGCCACAACTTTGGAGAGCAGAAGCTCAGGAGCTGAATGCCCAGAAACAAGGACCAGGATACGAAAACCTCATCTTTATAAGACGAATGGTGGAGGGCTCACTATGGACAAATTTGAGAACTAAAAACTCCTGGGGGCACCATCCAGAAGGCTACCACAGTTTCCAGAGTTTCACCTCTGGGAGCCCTATCAGGTTCCCCCAGTGAGGACCAGAGGGAGAAAGGAGTCATTCGAAAATATGCCCAGAGTATTCTGTTCTTCAAACGAGGGTCTGCCCTCAAGAGAAACTGTTTTACCAGAGTCTGTCCTACTTGGTTTTTTTCTAGACTCTCATCAACACTGGGTAAGGAAAACACCCAGCTACAACATTCTGGCCCCTTAATGTCTGTCCAAGGAGAAAACAAAACAAAACTGAGAAGCACTAGTGAAAGCCACAGCCCGGTGTACACTGACTCAAGCCTGCCATGTAGTCATAGGAGGATAGAAGTCTTCCCCTCCCTCTGCAGCTCACTGCCACATCAACTGGGGAATGAAACTGAAAGAACTGTGAGTGCCAGACCATAGTGAGCAGGTCTCCAAGGAAAACCAAACACAGCCAAGGAGGAAAAGTGAAGGACACCACAGGGAGGTTTAGCCTCTGACACCTACAGCTACAGCAAACAGTAAACACAGCCAGATGAAGGTAAACCTCACACTAAAGGCCTATTTAACTCCATTCTTTTCATCTGACACATCGTGGCAAGTTTGCAAAAGGAAATTTCAAAGCATACTAATAGACAAAAAAAAAAAAAAAAAACACACACACACAGTGTGAAGACAAAGAGCAGGTATCAGAAACAGACTCAGATATGATAGAGATGTTGGAATGATCTGACTGGGAATTTAAGACAAGTATGAGTAACACGCTGTGGGCCCTAATGGAAAAAGTGGATAATATCCAAGAATAGGTAAGTACTGTAAGTCAAAATATGGAAACTCTTCAAGAACAACTGAAAAGGGGGAAACTGTTCTGTTTAGGAAAGCTAGCACAGCCTCCTTTAGAAAGACTCATTAATTCAGGGGCTTGTGTGAAACAACCTTCAGGGGAGGGGAGGCCATTTCTGTGAACTAGCCTCCTGTCCTAAGCCCCAGCTGACCACACCCAACCAGAACATGGTCACTTGTGCTGAGTGCCACGTAAGCATCCAGGGCTTTCCAAGGGGCCAATTAAAAAAAAAAAAGTGCAGAATCTTCCAATTAACCTGAGTCAGCATAGTAAGGAAGTCTCCTCTTCTTTAACCCTAAGTGGAAAGTAAATTTGAAATGACCAATCTGCTTTCTTTCTTTCTATTTTTTTTTCTTATTTCTGCTTTCTTTAGCACTGTTCTGCCTATGAAGCCAACCTCCTCTGCTCGGTTCACTGGAACACTCATTTTATTTTATAGAATGTTGTGTTGTCCAATTCTAGTATTGTGAAAAAACTTTAAAAGCCAGCTCGATCTTCAAATCGTATTTGATGTCATTTATTCTCTTGGCAGTTTCTGGCAACCCATGAAGGGACACAAAAGACACAGCTGATGTCTCTGGAGACTCCTTGACAAATGCAGGGAAGATGCCACTGACAGCTTTGGAGGCCCCTCTCACCCTCACAGAGACACAAGTGTTCTAATTTCCTCTCGGGTCAGATTTTTGCATTGAGTCCCCTGACTCTTTTGGCTCTTGATTCCAGGATTCATTTGTCCTGTGAGAGAGAACATGACCTGGGGGTTTGTGGGAGCTAACAAGTCACTGACAATACATGTAGTTTTAAAGGTAACTGATGGCAGGAGCAGATTATCACATGCAGTGTGTGACTCTGGCTTTTGGAAATTTGCAGGGATGTGGGTTCTCCAGTTTCTTTTGCTTGTATGCTTCGGTAGGAGAGATTCACTGGCTACGTTAGTCAGGGGAAGCTCAGAGCCATAGCCATGACTGACTGGTGGCTCCAGTTTAGGCACTTAGGAGCGATTAGAGCACTCGCCACCTAAAAATAAGACGTCTGTGTTAGGATCAGCTGGTCATGAAACAAATAAGTTAAATACCATGTCACCGTCAGCCTCAAGACAGCATCCATGCAGCAAGGTTCACTGGAAAGCAAACCAGGACCCAATCCCGTGGCATTTCCTTCTTAGACTTTGATCTTATCTCTGAATCAACATAAAAATGGGATCCTTGCTTTCCAGACAACTGTGTACTCCACCTTCTGGCTATGCCTGCTTTCTATATGCGTAAGTATTACGCAGCAGAATCAGCAAACCTTTTCAAAAAGGTGCAATCTTCATAAGGATAATTTAGACTTACAATGGCCATCATGTGAAACATTTCAGATGAACAATACTGTTCATCCCAAAAATGTGCTTAAAAATTAGGCCCTCTGAAATAGGCCCCCACATGGATGCCTATTCATGTGCACAAATTTCTAAAAAAGGTTTTTGTAAAACTTGCCTCCCAGAGACAATTTGTGGGTGTTCTGGATTTTATGGCAAAGTTGTTTGCATAAGTTCAATCACAGTCTGCTCTCTTTATAACAGGATGCAACTGGGAATACTAGTTATACTACCCAGGTTGTCACTGCGATACCATGTTTGAGAACGTCCATAGAATGTATGGCTTTAAGTGTTCCCAGATTTATAGTGAGAAAAAAAGTCACTTCCTGGAAAGCCCAGGAACCTCAAAATATTTGGGGGACCCCGAGAAGAGAGAAATTCACCCAAATCTATAGGTGCAGCAGACAAAGTCTGAAGTCCACCTTGGTTTGGCTTCCTAGCATAAAGAGGCTTTGAAAACTGAAATCTGAGAATCCTCCCTAAAAGTTCCAACAAAGCAAACTTTAAAAGAGCCTATGTGGCTAATGGATCCTTGCTGCACTTACATAAGTAATCATTCTAAGTTTGATGAGACTAAACTTATTTTTTTATCAAAATAGTCTTACTCTAGTTATCTTTGATAGAAATGCAGACAGAAGAGAGAAAAATTAAGTTTCAGGAAAATTAAAAAAACTATGGTATACTTGTTATTAGCTTGTAGCTCTGTTCGTTGTTTTCGAGTCTAATTGCAGGCCATACATGATTCTAAATTGTTCTAATTTTCTCCATTATCTGGCTGCAAGTCTCATACTAACGGGAACTGCTCAGGTCCTCTGTAAGCTGCAGCTCAACATCTCATGTAAACGTCAACAAACAACCCTCCCGCCTGATGTGTGAGCCACTCAGAGAGTTCACCACAATGCCTGAAGCCATAAGCAGACTTTCAAGCTATAAGCCAGAATGAGAACTCGATGACTTCATCCTGTAGACAGCTTCTCTGAAGATGTTGAAACAAGACTCCCTTTCACAATGACATCCTTATCCCTCTTAATTTTTTCTTGCTTATGCTTCCCTCTTTCACTTGGCAAGATAACACCTGTATGCTAGACCTTTGAACGAGGTGGGGGTTAAGGGGACCGACTCCCAATGCAGTCAAAAATCTGTGTATAAACATTGAACCCCCAGAAACATAACTACTATTAGCCTGCTGTTGACTGGAAATATTATGGATGAACACATATTTTGTGTTTTAAGTGTATTATGTACTATATTTGTACAATAAAGAAAGCTAGAGGTAAGAAAGGGTTATTAAGAAAGTCATACAGAGGAGAAAACATATTTACTGTTCACTAAGTAGAAGTGGATAATGATAAAAATCTTCATTCTCATCAACTTCACATTGAATAGGCTGAGGAGGAGGAAGAAAAGGAGGGCTTGTTCTTGCTGTCTCAGGGATGGCAGAGGCAGAAGAAAATCCATGCATAAGTGGACCCATGCAGTTCAGACCTGTGTGGGTCCAGGGTGACATGTAGTTAGAATTTTACAATGATCAGCTTCCATAGAACATTGGATATCCCATGCCAAGCCCATATCTTTACATGACCCAAGACATTCTTTAATCCACCCAGTGGCTAAATTTAGAAACATCCTTGATGCAATTGTTTGTTTAAACTTTGCTAGGGATCCCTTTTATAGTCAGACTTCAAGATCCACTTGGCCTCACTCCCTGCCTCAGTTTAGCCCGTGATGGGATACTAGATCATGGAACTGCAACCTTCTAGCTCAACAGGAAGGACTCTGTGCAGCTGCTAACACTTTCTTTTGTACGTGGATGAGTAAGACAAACAGGCTGGTTGGTTAGAATGGGTAGATTCCTCATCTGGCTCATTCTTTGGTCTGCTCAGTTTCAGTTGGTTTAGCTCATGGGAAGCCTGCCTAAGGGGCTGTTTTCAGAGCCCCCAGCCAAACTGAAGTTCTAGTACCAGAATATCTGGTGAGGCTGACCTAACTGGAGATGGAGGGGAGCTGATGGTAGGTTTTCCAGTATGCCTTTCACAGGGTAATTCTTGTGCCTGGCGGACAGCCTAATAAGTTTATTTTCCACAAGATTTGGTTCAGGAAAACTACCAGGTGGTTTCACATAACTGGTTTCAGTGAGGGCCCTTAGAACCCACAGTGGAGAAGACAACCAAGCTGTCTTTTGGGGTTCTTGATTTCAGAACTTGGCTTTTGGACGGCATTTTTAGACCTGTCCTGGGCCAGGAGGGAACCCACTATCCTGAAGTCTTACCAGATTTGCTTGGCTTATTTGATCATGCAAGAGAATTACATATGAATAATTAGGTCCCCCTGCTCACTGGCTCATTTTTTCTCAAAAGATTCATTGAGCATCTGCTATTTGGAAGGCTTAGGTTAATAGTAGAGATGCTAAGGTAAGCCACATCCACCCCTAACCTTAGGGCGGTAGAGTCTAGGATCTGCAGTCACATAATTAAAGTGGCTAGATGTCTTCTAAGATCTGGAGGGAAAATAAGAGAGCGGTGAGGGTGTGGAGCAACAGGTGAGAGTATTAATAGTTGAGTGTACATGCCCTGAGCCAAAACCTTTTGGACTTTGGGAAACTGTAGTTCCTTCTCGGGGAGCTAATTGTAATGAAGCTGTGTGGTGCCAGAGCCAGATTCTCAGGCATGAGAGAAAAGCCTGGAATAGAAAACTGCTCAGCAGTTCCTTTTGAATAGTGGATAAAGCAGAGAGGAGTTTCCATCTGGGGCAGGAATGGAAAGCATTCTGTGCTCCTGTTCCAGTGAGGTGGAACACAGCACAAGAGCTAGGTGATGGATACGCATCACCTGCAAGTGTTTTCTGAGAGATAAGGGTGAATATCCCTGGAAGTGAGGCCCAGAAGCCACTGGACAGGTACTCTTCTGCCTGGCTGGGAGCCAAAGCTGACTCTATTAAAATGACATTCTAATTAGGTCATCTCAAGTGCCATTTGGCTAATTTTAGCAACGGCTAGATTTTGGGTGGCAATGAAATGAAAAAAAAATAGTGGTTTGGATGGAAAAGCAGCGGGCAGAGAAGGAAGGAGTTGGTCCTTGACTCAAATTCTAGGAGCTGTGAGCTGCATCTGGCTTGGGAAAACTCCCCAACAACCAAAGTTTGAAGTATGTCCTCTAAGAGGAAATATTTACTGAATTTTATAGATGAAACTTCATTCTTTGACTGATTATTCCATGTCTTACCAAGCTGTATATTATCTGATAAGTCCTGGAGAACAATGACAACAACAACAAAATCCCAGAGTGTTAAGGCCTGGGGTAAAATAATATAGGAAAAAACAGCCATTCGCCGTTCTTTAAACTTGTAATTTACGCCAGGCCCTGAGCTAGGTGCTTCACTTGCATGGCACACACTCCAACAGTCCTAGTGGAAAGGACTTGTCACACCTGCTTCACAGACGTAGAGCTTGAGGTTCACAGGGCTTGGGTATTTCCCAGAATCCCGTGGCTACTAAGGGACAGGGCTGGAAAGACCCCTGGTCTGAATTCCTCCAGAGCCTATGCTGTTCCCCCTCCCCCCAGCCTGAGCCCCATCTCCTGACTGCATCTTCTCAGCACTGCGCCATGTCTCTCAGGTGACAGAAAGAACCCTGAGACCAAGGTACTAAAAGCAGGTCTACAAAGGTGACAATGAGAATCAAACACCATTAGGGGGTGGCATGTGCTAAGTCCCCTGGGAGCTCATGGCTGAATGCTTTCTGTTGAGCACCTACTATGGGTGCTCATCAGGTTGTGGGAGAGGCTTCAAGTGCTCATCCACATCTTGCATTCCTGTCCTTCCTGGGCACATGGGACAAGTACACTCCCAGGATTTGTTTCTGGCCCCGACAGTTTCTCGTGTCACAGCACCCTTTCTCAGTCACCCTCATGTGCCCTCCCTTCTGACTAGGGGAACTGGCCTGCTGTCCGGTCTTCACTGCTGCCTCCCCTGGAGGCTGTGCAGAATCACCTCCCCTCCCTGGGACATGGAGTAATCCTATCCCCTGCAAAAGTCCCTTGACTCTGCCACCACACACCCTTGGTCTTGTCTCACAGCCACAGCCACCCTGGACTGCAACTTTAGACGCTTGGTATTCCCTCTGGGAAATCCTCTGCATACTGTTTGTTTTCCCAGTGGGCTGCAAGTAGAGTATGATTTGAAACATAATTTCCTGGTTCTTAGGGTACAGGCCTGAAGGTAGACAGAGAGTTTGTCCAGTCACTAGCATATTTGCAGTTTTATTTTAATGACCTTCTTATCTGAACCTGGGGACTGAACGGGCAAACACAGGGACAGGCTTTCTTAGGTGCTCAAAACTTCCATCCCCTCATAAGAATTCTAAGAGGAACAGCGATCAACTGAGTCTGAATTCCTACAAACCCTGGGCTTCTCCCAGGAGGTGAAAAATGGTTCCATGATTGACATGCCAGCTAGAATTTGAAAAGAATAATTAATCAGCCTTCCACTGCCTCCTGTCTGGCATCTCTCCCCAGGAACATACTGGCTTTCAGTGTGACTAGTGGTGCCTGTACAGGTGTTCAGGCAAGAATGGTTATGTGGAAGGTATCAAAGACTCTGAGCAAAATTCTGCCCCTGCATCAGATGGAAGGAGGAAATCTTCGGCCTCCTGAGATGACAGATGGCACTGCAAAAGGAAGTGCAGTAAATGCTATGGAGTGAAGAAGGTGAACTCTTTCTGCTGACCTTTACAGGATGCTCTTCAAATTGGATGGGCTAATGCATTTGAAAACAACTGTCACGGCCAGGCGTGGTGGCTCACACCTGTAATCCCAGCACTTTGGGAGGCCAAGGTGGGTGGATCACGAGGTCAGGAGTTCAAGACCAGCCTGGACAATGTGGTGAAACCCCGTCTTTACTAAAAATACAAAAAAATTAGCCGGGCATGGTGGCACACGCCTATAGTCCCAGCTATTCAGGAAGCTGAGGCAGGAGAATCACCTGAACCCAGGAGGCGGAGGTTGTGGTGAGCCTAGATCACGTCACTGCACTCCAGCCTGGGCAATAGTGCGACACCGCGTCTCAAAAAAAAAATCTGCCACATAGTAGGCACTTAAAAATTAAGACAATTTCAAGGAGAATCTTGTCTTCTCAGAATCTTCTCTAAAGAACGAAGAGTGTTATCACAAGAAAATTATAGTTTACATATACTTTCCTCTATTTGAAGCTTTGTTCAAAGTCATTGCTTCTGAACAACTTTTAGAAAAAAATTCTCAGATTGATGTCAGACATTTCAACTAGTCTTATCTATTTAAAGAAGTAACTTTTAGAGGCCAAGGTGGGCAGATCACCTGAGGTAAGGAATTCGAGACTGGCCTGGCCAACATGGTGAAACCCTGTCTCTACTAAAAATTAAAAAATTTGCCGGGTGCGGTGGCGGGCACCTGTAATCCCAGCCACTCGGGAGGCTAAGGCAGGAGAATCGCTTGAACCCGGGAGGCAGAGGTTGCAGCAAGCTGAGATCGTGCCACTGCACTCCAGCCTGGGCGACAAAGTGAGATTCTATCTCAAAAAATTTTTTAAAAAGTAAATTTAGTTCCATCAACCTCATTTATTATTTTTCTATAATTTCTGAAATTTTTTATTTCCCTATCTATATCATCCATATATATATATGTATAAAAAATATATATACATATATTTCTTTTTTTGAGATGGAGTCTTGCTCTGTCACCCAGGCTGGAGTGCAGTGGTGTGATCTCGGCTCACTGCAACCTCCGCCTCCTAGGTTCAACTGATTCTCCTGCCTCAGCCTCCCGAGTAGCTGGGATTACAGGTGCCCATCACCACGCCCAGCTAATTTTTGTATTTTTAGTAGAGACGGGGTTTCACCACCTTGGCCAGGCTGGTCTCTAACTCCTGACCTCGTGATCCACCCACCTTGGCCTCCCAAAGTGCTGGGTATCATCCATATATTTTTGTTGGCCTTAGGTTAATTTACTTTTCTTTTCTCATTATATAAGATCAAAGTTTAGATTTTTTGTTTGAATCTTTTCTTACATTCTAATACAAGCATTTAATGATATAGGCACTACTTTACCTGAATTCCACAAATTTTTAAACATGACATTTACGTTTTAATTTATTTGGAAATATTTTCTAACTTTCCTCAAGAATTTTTTGAAACATGGATCACTAAAAATATGTTATTTTAAAAAATACAGGTATCTCATTCGTTATATTTTTTATTTTATCCCATTACAGATTTTAAAAACATACTTTGTACATATTCAATTATTTTAAATTAGTTATGGGTTGATTTATGATTTATTTTGGTAAAACTTCCACATATACTTGAAAATCTTGTATATTCTGCTGCTTTGCTGTGGCGCATTCAGCAAAAGCCAATCAGCTCGAGGTGGTTCATTTTGTTGTTCAGGTCTTTCCATAACTTTGAGGACTTTCTGTCTAGTTCATTTATCATTTACTCAGAGAGGAGTGTTGGAGTATCAAAATATGATTGTAGATTTGATTATTTGTCCTTTCAGTTCTATCAGATGATGTTTTGTGTATTTTGAAGCTCTGCTTTTAGGTGAATTAACAGTTAGGATTATTATGTCTTACCTGTTAAGTGACTATTTTTTATCATTGCATAATGTCCCTATTTATCCATGGCAATTTTCCTTCTTATAAAGTAAAAAATTAAGTAATATAGTCACTCTAGCTTACTTTTTAAATTTTATTCTGTAAAGTACCAAATACTAAAATATCAGGCAAAATTCACTCCCGATATTTCACGTAGGTTCTTTTCTGTTTTCCCTAAGTGTCGGCTGGTCTGAGACATAAAGGGAAAGAGTACAAAAGAGAGAAATTTTAAAGCTGGGTGTCCAGGGGAGACATCACATGTCGGCAGGTTCCACGATGCCCCCCAAGCTGCAAAACCAGCAAGTTTTTATTAGTGATTTTCAAAAGGGGAGGGAGTGCACGAATAGGGTGTGGGTCACAGAGATCACATGCTTCACAAGGTAATAAGATATCACTGGAGGCAGGGCGAGATCACAGGACCACAGGACCAGGGTGAAATTAAAATTGCTAATGAAGTTTCGGGCAGGCATTGTCATTGATAACATCTTATCAGGAAACAGGGTTTGAGAGCAGACAACCAGTCTGACCAAAATTTATTAGGCAGGAATTTCCTCGTCCTAATAAGCCTGGGAGCGCTATGGGAGACCGGGGCTTATTTCATCGCACAGCTGTGACCATAAAAGACAGCCGCTCCCAAAGCGGCCATTTCAGAGGCCTCCCCTCAGGGACGCATTCTCTTTCTCAGGGATGTTCCTTGCTGAGAAAAAGAATTCAGCGATATTTCTCCCATTTGCTTTCGAAAGAAGAGAAATATGGCTCTGTTCCACCCAGCTCACTGGCAGTCAGAGTTTAAGGTTATCTCTCTTGTTCCCTGAACATTGCTGTTATCTTGTTCTTTTTTCAAGGTGCCCAGATTTCATATTGTTCAAACACACATGCTCTACAAACAATTTGTGCAGTTAACGCAATCATCACAGGGTCCTGAGGTGACATACATCCTCCTCAGCTTTCGAAGATGATGGGATTAAGAGATTAAAGACAGGCATAGGAAATCACAAGGGTATTGATTGGGGAAGTGATAAGTGTCCATGAAATCTTCACAATTTATGTTCAGAGACTGCAGTAAAGGCAGGCATAAGAAACTATAAAAGTATTAATTTGGGAAACTAATAAATGTCCATGAAATCTTCACAATTTATGTTCTTCTGCCATGGCTTCAGCCGGTCCTTCTGTTCAGGGTCCCTGACTTCCTGCAACACTAAAATTATTTTCTTTTCTTTTGGTGTCCAGTTCTATGGGTTTTAGCCCATGTGTTAATTCATGGAACCAAAACGACTATCATAATACAAACAATTTCATCACATTCCTCCCCCCAAAACCCCCCTCCACCTGCTATTATAGTTAATCCCACCTCTCCACCACTAACTCTACTATCCACTCATTTGTACACCATCATTTCAGTTTTCTCTTTCAAGAAGGTCACATAAATAGAATAATAGAAGTCGGGCACGTTTGGTACTTGTTCTTGTGGGGCAGTCGGGATTCTGGAATACTTTGGCTTTTGGGGTGGTCAGGCTTGTGGAGCAGTTGTGTTTCTGGTGCACTAGGCCTTGTGTGGTAGGTGGGCTTGTGGAGCAGTTGGCTTGTGGGACACTCGGGCTTGTGGGGCAGTCAGGCTTGTGGAGCACTCAGGCTTTTGGAGCACTAGGGCTTGTGGGGCAGTTGGGCTTGTTTGGCAGTTGGGATTCTGGAGAACTAGGGTTTGTGGGGTACCTTGGCTTGTGGGGCAGTCAGGCTTATGAAGCACAGAGGTTTGTAGGGCTTTCAGGCTTGTGGGGCATTCAAGCTTTTGGGGCAGTTGGGCTTCTGGAGGACTCAGGCTTGTGGGGAACTAAGGCTTGTGGAGCACTCAGGCTTGTGAGGCTGTCACATTTGTGGGGTGGTCAGGCTTGTTGGTCAGCCAGGCTTTCAGAGCAGTTGGCATGGGATGCAATCAGGCCTGTGGGGCAGTTGGGCTTGTGTGGCAGTTAGCTTGTGGGGCAATGGGGCTTGTGGGGAAGTTGGGATTCTGGAGAACTAAGGCATGTGGGGCAGTTGGGCATGTGGGACACTCGTTCTGCTCTTTTGCCTTCCTTTTTGCCTTCATATCAGTTTTGAAAGTTTCTATTTTCATTTTTTTCTGGCTTTCTTCTTGTTTCCTTAGCCATGTCCTGTCTATTGATGAGTTAATCAAAGTCATTCTTCATTTTTGTAACAGTGGGGATTTTGGGGTTCTTCTTTTTTTTTGAGAAAGGGTCTCACTTTTTCACCCAGGCTGAGTGCAGTGGCACAATCACAGCTCACTGCAGCCTTGACCTCACTGGCTCAAGTGATCCTCCCACCTCAGCCTCCCAAGTAGCTGGGACTACAAGCATGCGCCACCGTGCCCAGCTAATTTTTGAATTTTTGTAGAGATAGGGTCTTGCAACTTTACCCAGACTGGTCTCAAACTCCTGGATGTAAGCAATCCTCCTGCCTTGGCCTCCCAAAGTGTGAGGATTAACAGGCGTGAGCCACTGCACCTGGCCTGGTTTCATTTTTTTCTAATAAAACATTTTTATTTTGGTAAAACACATGTGAAATTGACCCTCCTAACCATTTTAAAGGTATAGTTCAGTGGTATTAAGTACATTCATATTTTTATGCAACCATCACCACCGTTCATCTCAAAAACTTGTTTCCTGTGGCAAAAGTGAAACACTTTACCCACTAAACATTAGCTCCCCATTCCCTCTTATCCCAAAGCCATGGCAACTACCTTTCTTCTGTCTGTATGAATTTGACCATTCTAAGTACTTCATGTAAGTAGAATCATACAGTAGTTCCTTTTTTTGTGACTGAATTATTTCGCTTAGCCTAATGTCCTCAAGGTTCATCCATGTTGTATACTATTCCACAATTACCTACCTTTTTAAGGATGAATAATATAACATTGTATGTATATATCACATTTTTCTTATTCATTCATTTATCAGTGGATTCCTGGAAAATCTTTCTCATAGATCTCTTCCTGTCCACACCTCATGTGCAGTTCTCATATTTGGGCTGACTGTGACTCCAGGCTTAGAGATACAACAGGAAAACATGGTACAGGAATTTTCACTGCCATATTGATCTTACTTCAAGTCTGGTTTCTTTCCCCAATGCTCTTGTTACTATTTACTTTTTAGAAACCTAACCATTTTGTTTTAGAACAGAGTTGGATTTACAGAAAAGCTGCATAGATAGGACTCGGAGTTTCCTTCACAAAATGGGTGGAACAATAGAATCTATGGATGTTTGCAAAGCATTGAGAACAGTCCTTGAGACCTAAGAAGCACTTAAGCAAGCTTGGCCATTATGATTCTTCTCAGCAGCGTCCTAATCTGAAATTCCCTGGAGTGGGAGACGGAAGGGATGGACAGGTGTGTCAGGGTCCCCAAAATGAAATGGGGGAACCCAGACCACTGAATCAGGTCTAGTAGCTCACTAGGAGAACTCATGGGACTCATGATATAGTCCTACCCACGACGACAACTTACTACAGTGAAAGGATACCAAGCACAATCAGCAAAGGGAAAGGGTGCACAGGGAGAAGTGCAGGAGACCAGACACAAGTTTCCAGAGTCATCTCATCTCCCAGTAGGGTCACATAGAACGCACTTAATTCCCTCACAACAAGGTGTGACCACACATGTAAAATGCTGCCAACCAGCGGAGCTCAGTAAAACCTCATCACCCATGAGTTGAACTTGGCACTGGTCACATAAGCAGTTCTGCCTGGCATGAACCAAAATTCCAGACTCCCAGGAGGAAAGCAGTGTGCAGCTTTTTGTTTGCATAAGCAGCTTGGGTATAGTGAACCACCCTGATCAGTTCTGAGAAAGGTGGAATCCCTCCCAAATCCAAGTCCTGAGAATCCAGCCAATGGATAACACTGAAAGCAGCAGGCTTTGCCAAAGATAGCAGTGAGGCCTGCTGTGTGAACTCTTTTCTTCACAGTGCACCCCACTGGCCAAGGCATATTACAGGAAAATTATCATAGGACCTGACACAACAGGGTGGAAACCAAGCTGCATATAGATGTCACTTGTGCCTGTTAGGGGTCCTGTACTGAACCAGTTAACACAAACCCCATTAACCAAAGAGATGTATCTTAGACAGTCACGTGGCTTCCCTCTTAAATTTCAGTACTTTTTCTTTATACTTGGCCAATTCAATCAATTGGGGCATCAATTCAGGTAAAACACAGCTCTGGACAGGAAGTTCGAGCTGACCTGGAAGCCATCCAGGGCTGAGGCAGTGTCATGACAGGCAGGGCACATAAGCTGTACAATACCCGAGCATACACATGGTCTCCCTGCAAACTCAGAGTGTACCATAGTTTGGGCAACACAAGAGGGTGTACCTAAGTCAGGCAGCACAGGTTAACAGTACCACACTGTGGCCTGTTTTCCAGTACAGGCTATATAGTCCAGTTCCATCCTTGGTTTCCCTTGCAGACAGTTTGGCTTGTGCATGACAGATCCAGAGGACACCTGGAGGCGCTCTAAGGGAAACATGGAGAAGCTCGGGCCACCTCCTCTGTCCCTTAGTCGGTGGGGTCAGGTGTGGTCTCAGGCATGGCCATCATTTTGGATACACAAAACTTGCAGAAGCTTTCAAAGGCAGCATGGGGTGTTTTCCTTCAGCAAGAGGTGAAAGCTTTCAGGAATAGTTCTGAAACACCAAGATCACAATGCCTTCTCCCACACCTCTACAGATGTCTCATTCTCTTTTTCCTCCATCCTTATAAAATCAGCATGGCCCACTCAACAATAAAAGCTTTACATTGCTTCAGTCATCTCTTACCCTCCCCCTGGCCTTCTTGCCTGGCAGGGCTATATGAAAGAGAGATGACACTGTTTTTACAGAAAAACACTGTCATACAGCATCATGAGAACAGAAAGGCCCCTCATGTTTAGGAAGCAGTCAGGAAGAAATCCCGCATTTCCAAAAGATTCCAAAATGGGTTTACTCCTTTTCATCCTGCTCATTTATGCAGTGAGCAGTGTAGAACAACAATTTAAAAAATAATAATCCCTCCCTGGGCACAGCTGCATTTGATAATCCTACTGCCTGACTTGTAGGCCAGAAGCAAGGAAAGAAAGTAGCCAGGCTGTCTGTCCACTTTCCCAAACTGAAACTAATGTGGATCGCTGGACACAAGTCACCAGCAGTGGACATCACAGAGAGAAGGTCTAAGACTGATCTGTCACAATTGGGCAGAGGGATCACAATTCCTGTTGGGTGCCCTCCCTCAATGTGCAGCTTTTGACAGCATTACCAGTAAAAAATGCAACCTGTCTACATCAAAAATACAGTGTTCATGAACAGCTCCACTCTCGCTGGCCCCACCAGAGAACAATCCCCTCATCATGGGCATCTGCAAGAGATGCAGACAGTCCAGGACAGCATCTAGGTTGTGACAGTTTCTAACTCCAGAGAGGGGTGTTCAAAACCTACCAGGATCACAGGGTCAAAGACCCCTCCAGTGCATCGAGCTATGCCTGCTTTCTGTTCAGCACACCTTGACATGAGTCTGAAACAGCCCAGAGTGGACATTTTTGGGTTTTAGCTTAGAGTCGAGACAAGCCTATTGTAATTTGTGACTTCTGGGTTCCAAAACAGTCAGAGAGTTTTCTACTGCAGCAGGAAAGCTGAGATGCTTCAAGACCAGGCAACAGCAGCATTCCATGTCCCAGTGAGAAGCCTGCCTGGTGTGCTTTTCTAAGGCCTTCTGGCCTTATCAGTTTAACAGTCCAAACAGACCCCCTAAAATCACACACCTCAGCTCAGATAATCATCAACCTCTAAGTGCGAGACTCCAAGTTCAGCAGAGTTCATTGCACACTGTGCAGGATTAGGGGGTTGATCAAGAAAAATGCTATGACCAACCAGGGGCAGTACCACACAAACAACTTTATTGGGTGGTGCTTGGATAGGGTAGCAGAAGCGGGGACATCCTCAGAGTAAAAGACTGTCTAGAGTTTATGGGTGTGGGATCACCATCAAATGGGGAGGAAGGCAAGAGAACTGCTGGGGGAGATGGAAATTGGAGAAGGAGCTTATGAGTCTAAGTGATGTTTCTCAGCAGCTAGACAGTGTCTTGGGGGTCTTCTAACCACAAGGCTCCATCTTATCTATGGTTAGCACATGTGGGGTGAGGTTTACCAGGGTATGAAAGCCAGGAAGGCCTCCAATGCCTAACAATCTTCCTGGTTGAGCTATGTTGAAAACAATTTAGAAGTATGAAAATCTGGGTTTTATGCTGGTGGACTTCTGAGCCAATAGGTCTCAGTGTGGAGGAGAAAAACAATAGAGAAATGTCAGTGGTGTTGCAGGAGAGCTGAAATGCTGCAATGAAACCAGCAAAAACCAGCAAGGTAAAAAGAAAAAGAAAAAGAAAAAGAAAAAAGAAAAAAGAAAAAGAAAAACCAGCAAGGCTTTCCTCCAACCTAGGGGCTATACACACAAGTCACCTTTGGTGCTTTTATAGAACACAAGCTGAAAACTTCCTTTAAAATCCCTGAAGATGTATCTCTACCTGGAGACTGCCTCTCTTTTCCATATGGACTTCCTTTTTCCAGGGAACCCAAGAGGCAAGAATTATCACCTACAGAGGCTCTATGTGCTATACTTGAGTTTAACACACACACACAGACATGCACAGTGTGTGTGTTCAAGCATTAGATATTAATTCAGAATAATTTTAACACAATTGCTCACAAACATTGTTACAAAAGGCTTTTAAGATACTGTAGAAAAGAAAACCAGCATATTTTACTCTGAGCAGGGCAACAGGATAAATTAATTAATTTTTAAAAACGTGCACGGCCAGGCGTGGTGGCTCACGTCTGTAATCCCAGCATTTTAGGAGGTTGAGGCGGGTGGACCACGAGGTCAAGAGATCGAGACCATTCTGCCCAACATGGTGAAACCCCGTCTCTACTAAAACTACAAAAATTAGCTGGGCATGCTGGCACATAATCCCAGCATGTAATCCCAGTTACTCGGGAGGCTAAGGCAGGAGAATCACTTGAACCTGGAAGGCGGAGGTTGCAGTGAGCCAAGATCACACCACTGCATTCCAGCCTGGCTACAGAGCGAGACTCTGTCTCCAAAAAAAAAAAAAAAAAAAAAAAAGCAAATTATGAGCATCCAGGTGTCCCTGTCTACAGTAAGAGTGGAAAGATGGCTGATAAGCAAACCAAGCAAAGCCTCCTTTAGAAAGACTCATTAACTCAGGGGCCTGTGTGAAACAAACTTCAGGGGATGCCACTGCTGTGGACTAGCCTCCTTCCCTAAGCCCCGGCTGACCAGACCCAACCAGAATGGGGTCACTTGTGCCGAATGCCACATAATTATACTGAACTTTCAAAGGGGCCAATTAAAAAAAAATACAAAAATACTCAGAAGGTTCAGTCAACCTGAGTCAGTGTTATAAGCGTGTCCCCTCATCTTTTAACTCTAGAAGGAAAGTAACTTTGAAATGACTGTGTTGGTCACTTTTGCACTGTTATAAAAGAATACCTGAGGCTGGGTAATTTGTCAAGAAAAGAGGTTCATTTTGACTCGCATTTCTGCAGGCTGTACAGGAAGCATGGCGTCATCATAGCCTTCTTGTGAGGGCTCAGGAAGCTTCCATTCATGGCAGAAGGCAAAAGAGGAGCTGGCATATCACATGGCGAGTGAGAGAGCAAGCAAGAAAAGGAGAAGCTGCCAGGCTCTTTTAAATAACCAGATCTCATGTGAACTCACAGACAGAGAGAACTCACTCATTATTGTGAGGACAGCAGCAAGTTATTTATAAAGGACCCACCCCCATGACCCAAACACCTCTCCCACTAGGCCCACCTCCAACATTGGAGTTCACATTTCAACATGATATTTGAAGGGCACAAAATACCCAAGCTGTTTCATTCTGCCCATGACCCCCCAACAAATCTCACATCCTTTTTGCACTGCAGAATACAAGCATCCCTTCCCAATAGTTCCCCAAAAGTCTCAACTCATTTCAGCATCAACTCAAAATTCCAAAATCTGAGACTCAAGGCACGTTTCTTCCAACTATGAGCCTGTAAGATAAAAAAACAAGTTATTTACTTCCAAGATACAATGGTGATCCAGGCATTGGGTAAATATTCCAATTCCAAAAGAGATAAATCAGCCAAAAGAAAGGGGCAACAGGCACCACACAAGTCTGACACCCAGCAGGGCTGTCATTAAATCTTAGAGCTCCAAAATAATCTCCTTTGTCTCCATATTCTGCATCCAGGGCACAGTGATGGAAGGGGTGGGATGCCAAGGCCTTGTGCATACCCATCCCTGTGGCTCTGCAGGTGCAGCTCCCATGGCTACTCTCACTGGTTGGAGTTGAGTGCCGGTTGCTTTTCCAGGTTCAGAGTACAAGCCGCTGGTGGCTCTACCATTCTCAGCCACCTTCCCACAATCCCACTCAGCAGTACCATGATGACTCTGTGCAGGGGCTCCAACCCCACATTTTCCATGAGCACTGTTCTAGTAGAGTCTCTCTGTAGGAGCTCGACCCTTGTGGCAGGCTTTTCCCTGGGCACTCAGGCTTTTCAACACATACATCCTCTGAAACCTAGGTGGAAGCTGTCAAGCCTTTTTCACTCTTGCATTCTGTTCTCCTGCAGACATAACACCATGGGGAAGCCACCAAGTCTTATAGCTTGTGTCCTCCAAGGCAGTGGCCTGAACTGTATCTGGGGCACTTTGAGCCATGGGTGGAGCTGGATCAGCCAGATGCAGGTAGCAGTGTCCAAAGGCTACAGAGAGCAGCAGGGCCCCAGGCTTGGCCCCCAAAACCATTCTTACCCACTAGGCTTCTGGGCCTGGGATGGGAGGGGCCTAGATTTCTGAAATGCCTTCAAGGGCTTTTTCCCATTGTTTTAGATAGTAGCACTTGGCTCCCTTTTAGTCGTGCAAAGCTCTCCAGCAAGTGGTTCCTCAGCATCCTGCTTGGTTTCTTCTCCGAAAATGCTCTTTCTTTCCCTACAACATGGTCAGGCTGCAAATTTTCCAAACTTTTATGCTCTGCTTCTCTTTTAATTATAAATTCCAACTTTAAGTCTTTCCTTTTCTCCTACATCTGAGACAGGTTGTTAGAAGCAGCCAAGGAACATCTTGAATACTTTGCTGCTTAGAAATCCCTTTGGCCAGATACACTAATTTATCACCCTTAAGTTCAAACTTCCACAGATCTCTAGAGCATGGACCCAGTGCAGCCAAGTTCTTTGCTAAGATATAACAAGGGTGACCTTTGCCAGTAAATTCCTCATTTCCATCTGAGACCTCATCAGCCTGGCCTTCATTGTCCATATTTCTGTCAGCAATTTGGTCAAAACCACTTAACAAATCTCCAATAAGTTTGAAACATTCCTGCATCTTCCTGTCTTCTTCTGATATCTTCTGATATCTCTGCCCATTACCCAGATCCAAAGCTGCTTTCACATCTTCAGATATCTGTATAGCATCACCCAACTCCTGTACCAATTTTATATGTTAGTCAGTTTTGCATTGCTATAAAGGAATACCTGAGGCTAGGTAATTTATAAAGAAAAATGTTTATTTTGGCTCATGCTTCTGCAGGGCGTACAGGAGGCATGGCACTGGCATCTGCTTCTGGTAAGGGCTCAGGAAGCTTGCAGTCATGGCAGAAGGCAAAAGGGTAATCAGCATATCACATGGCGAGAGAGAACAAAGAGCTGCCAGGCTTTTTAAAGCAACCAGATCTCATGTGAACTTAGAGAGTGAGAATGTAAGGTTAGCCGAGAGAAAGGACCAGAGAGAGAGAGCCCCAAGTTCAGGCAAGCCTTTATTAACCTGTCGGCTGCCCCCTTAACAGTCAAGGAAAGCAGCCCCAAGCTTACAGAATAGGGGGTTTACATTGGGGCAGGGAGTTTGAGGGAGTCCTTTGGTATGGCTGCATCCCGGGGTTGTCTGCTGGTTAATTCTGCCACATATCACCTTGTGATGTTTACGGTACTGGAGGGTGTAGGTAAAGTTTGTTTATGCTTCCCACAACCTCCCCGTTTGGTCCGGATGGTTTGTAATTGGGGTTTGCTTTATCGCAGCAAGGCCTGATAGGTAAAGTCTTCTATCAGGCTGGCTTCACTGCGGTGCCTAGATAAGGGCTTGGAAATGTAAGAAGGTTTGGGGGAAGGGTGGGCAGCGCGGAGAGGTTTGCGGGGAGTGTTGGCAGTACCAAGAAGCTCTTTGGGGTGGTTTGTACCTAACAGAGAACTCACTCATTACCACAAGGACAGCACCAAACCATTTATGAGAGATCCACCTCTATGACCCAAACACCTCCCACTAAACCCACCTCCAACGCTGAAGGTCACATTTCAACATGAGATTTAGAGGGACAAAACAGCCAAACCACATCAATGACTAATCTGCTCTGTTTTCTCTTTTTGCTTTCTTCAGCCATTTTCTGCTTACAAAGACAACTTCTTCTGCTCAGATCATTGGAACACTCATTGTACTTGAGTAAGGTTGTAAGTCTGAGAGTCTGACCATGTGGGCCTATTCTGGCCCTGTTGCTTCTTCACTGCAGAAACTGCACCATGGCTCAACCCCTCCATGGCCTAGCTTGGCTCATTGGAGAAATGGGCTCATTCCTAATATCCACCCAAGAGATGGGTGTGCACAGTAAATGACACAGACTAGCAGAGCACTTAGCACAGCAGATTGACTATGAGTTGTCCAGGTCTTTGGCGTTTTGAACAAAGAATTGAACAAAATGCATAAAGTAGCAGAGGAATGAAATGCAGGAACAAAGCAGTGAAAGCAGGAATTTATTAAAGTGAGAAAGCCCTCTGCAAGGTGAGAGTGGGTCTGAGCAAGTGGCTCAAGGGCCCAGTTACAAAGTTTTCTGGGCTTTAAGTACCCTATTTGAGGTTCTTAATGACTACCCCTTATCTGGATGAAGGATTTGGTCTGTGGCTAATTAAAGGCTGAGGTGAACTGGCACCCTATGCAGATGAAGGGATGGTCCCTGCTTGGCCCATGGTCAACAAGGCACCCTCCCCTCCCTTTCCATCTGAGATGTGGTGGAAGAGGGATGGTTGTAGGGAGAGTAGCCTCTGATCCTTTGTTACTCAGCATGGAGAGATGGGGTTTTTGTCTTTTGGTTTAGCTTTAGGAAGTTTGTGTTAATCAGCCTTAGGTTTCCTGCCCCCAGACCCCGGTATTTTCCTTTTGATCCAGCTTTGGGAAGTCAGAGTGAATTGGCCTTAGATTTCCTGCCTCCAGACCCTGGTGTTTTCTCTTTTAGGAAGTTAGCACAGAGTGGCCTTAAGTTCCCTGTTTCTAGACCCTATTTTCCTGTCTCAATAGGAGCTCACAATAATTGTTCTGTTATCACTGTTCTAATGTGGAGCCATGTCCAAGGATGCTAAACCCCACTGAGCTCCTGGTGACATAGAACTTGCCTCATCCAACATGTATTGAGGGCCACATTTGCACTGTGGTCTCCGCCATCCTCATGGGCCTCTTAGTCCAGAGGGGAGATGGCTCATCAACATGCCCAACCTCATAGGAGTTCAGGATCCACCCAACCAATGGTGGAGAGCTGTGCTGGGCCAGCCCCTGGGAATAAGCCTTGCCAGCTGACCTCATGGAGTGACCTGGACCCTGACAAGCTGAGTGACTTCTGGGTTGAAAAGGGCATTCCCATAGGGGAGGCAGCACAAGCACCCTTACCAGCAAGGAAGTTCACAGTGTGCTCAGAAAACAGCACCAGAGGGAACCAGAGGTTGATGTAGGGAGACCCCCTGAAACTATTGCTATGGAATAAAAGATGAAATGCTCCTGATTATTGTAAATACATAATTGCATGCAGGATTGTGTAAAGACAATGCCAGGTTGGACTGCCAGAATGAGCCAACAGCACGTGATGTGCTTTCCCCTGCAGAGAGCCTATGAATGGACGTGCAGTCAGGGAGGTTTCACATCACCAAGATTCCTATCCTAGAAAAGCAGATGTTCATAGCTCTGGGAATGGAATGTGACCCTTGTGGAGAGCCTATAAACGGATGCATGAGGAGCACCTGTCCATATGGATAAGATAGGGCTATAAACGCCCTCATCTTGCCACGGCTCTTCTAGGCCTCTTTAGGGTTAAGGCATACTCCCTTCTGAGAATTTCTGGTCTAACCGGTTGTCTAGCTTCACATCCTGTTTCTATGGATTGTTTGTAACCAGCTTTTGCTGCAACTGTTACTGCTGATTAATATCTTGCTAATCATAGGTCATGGAAAGACTGTGTTTCTGTTTTAAGGCTCTGTTAGAAACTACTGATGCACACACTATATCATAAATTCTTATCCCTGTATACTGTACTTCTGCATACAGATGTTATGTTAAAGAATTACTTCATCCCCATGTGACCATCTCACCTCATAATCAAATGACCCTAAATCCCTCACTAACCTTCCCCTGCCCTCTCACCAAACTTAATAATAAATGCCGGTATATCCAGTGCGTTGTTGGCACCGTGGGAGCAGAAGGCGGTGACCCCCCTGGACCCAGATTTTGCTATCTTGCGTGTGTCTATTATTTCTCGACCTGCCGATCTGCCTGGGAACAAAGAGAGAGCACCGTTGCATTGCAGACTGCTGGCCAGATCCCGCAATAGGTTGAGAGTTGTCTTACCCAGGACCCAGCATCAAGCAAATGCTGAGTGAAGGAGGGTTAAGGGCAGGTGGCATGGCGGATACCTGAGTGTGTGAGAAAGAGCAGCCCAGTGGCTAACGAGGCTGGGAAAGGAAGGCCTTGGAAGTGTGAGGAGGTGGTGCCTAAGCAACTGACAAGTTCCGAGCCACAGTTTAGAAAGACTCCTCTGGGGTGGGATGAACCAACTGCAGGGACACATCCTGGAGCCTGGGAGAGATCAGCAGGGAAGAAGATCCTGAGAGGCCACGGGGAGGATGAAGAGGGCCTGGCGGATCATGTGACAGGCAAGGCCTACACAGCAAGTCTTGGCCTGTGGCTGGCCTCATACCTTGGGGCCCCACCATCAAGAGCTCAGCACTATTCTTGATTGCTGCATAGCTACAAAGAAGCTGCAGCGAGTCAGCACTGAGACCGCTTTCCACAGGGCCACTGGTCCTCATACCATAGTCAGCTGTGCTCTGCTTGGGTCGCCTGACCATGATGATTTTATTCATAATGCAGCAACGCAGAGGGGCCATCTCAGGGGCTTTTGGAGCATGGAAGAGAAGACCAACCATTTTCCTCAAAGTGGCTTGCAGGTGGCAGGTGACTCATAAAGAATGTCTGAATGGTTGCTGAAAGTTGCAGAGCTCATCTTTGGGGACTGAGCAGGCTTAGCCAGAGGAGGCTGGATTTCCCACCATGACTCTTCTTGACTAGACTTAAGTCAGTGCCCTGAATATTCCCTCCAGGGGACAAGAGGAGCTTGATGTCTTAGACTCGAAATCCCAGTGTACATTCTGTGACTTAAAACAAAGGACAATGGTCGCTAATGGTCCTATAGAAGCCACATGACATAGTGTGACTAAATCAAATCAATACCAGCTCTTGGCTGAATGCCACCGTGTAGTTTCCCTAGTAATTTTCTTCATGATAATTCCCCTCCCACCCAATGGCCAAAAGCCTTTATATAAGTAATCAGCAGAGTTTATAAGTTCGCAAAAGCCACAACAAAATGTCATTCTCAGTCTTAAGAATTCCCCTATGAAAAAGCACTTTGGTATGTAAGTGAAAGATACCAGCTGTCTAACTGAATACTCAAGGATCCTCATTTAGAGATCTCACCAATGGCCTCTATTTTAATATTTAGCCTCAGAGTGTGTGTGTCTACAGGTTACACTGAGTCCTTGAACAAAACCTTTGTAAACCTGTTTAAAAAGCTTGGTGACCATGAACCAAGCCTGCATCCAGGCATTGGGGGCACCATGAAGGATTAGAGAGCCCTGAGATTGAAAAGCACCTTGGAAGAGCCTCTTCCAACCCTCTTCGCACTCAGGGCCGACCCTGAGTGGGCAAAGGGTGCTACTCAGTGGGACAAGGACCCAGGGTCCTTTCAGTCTGGTGCCTTTCCACTGTATCACTCTGTCTCCCTATACAGAGTGAATATTAAGAACAAAGTTGTCTTTAATGGCTAGAGAAAATGTATCACCAGAAAGACTGTTGTATCCTCTCATCTGGGGTTGAACATGGCTTTCATTTGGGTTTTCTCCCTCCTCCTGCCCACCGCAACACACACTCATACGCTCATCTGTTTTCAAATACATAATGATGGAACTTTTGTGCTGGATTACTTTAGTCAGGTCTAACTAGACAAGCAGAAACTTTTCTTAGGCTAGTCTGTGTAAAGCAGGCCTCAGAAATGAACATGTCTTGGGCAATGAAAACAGTATTTATGGGCAAAAATGAAACTAAAGGTAATCTCCTGTTGTGATCTGCAAGAGGGTGAGATGCAAGGGCAAGCAGAGCTCCACAGGAGACTCCAAAGCACAGCTGAGGATGTGGCCATCCAACCACAAATGGTGCTCTGGGTAACACAGTGGTAGACGAGTGAGGGGAGTGCTCCCACCATGCTCAGGCACAGCACCACTCTGGGGACAACTTGACCAAGGGGAATAAGAAACACTTTATCTGGGCCCACTGGAGCACATGCAACCAATCATTAGGAGTACCTGGAAGAGACCAAAGCAGAAAGGAGATGGGGGGATTGGAAAAGAGGGGTGCTACCACACAGATCAGGCCAAACAGCCTGGTAGGGACCACCATCTCCTAGAAGGCAGTCACCCATGAGGGGTCCATATGAGTCAGGCAGTCTTGGTGAAACCCAAGCTAGGGATAACTAGGGGCTGGCTCTTGAGCAAATTAGAGGCCAGCAAATGGCCTCCCCTGTCTTCAGGGTTGGGAGTGGCCATAGAGCCATGGTTTCTCAGCTCATCTGGGGCCTGGCCCTTTGACACAATGTGACTGTCAGAAGATGGGAGACTTTTCTGGGAACTTGAACCATGCCTGTTTATACTTTTAGAAGAGGGAGAAGCTGAAGGCCATGCCACCTGTCTACTCCCCCAACACCTGGCCAGGGCCCCCTCTCCAGATTGGCTGAGAGCCACCTTTGTGACATCATGTGACAAATACAGCAGATGATGAGTTAAGCCACTGGTTGCCCTGATACCGAGACTCTAGAATTTTGTGGACAGTATTTATTGGGCACGCCTACTCTGACTGAAGGCATTTTGGACTTGCTAGGACAGTGATAAGGGCCTTGGGTACAAAATGCTCCTGATTCTGGTGTAGCTCCATGGCGAGTCAGAACACTGAACAGGAATATGAAGCCAAGCTGGCCCCATCTGTTGGTGGAGAGCCAACAAGCGGGGGCCCATCTGGTTCTTCACCTGATCCAAATCCAGATTCCAGCGAGGTTTTGGACAGGCACGAGGACCAAGCCATGAGCCAAGATCCAGGCTCCCAAGATAACTCACCACCAGAAGACCGAAACCAACGCGTGGTCAACGTGGAAGACAACCACAACCTTTTTAGGCTCTCCTTCCCAAGAAAGCTTTGGACGATTGTGGAGGAAGACACATTCAAGTCTGTGAGCTGGAACGATGATGGAGACGCCGTGATCATCGACAAGGATCTCTTCCAGAGGGAGGTTCTTCAACGGAAAGGTGCAGAGAGGATCTTCAAAACAGACAGCTTGACGAGTTTCATTCGCCAGCTGAACCTCTATGGATTCTGCAAAACACGCCCAAGCAACTCTCCAGGAAACAAGAAAATGATGGTAAAGTAGAAAGCATTTCTGTAATCCCTTTTCTCTCTTTCTCAAACATATCTTCATAGGACACCAATTTGAATAATATACTGTAAGAGCTTAAGTGTCAAGGATAGCATTTGAAAATGTGAAATATTGTTTATTGAAAGATGAAAAGTATAGAACTTAAAAAGTATGGATTTTGATATTAAACTACAACCCCCTTAGAGATAATGTAAGCATCATATTTTGCAGACCTGCATATTACCTCTACGGGGTTGCAGTTTAATATCAAAATCCATGCTGTTTATATATTACTGCCTTGATCTATGAATTGTTTATCTTTAGTCAGGTCATGCTGTAGAGCATAACCACACTTGCTGCCACTTAAAGCATTCTTTTCTCCATTGCAAAACAAAATCATAATTTTGAGAGGTGGGAAAGGAATAATTTATCCCAGAACAACTAACATGTTTCATTTTGTTTCAGATCTACTGCAACTCCAATTTTCAGAGAGACAAGCCCAGGCTCCTGGAGAATATCCAGAGAAAGGATGCCCTCAGAAACACCGCTCAGCAAGCGACCCGTGTCCCAACTCCAAAGAGAAAGAATCTGGTAGCTACAAGACGCTCCCTACGTATCTATCACATCAATGCCAGGAAAGAAGCAATCAAAATGTGTCAGCAGGGAGCCCCCAGTGTTCAGGGGCCCAGTGGCACCCAGTCCTTCAGGCGCTCTGGCATGTGGTCCAAGAAGAGTGCCACTAGGCATCCCCTGGGAAATGGGCCCCCTCAGGAACCAAATGGCCCAAGTTGGGAGGGCACCTCTGGGAATGTCACATTTACATCTTCGGCTACTACCTGGATGGAAGGCACAGGGATTCTTAGTAGTCTGGTTTACTCAGATAATGGTAGTGTAATGTCTTTGTACAATATCTGTTACTATGCTCTGTTGGCCTCCCTCTCAGTCATGTCTCCAAATGAGCCCTCTGACGATGAGGAGGAGTAGGAAGGCTCCTCAGATTACAAGTGTAGACTCTGTGAACAGTTCAGAAACACTGCAAATTCGTGAAGTCACAGGCCACTAATGGCCCATAAAAGTTGCCATTTTTTAATGAGAAACACATTTTTGGTCTTAATAAAGAAAAACAAAATTCCATGGAAATAAATAATAAACAATTTAAATGAGAACTGTTGTCTGTGTTTTTTTTAACCTTGTATATTATATACATCTCATTGGCAGAAACCAGGGGAGGCTGGAAATCCTGTCCAAGACAGGCTTTGGTCCCCATTGTCCTTGTTTATTTGGAGAAGCAGCATTTTCACACACTCAGCAAAGGATGTTGCTAGGAAGTGTCGAGGCCAAGCCCAGGAAGACCTGGTCCCCTGAGATTGGCCTGCTGGTCAGGAGAAAGAATAGACGCCTGATTCCGGCAATATCTTCCTGTATCTTCAAACAGGAGATTGTTTCCTCATGGGTCCCTCCCAATGTTGCCAGGAAGTGTCTGGTCAGCAGCTCAGCATCCCTAGCCTAGCATCCAGGGGCCTCCAAAGAGGCCCACTTGAAAGTCAGGCCACCCCATCTGCCATGGGATGTACAACCACCATAACATCCTGGCTCAGAAGAGAAGGGCCACTGCAGTCAATACCTGGGGGGAAATGCCCATCATCCTCATGGATAACAACTAGAAACTTTGCTAAATCACCAAAAAAAAAAAAAAATTACTACAAAATAAAACAACACTACTGATCACATTTCCAAGTTAACCTCACTCTACTAGAGCTGTATTTTGGATGTATTGCTAGGATAGGAAGTAGCTGTGTGATGCAGGTAACACACATGCTTCAGAAACTGACAGACACTTTCAGAAGAGTGAGAGTAACCTGAAAGGACAGACAGCTGCTCTAAGTCTGACGTCCTCTTCATCCTGGATGAGTCGGTTGATTAACGGCTAGTCACTACCAGGCAAACATTCAGTGCCAGGTCCCAGACTTTCTGTATTGTCGCCTGGATGCTAGTTACACATTTGATGAGTTTTGACCAGAACAAATCAGGGGAAAACATAGAACAAAGCCTCAAACACTAACCAGTCATCTACAACACATTTATTTGTACAATCCAGAAACTAGCAGGACCAAAATTAGCAGCAATGCTGAGACATTTACTGGCAGCTTTGCCTTCTACCCTAAGGTCAAAGTACTTGAGACATTGCCTGTGTGCCTAAGGAGGCATCACACAAGGAAAGCCCCACCCCCTACTTCCTTCATCTGAGCAAAGGAACCTGTTTACATGCACAGTGCTTAGTGGGTGGGACTCTCCAAAGCAGTGGAAATTCAGATTTAACCTAATGTATACAGGTCTGCGTCATGATGGCAAATTGAAGGTGTCATGATTTAGCTGGTTTCTCTGGAACATTCCTTTCAGGAGCCCACACTTGTCACACTTCATGCCCCAAAGGGATCAGGTGCTCTGGGATGTCTACCTGGAATACATCCTTGCCTCCTTTCCTAGGTATGGGCTCCAGTAACCACCTGGGGTTTGAAATCACAGTCAGGTACTTCTGCTTCAGGTTGGTCAGTACAGCTTGATTTTCTAGTTCCACAACCTCATCGGGAGTTAAGTCTTCGGGGCATTGCAAAGTTTCCCCAATGTCAACGAGTCCTGTACACAAAGAGAGATACACATGAATGCCTTTCACTTCCATAGCCCAAGGCCTGCCCATGTGACAACACAGTTACTCAAAGTCACAATCAATAGAGAGTAAGACAGCATCAGCAAAATGACAAGAAGGGAGTCAAGTCCTTCTTCCGTAGCTTTGATAACGAACCAAACCCGATTCAGGAAACGCTGGGAGAGGCAGGGGGAGGGCTCCAGAAAGGCAGAGGAGAGGGCCTTGTCCTCATGAAGCCACACAAGTAAGAGGCAGGTCCAAGCCAGACTTCTGAGGGCAGCGGTTGCAGATTGGAAGGGCACCAGCCACTGCCTGGGAAGCTACAGGTGATGCCTGAGCAGGTCACCAGGGGACAGATGCTGATGTCGGGCCTCAGTCACCTAGAGGTTAGGGGACTTTCCCAGGGTGCTGTGAGTGGTGGGGCTGGGGCAGGTTCATGAAGCCAGGCGGGCAGCCCAACTCTAGAGGCCACCTGACCCATTCGGCGGGCTGGGCTGCTTTTCATGGTCTCTGCCACACATGTGCACTCACACATGTATGTGCAAATACACACAGCCAAACACCACAAACACCATGTGCACATGGCCCTGACCAGGCTTCTCACTGAGATCAGAAACAGGAACTGAGGCCCAGAGTGGAGAAATGATTTACCAGAACTCGTGGAAGCCAGCCATACCAACCCCCAGCCCAAGGTCCTTGCCGCCCCTTTGAAGGTGTGTTGCCAAAGGAAACTGTGTTATACACGCCAATCAGTTCAGATGACAAGAGAAGCCCCCAAATTCCCAAGCAAGATCTTGGGCAGCAGCCCTAGGCGTTGTCTGCGCATTTGGTACATTGTCACTTACCCGCTATCACTCCTCGACCAAACTTTTCCCCTTTCCTGAGCAAGGCCTGAATCTGAGCAGGAGTCATCCCGAGTCTCTCCACCAGCAGCTCCCGCCAGGCATCGCCTTCCCAGTCCCTGTGAGCAATGTGGACGGCGATGGTACAGTTCCGCTGGCTGCTCAGCAGGGGACGCCAGCGCGTCTCCACAGTCTTGATTCCATTTAAGACAAAGCCAGCATAAGGCTGCCGGAAGGAGAGGCAGCCAAACTTCATCTTCGCAAGCGCCCCGGGCCTCCCGTAGCCTGCGGAAGCACAGAAGCGCATCACACGCCAGCCCTCCAAGCTCATGGGCAGTGGCCTGACCTTCCCCCCGTGTCTCTCAGGTGGCCTAAATCGCACTGACCTTGATGGTCTCCTGCTTCCGTCTGTCACTGATGTCCAGCACCACAGCAGGCCCAAGGGAAGGGGCTGGGATTCGGCTGACTCAGGTCCATCCCATGGAGTCTTTGGGGCGGTCCGGAGTAGGGCGGGGACAGCTAGAGGAAGGCACAGGCAGGATACCATGTGGTCAGTGCTATGACAGAGGTCACCGAGCCCTAGGGCAACACAGAGGACAGAGGGCCCCCTTGGCCTAGCCAGAGTGGAGAGTCCGGGCTGGTGTTAGCCCTCTTCCAGCACAGAGGGAGAGTCCCACCCTCTGCTTCTCTTCCCTTTCCCCTGCTGTGCCCTGCCAATACTCTCAGTGCCCTGGCCCTGCCGCCACCAAGGCACTGACCTTCCCAGCTCCTACTCCAGGGCTGCTGAGCCCACATCGTTGATATCCAATCTCAGCTCTGTCCTCAGGATGCACCGTGACCTCAGATGGCCCTCAGTCAGACATCTCCTCTCCACCCCTCTGGGTGCCACCTTCCTCAAGCCCCTTCCCCTACCACTGCTCTCCACTGTCAGCAGATGCCCCTGTCCCAATCTGAGCTGAGAAAAGAAGAATGATAATCAGAACAACTAGCAACCCCACACACATGCCTTCCACGTGCCAGCCTCTGGGATGGCATGATCCTCGGATCATCAAATTGAATCTTCAAGTAACCCAGCAGGGTCAGTGGTACTGTGAGGCCCACTCTATGGCTGAGGAGAATGAGGCACCAGCCCACAGTCACACGGGCTCTGACTTCCCACAACTCTTGCCCAGCCTCCTGCGTGTCTGGCTTGGGAGAGGGTCCCCTCCTCTTGCATGGAGGACGGCCCTGTGCCTTGGAAGGAACCCTGGGCTCGAAACCAGAACCTCAGCCCAGTCATAGACTCTTGAGATGCCTCAGTTTCCACATGGCTGTGAGGAAGGGAGATAAGGCACCAAGAGCACCCAGCCCAGTACGTGGCACCTAATAGAACAGTCAGAAATAGTGGCTGCCCTCACCCCTCAGGCCCGTGGCCCCGCCCCCGGCCCTGAACTCCACCCTTGAGCTGCCCCTACTCCTCTCTCTGTCCTTCCTTTCAACACATAAACGCAACCTCTAGTACGCTCTATGATTTTAAGAAAATATACCCACCCTCATGAGACAAAGCCCTGATAGGGCCAAAGCTGCCTGGTATTCACTCCTTTCCCAGTCTGCACTGCAGCCTTCTGAGCTCCAGATCTCCTGCTTTTCTCCCGCCTCTGGGGTGAGCTGCCTCAGCTGAGCCGGTTGCCTGCTGTGCTCTGGACCCTGCTCCTCTGGCTCACTCCGGGCCCTGGGTGCCACCAGCCACCATCTATGCTCGCTCAGCATCCCTACTCTGAGCACACGCGCGCCTCCCACTCTGCCTCCCTTCTCTACAACCCTGAACAGCCGAGACCTCAGAAGAGCTGTCTACATGCGCAGTCTCTACTTCCTCTCTGAACCTTCTGCCCCCACCCCCACCTTTCTCCCTTTATTCCCCACCCCCCCCACCACCCACTCCACTGACTGACCTATCCCCACAAGCACCCATGGCCGGCCTCATGCCAGTCCTGTCTTCATCTTAGTCCATGCTCAGCAGCCCCAGCATGGCTGGGCACACTCCTTCCCTCCTTCTGGGACCCCCACGTTGCTCACCGTCCTGCTCTGAATCCCGTGGTGCAGGCCACCCCCCTTCAGACTCAGCCTTAGGTGGACAGGCCCGTACATACTCAGGACCCCAACCATCACCACCAAGTCCACCTCCCTTCCACCTCTGTGAGTGGCATCACCAGCTACAGCGTTCCTGCCCCAGACCTAGCTGCTCTCTGCCCTGCCTTTCTTTCCCACATCTGCGGCCCACATCCCGTGGCACTGTGTCCAAAACCGACATTGAATCTGATCCCTTTCCATAATCTCTATGGCCACAATCCCAATCCAATCCCCTAAAACCCCCTGCCTTCTGAAGAAGTCTCCTGATAGCACCCCCACCCCCCCCCAGCACTTGTCCTCTGCACTCTTGTGACCACACTGCCATCGGAATGATCTTGGTACAGGGACAATGAGATTATGTCACTCCTCTACTGAAACTTTTCAAGGGCTCCCTGCCCCAACTAGCACAGAATCCACACTTCCTCTCAGGGCACTCAAGGTCCCTCCTGATCTGGTTTCCCACCCCAGCCACGTCCTCTCCTCTCCCCTTTATTCACCACCCTGAAGCCACACAGGCCTTCCATCCCCTGAGGGAACATGCCAAGCTTGTTTCTACCTCAGAGCCTTTGTCAGTTGTGATGGGTTGCATTGTGTCCTCTTAAAATGCGTATGTTGAAGTCCTAAACCCCAGCACCTCAAAATGTGGCCTTATATATAAAAACAGAGTCATTACAGAGGCAATCAAGTGAGACTGAAGCCATCAGGGCGGACCCGCATCCAATGTGGCTGGCGTCCTTATGAAAAGGGGGATTTGAGAGACAGTCACGCACACAGGGAGAACACCATGAGAAGATAAACGCAGAGATAAGGGAGATGCTTCTACAAGCTAATGAGTGCCAAAGATTGCCGGCCAGCCGCCTGCAGCTAAGAGAAAGGGACAGACCAGATTGTCTTTCACAGCCCACAGAACAAACGAACCTGGCCACCACTTTGATTTCAGACTTCCATCCTCCAGAACTGCGAGACAATGATTGTCTGTTCTTTAAGCCAGCCCTTTTATGGTCCTTTGTTTCAGCCATCTTGGCAAACTGCTGTTCCCAACACATCTGCACAGGCTAGGGCACGAGTTTGCCATTTGACAGCACATCAAGCCCATTCTTTCCACCTGACAATCTTCATCTACCTTGTTTTTCACTGCCTGGGTGATATCCCATTGTTGGTCGTCTCATAATTTGCCTGACCATTCCTCCACTGATGGAGAGTTACAAGTTGCTTCCCACTTTTGCCACTAGAAATGACATTACCTCTAACACTCGCTGTGTGAAGACATGCTGAAGGAAATGCCTCGGCCGCCTGGCACGCCCATCTAAGATGCTGATATCTGCCAGCAAATGACTTTCCACAAAGACTCACCCGTGTACCCTCCACCAACCCATCCATGGTGCCATTTCCTCACACACTTGTGGCCCCTGAGCATGATTATTCTTCTGATGAGTGACCAAAGATAACCAGGTTCCTTGGTTCTGGATTACTTCTGATGGAGGCTGAATGTCCCCCACAGGGCCTGGCCACTTCCATCGGGATAAATGGCTACAGTGAATGTTTGCCTCTTTTCTGCCGCCCAGTTTCTTAGCCAACCCTTTTCTCGTCATCACCACAAAATCACAACAGACGCCAACTGTGTGTATGTGGAATCCCTAGTAGGAACTGATGTAACTGAAAAGGCAAGAAGGGGGTTGAGTCCCCTCCTACCTGGTGCTGCAGAGAGTACCTGCTTTACGGCCAGAGGAGGAAACACTCTTCCACTTAGCTTCTTTACCTGCACAACAAGGAAGATAAAGAGGAAAGGTCATTAAGTGCAAGACAGCAAAGCTGGTTAATGGCCCTAAGAAGGTCATGTACTTAGCAGGCATTGGAAACCAAGAAGAGCTGGGAGGCCTGGTCTTATCAGTAACACACATGTGCACATCACAGTTTGGTTCTGCTAATCACAGCAGTGGGACCCTCCGCACCTGTCTGGGTCAAGGACCACAGGGTGCACCAGCCCGCAGGGCAGAAAATCATTTCACCATGTTGAGCAGCATTCTTGCAGCCAAGCATGCTCCATTCGAAGGGAGAAAAATGACACTTCCCCTCCCATTGTCACGGGGCGAGTGTTTGGGACTCTAAATCCCATTGTCCTCAGCTTAATTCTGGGTAGGTCACGCTGAGCACGGCGCCACAGGCCACAGAGCTGTGCACCGCCCGGCCTCAGGTCCAGGCGAGCTCACAGCAGAAGGGCCAACGGGAGGCAGGGAAGACCGGACTGAGGTGGGGCCGCTGTGTGTGGAGCAGTACACGGGCTTTCTACTCGCAGACGCACGTCGCGGGTACACGCGCTTAGAAGGAGCGGAGCCGAGACCCTGCCGACAGCAGGGGACAGGAAAAGGCGCCTCGGTCGCGCCCCGCACGAGTTCCCAGCCCCACATCCAGGGAAACCCCAGCCCTCAGGTACCGTCCGCAAGAAGGCTGAGCACACAGGCTCCCGCAGCATGGGCCCTGGCACCTGTCAGCCCCGGCAGGTCTCACGGCCTCCGGAACCATGGACCCTGCGAGTCGTGGGTGTCTAGGGCCGACTCCGGCTTTTCGCCACAGGAATGAACAGTCCTCTGCTTCCCCGAGACCCAGCGAGGCCACCGGAGCCAGGACGATGGGCTCCCAAGCAAGGAGACGTGGGCCGCTGTGAGAAGAGGGAGCGCCTGGCTAGTGTCCAGGCTGCAAGGTCGTTGCCGCTAACTCCGGGAAACCAGTGGCCAGTGACAGGTGTTAGCGGTCTATAACTCTTCCGCTTTCATACAGCTCCCGTCATCCCTTTCACGAAGAACGTACGTGGGCGCGCAATCACGCATGTATGCACACCACGCACGTACGCGGGAGGCACGTACTCAGCCATGCATATAGACAGCAAACATTATGAATCTCGCATTCTCGAAGACACGCACTGACGACATCACGCACGTACGCACGCCCTGGCTGCTAGGAGACGCTATTCTCTTTACCTGGCCCTGATGCGCGCCAGCCAACCAGGCCAAGGCCAGGGGACCTCGAGACCGGCAGCCTCGACGAAGAACCGGAAGGAGGAAAAGGAACGGGAGGGAGGAAGAGTAAGTGGAAGGGTGGGACGAGGACACCAGGCAGGAGTTTTGGGCCCAGAGCTGCTATACCAGCAGGGAGGAGCTGGGAGAAACCGCTGGGGAGGGGGTGGAGGCGGGGCTGAGAGGAGGAGGGCGGAGCTGGGGGAGGGGCCGAGCGGGACTGACAGAAACAATTGGGGGCTGGGTTGAGGGCGGGGCTGAGATAAGAGGCGGGGTGTGGGGCAGGGCCGGGCGGGGCTGAGAGAAACCATTGTGGGCAGGGCCGTGGGAGAGCTGAGCGAGGAGAAGCTGCAGGAAGAGCTCGCGGACTCTTGAGA
This sequence comes from Homo sapiens, assembly GCF_000001405.40. Taxonomy (NCBI): domain Eukaryota; kingdom Metazoa; phylum Chordata; class Mammalia; order Primates; family Hominidae; genus Homo; species Homo sapiens. The sequence continues at coordinate 149,540,386 of NC_000023.11, read as the reverse complement.
ATCAGCAGGGGGAGGCAGGTGTCCGCTGAGAGAAGGAGGGAGGGGGAGAAAGAAATCACTGGGAGGGGCTGGGGGCGGGGTTTTTAAAGCAGCTGCGTGAGAAGTAGGGCGGGGCTGGGAGAGGCGGGGCTCTGGGGGGGCTGAGAATGCTGGGGAAGGTTTGGGGGCGGGGCTTTGGAGGCAGCCACAGGAGAAGCAGGTCGGGGCTGCGGGCGGGGCTCGGGGTGGGGCGGGGCTGAGAGAAACTGCTGGGGAGGGGGCCGAGGGCGGGGCTTTGGGAGCAGCCGCGGGAGAAGCGGGGCGGGGCAGGGAGGGGAGGGGCGGGGCAGGGAGGGGCGGGGCTGAGAGAAACTGCTGGCTGAGGTCGGGGCTTTGGAAGCAGCCCCGCGAAGAGCAGGGCGGGGCAATGGGAGAACTGAGCGAGGAGCAGCTGCGGGAGGACCCCTCGGACTCCTGAGAACCAGCTTAGGGGAGCGGGGGCTTGGGGAGGTGTAGGGTGGAATCACGAGAAAGCTCTGTGGGAGGGCCTGGTGCACAGCTCAGCTGCAGCGTGGAGCTGAGGGAAAGCCGGGCGTTCCTGGAGGAGGAGCAGGGCGGGGCTGTGGCAAAGAGGTGTGGGAGCAGATGGGGCGGGGCTGCGGGAAATTGCTGGAGAAGGGGGAGCCAAGCTGGAGTAAGGCTGGCGGGTGAGAATGGTGGGGGAGGAGCTAGTGCAGAGCTGGAGGAAAGAGCTGAAAGGTGCTGGGGTGGGCAGAGGGGTAGGAGAAGCGGGACGGGGCTAGAGGAGGCGGAGCTGGGACTGGAGATGCAGGGTGAGCAGGGTGGGGCTGCAGCAGGAACTGGGTTAGAGCTTCTGGAGGAGCCGCCTGCAAGAGGAGGGCGTAGTTGTGGGAAAGAGCTGTGGGTGGAACTGGTTAAGTGCTGGGAGGAGGAAGAGCTGGGGGCGGAACAGCTGGGGCGGAGCTGCCGGAGGAGGAGCTGGGGGTGGAGATGCTGGTGAAATGAAGCAGAGCCGAACTGGGGGTGGAGCTGTGGGTGGAGCTGGGGGAGGGAGCTGAGGCCCTTCTGTGATGCACCCTTAGGCAAGAGTCAAAACTTGCCCGCAGCGACCTAACTGCACCTCCAGTGTCTACCCCCATAGGGCACGGAAGCAGCAAGAAGGGCGGGAACACTTGACTGGGGTCTATGCAGCTCTAGGCTGAGTCTTGCAGGGCTGAGCCCCCCAGGCCTGCTCTCCTGTGTCCTAGCCGCTCTGTCAGTGCCTGCCAGTGGGGTCCGGAGGAACCGTCTCTTTAACGTCTCTTTTGCAGGTGATGAGAAACATCCCCACTCTTAATGTCTTGCCTCCTCCGACCTAAGTCGCCCAGCACACAGCCCAACTTCCCTGGCAAACTTGCTTTTCAAACTCTCTTCTCTCAGTCACGGGCTCAGGTTCTGTAGTGCTGCCATGCTTTACTCCTCTGTCCCTCCCCTTATCTAGTCTCCCGCATTGACTTCATAACCAAGTTCTGGGTCCCTGCCTCTGGAGTGCCTGATGAGACAAAACGGCTCCTCGTCCTGCATCCCCGCTGCTACTTCCAGAATTCAGGCCTCGTGGTCTGGAGCCTGCACTGTTCCATGAGCCTCCTGAGCAACCTGGAGTCCTCTGTCTTTCTTCCCTCAGGTCTGTCGTCCACATTCCATCGGCTCAGTTTCTAAGTCACAAATCTGTCCCCAGCAATCCTCTAGTGAAAACGCTGCTGGGCCTTCTCAGGTTTAAGTCCTAGCAGTTCAGGGAGTCGGCTCAGCTCTCCCCACCCTTAAGCCAAACACTCTTTGGGTTCACGCTGTGCTGTTCAGTCACTGGTCCCCACCAGCCTGCTGTTCCAGGTCTCCCTGCTTTGCACCGGCGGTTCCCATGGCCTTGTCCTGGTGCGCTCCTGGCCTCCTTCAAGGCACAACTTTAAAGTCACCTTCACAGCCCCACTCCGAGTATTAGAGACTTTCGTCTCCAGCTCTGATAGCATTTTGTACCTCCCCCGTCCCCACCCCACGTTAGGCTCTTGCAACCCAGGGTGGTAATTGCTCTGTAAGACTTGTGGCTGCCGCAGGGTCTCTTGAGTTCCTTGAAGGCAAGGCCGGTGTTTTACTCATTTCTGAAACTGGGTGCCCAGGGCACAGTATCTGCTTAGTAAGTGTTGAATGAGCAAAGGGCTGCTTTCTTGTTTTTTCTAGTGAGATGCGCCTACTTCTCCCTGGAGAAGCTCGAGGAAGCAGGAATGCTGGAGATGAGGTGAGGAGGAGAGGGTCCCTCTTTATGGGATGTAGGCCGTAGGGCTGCAGGGGACCTTCAGATCACCAGTTCCAATTCCTATGCATGCTAGCATCCCCTCCTGGGTTCCTTCCCCACAAGAATGGTTGCCAGCTTCTGCCGAACACCCCAGAACCTGCTTAGAGTGGTTTCAAATCATGAATGAGGATCCCCGGGATGGTGGGTGGCCGTTGCTCCTCCCGTGGCCTCTTGTTTGAAGAACTAGAACTCGCATAATGAGCTGGATAGCCACCGTGTGGCTGCTAGCAGGGAAGCCCTTGGTGGCCACATAAGGGCTCCCTTTTCCAACTCTCTCAGCTGCTCCTCACTCTCACTCCTGGGTGTGCTGGGCAGTGGGGTGCAATGTGCACGTAGGTGCACACTCTCCCTGGGCGGCAGCGAGAAGCAGAGGTCTGATCTGTGGTCGGATGAGGAGAGGAAGTGCAAGTAAAGCAGCTGCAGCGGTGAGTGGGCCTAGGAAGAATGGCATCAACAGGCCAGGCAGGGATGCGGGTGGTGTTCGGCTAACCCTGAGAAAGGGACCAGAATGCACCTGAGTCTTGATTTTCATTCCCAATAGCAGGTCAGCACGAAACCCAAAAACGCTCTGATTTCTGCCTTCCATGCTACACTCTCTTCACCTGCTGCCTTCTCACTCCTCTCATTAACAATGTCCTGGCAGGAACAAGACTTTCCCCTCCCTCTCTTCTCGTCTCTTAGCAGGTCAGGTCGGCCTTCACCTCCCTAGACCCGTCCTGCTCCTGCCTTCCCCTGTGGGGCCCTCCATGGATGCTCTGGAGTCCCGGGCAATAGTCAGCCAACTGCAGACATGCGGGGCCTTCTTGGGTTCCTTGCTGTGCTCCCTTGAAACCACTGTGCCTGGCTGCACCCCAGTAGCACACACTGAACTGACCCCCACTCCTGGGGCCAGCGGTGTGTCTCCTCAAGTTCTGCTTGCTTCTTCAGGCCTTGCTTGCATGCCTATCGTGCCACACATCATATCTCTTTTAGGAAGTCCTTGCCTTTTCCAAAGATCCTGCTTTGCAGCTGACTGTACCCTCTGCCTGCCTCCCCCAGGATACTGCCTCCTTCCTGAAACCACAGCCCCCGCTCAGGTCTTCCTTCCTTCCTCATCACCAGGGAGCCCCCTGCAGAGCTCCCAGTCCATCCCGGTGGCCTTCTGAGCCTCACCTCCCCTTCCTTCCCCTCCCATCCCTTCCCCTCCCCTCCCCTTCCCTCTCCCCGCTTCCCTTCCCTACCCTACCCTGCCCCCCCACCCCCTGCCCCCAACCCTGCCCTCTCCTGCTCTGTCCTCTCCCTCCATGGCAGGCTAGCCTCCCTGGCTAGAGCTGTCCCTTGCGAATTTGCCATCACCTTGCCTCTCCGTGCTCAGCATCCCCGGCTGTGCAGTCCTTCTCTTCTGCCCACATGCTCCCCTAGAGAAGCATTCTTTTTGCTCAGCCTAATTTCCGTGCAACTCCTCCTGTTTTCTGAGCCTGTCACCGCCTTCCTCTTCCTTTGCCTCCCCACTGACACTTTCCAGAGTGCAGCCACCTCTCCTCACTGTGCTTTTTTGACTCTGAGGCCCAGGAGGAAGTTGCCCTTCTCTGGAGATGGTTCACATTTGATCCTGCCTAGTGTTCCGGGGCACGGCCAGTCTGGGACCGCTTTGACCCTGATTCATGGTTTCCCTTCAGATGCTTTTTGGTCAGCCTGCTTTCCTCGTCTAGGAAATGGCTTTTGCTCATTTTTCTATTGAGTCACTTGCCTTGTTGATATGGAGTTGTAGGAGCTCTTTCTGAATTCTGCCTCTAACCCCATGTTGGCTTTTTGTATTTCAGAGACCTCGTCTGCTCAGGGGCTTGTTCTTACATCTTTTGCAGGGCTGTTTTGAAGTCAGTATTCACTTAAGCACTCCAAATTGTAAGTAACCCCAGAGGTCATGGAGTGTCCCACTGCCCCTCCATCTGGAGGCAGTGACCCCTCTCCCACAGAGGAGGTGCTCGCATGTGTCCAGTGCCCTGCCCATTAGATTAGAGAGGGTTCCCTTTTTTGCTCTCTTGCATTCATTTGTCCGCCTTTTAGCTTTACTTTTCTGCCCTGGACTCACACAGGGTCATGTGAACGTGTGGTGTAGCAGGAGGAGAGAGGTAAAGTGGAGGAATAGGAGCTGGAAGGGAGGAGGAGGGAAGAAAAAAGGAGGGGGAGGGGGAGGAGAGGGAGTGGGTTGGAGGAGGGAAGGAGGAGGAGAAGGAGAGGAGGAGGAGATGAGACCAAGGACAAGAGGTGAAGGAAGAGAGGAGGACACAGAAAAGAGAAGAAAGAGGAGAGGAGGAGACGGAGAAGAGGAGGAGGAGCAGCAAAGAAGGAAGAAGAGGAAGAGGACTAGAAGAGCAAGTAAGGAGGAGGAGGGGGGAGTAGGAGGAGAGGAGAAGGACAGAAGGAGAAGGAGAGGCAGATGAGGAGAGGAGGTCGAGGAGAGGAGGAAATGAGAAAGAGGAGGAGAAAAGGAGAGGAGAGGGATGAGGGGGGAGGAGGAAGAGAAAACAGGAGAAGGAGAAGAGGAGGAGTGAGAGAAAAGAGGAGGAGAGGAGGGGGGAGGACGGGGAGGAAGGGAGAAGGAGAGAAATAGGAGGGAGGAAAGGAGAGGTGTAGGAGGAGGAGGACAGGACGAGAGGAGGAGCAGAGGAGGAGGAGAAGGAGAGGAAGGGGAGGAGATTTGGAGGAAGAGGAGAGGTGGAGGAAGAAAGGAGAAGGCGGAGAAGAGGAGAAAGCAGAGAGGAGGAGGCTGAAGAAAGGAGGACCAGGAGGAGAGGAGGAGGAGGAAAGGAGGAAGAGGAAGAGTGGAATAAGAGGAGCAGAGGAAAAGGAGGAGGGGGTGGGGGAGGAGTGGAGAGGAGAGGAGGAGGAACAGAGTTGGAGGAGGTGGAAGAGAGAAGAGAAGGAGGAGAGGAAGAGAGAAGGAAATGAGAAGGAGAAAAGTAGGAAGAAGAGAGAAGAGGAGAGAGAGAGGAGAGGATGAGGAGGAGGAGAGGAGAAGGAGAGCAGGAGGTGGGAGGAGGAGGAGAGTAAGAGGAGGAAATGAGGAGGAAGAAGAAAGAAGGACAGCAGATGGAGAGGAGGAAGAGAGAATTAGGAGAGGAGGAAGAGGGGAGGAGAGGAGGAGAAGGAAACGAGGAGGAGGACGAAGCTGCATCACCCTTATCAGGTTCCAGTTCTCGGTGCGCCCCGTTCTGCAAGACACTCTCCTGTGGTCAGCCCTGGCCTGCAGAGGATTCCCGCGCTGGATCTCTGAAGGATGCTGGCGCCCTCTCTGCAGCACATTCCTGATGCCCTTGCTGACACATGTGTCCTCTGGGTCCTCTCCTGAAACCTGATCCTCCGGGGTGTCTTCTGGCCTCACCTCTTCTGTCCAGTTCCAGCAAGCTCACTTTGCTTAGCCTTTGAATCCCTTCCTTCACTGTCTGCTGTGACAATTCGGGCCTTTCACTGTCACTCAGGCCTGGACCATCACTGTTGCCCATCCCATGCCATCAACAGGTTTGCCCCATCCCTTCGGCTCCCTACCAGGGCATTCAGTTGTGTTGAGCAGCAGAGTGCCTCCAAGTCCCCACTGGTTGAGCTGCATCCGGGTCCCATCCCACAGGGACCCCCCCTGGCCGCTGCAGGTGCATGCTGATCCTGCAGCTCCTCGAGGGTGTCATCGCTTTCCCCCTTCCCAGACCCAGCACACCCTGCCTGCATGGCGCTGCGCTGCACCTTCACTCTGGTCACGGGTCTGGCAGTCGGCTCACCAATTCGTCCTGCTTCCCTGGGACTCGCCGGCTTTTAGCACTGCAATTCACTCAGCAAACTGGGACTGTTGGTCACCCTACCTGGCAGCCAGTGATAAGGTGAGGGCCACTCCTGGGAGGGAGGACACCTGTGGGGAAAATTCTTGTGTTATTTATTTCTCCTTCGGGATAGGGTGCCTGCAGCGCTTCATGGGAGGGGGTGGGCTGATGCTGCGGGCTCAGAAGTTTCAAGGGCATCTGGGGAGACCAGATATTCAGAGACCTTCTCCTAGATGTGCCTGTTCCATGTATCAGGGACACAGGTTTTCCCAACAGGGCTGGTGTCATTGGCATGACAGACCTGCCTTGGCTGAGCGTTCACCCGTCTTCGGAGTTCAGCCACCTTAGCAAGTCCTGGGTTTGTTCTTCAGATTTTGCTGCTCGCCCATTGCCTGGATCGGGGGCTACTTTGTAAACCACCAGGAAGACTCCAGTGTTTCTGCTTAATTTTTAGATGTTTGTTAATTGCTCTTGGCCTCTCATTAATCCCCTGTGGGTCATCCAGGAAATATACTCACCACTGTCTGTTCTCTGAGTTTTCATTTCCAGGCATCCGCCCTGCCTGGATCTCCTCACCTGCCAGGAACTTCCTCTCCACAAGCCGGCCATCCCAGCAAAAGTTCTAACACCAAAGGTCTGGCAACTAGCCTGCCATCTTGTGCCTGGAGCCGCCTGCGTGCCACCTACTCCCGAAGATGGGAACCTTGTTGCCAGTTGGGCAGATGCGGGGCAATCCTGTACCAAGACCCCATTTTACCACCTGCTTTCTCAGACCACTCTGGAACCCACTGTCTCAGATTGTGTCCTCCAGGAAGCAGACCATGAGAGGGAGTTGGCAGGGCCAAAGATTTACTGGGGCTAACTAACACTCAGGAAAGGGATAGGAAGGAAACAGGGCTGGAGAGCAGGTTGAGCCCGACCTGACAGTCTCGAGCAGCCCAACAGGGAGGTGTGGAGCAAGGGTTGCCCACTAGAGGGGCCTGCATTGGGTACGGGTGATGGGGTCCACATGGTACCTGGCATATAGCAGGCTGTGCAATCCATATTAACTGACTGGATAAATTAATGCTCAGAAAAGGTGCCCTGGAGAATGGGTGCGTGCTGAACACAATAGGGAAGGGCCCAGCATCTGCCTTGGCATAGGCAGAACTGTGCTGTGCCCTGCAACAGGCCACCTGAGAGCTGCTTTGATCTTGTGTGTACATTAGATGACTGCCAGGGGCATGAAGGGGATGTGCTTCCAGGGCATTTGCTGGCAGGGCGTCTCGTGATCTCTTGGTATTGGTGTGAGCACAGCCTGGCAGGAGAGGGCAGATCTCCATGCAAAGTATGTCAGAAAGCAGATGGAAGCCAGGCCCCCTCCTGAAAGAGGCTCCTTGAAGGTAGGTGCACACTCATGTCTTTGTTACTTGTAAGGGGGCATCTTACAGGCAAGAGGAGTTAGGTGAATGTGAAGAGGAAGGAACTGCTCACTCTGGGCAGGGGGCTGGGGGAGGCTTCGTAGAGGAGGGGGTGTTTGAGCTGGGCCTTGAAGGTCAAAAGGGTTTTGTTAGGTGGGAAATGGGGGAAGGACAGCCTGAAAGGGTTAGGTACATTCGAGGAGCCCAGAGAAGGTTCGTGGCTGGAGCAGACGCATTCGTAGAGTGAAGTCATGGGAGAAGAGGCTGGGAAACTAGATTGGTTCCAACTCCTAAAGGACCACTGAAGGAGTGTGGGCTGCACGCTGGGTGCAGCAGGTGAGTTTCCTCACTTGGGTTTCACTGTCAGCATTTTTAAAAGGCAAACTGGTTCTCTTCCTGAGAAGAATTCATTGATTCACTCGTGGCCAGTAAGTCATCTGACAAACCCTTGTGTACTTCTGATGGGATAGGAGTGTTTGTAGACAACAGGCACACAAATATAACATGCAGCCCAGTGCAGCTCAGGAGCAGCCTTCCATGGATAAGCGGTTGGTACCTACAGTGTGCTCCTGTCCTTGCTAATCTGAACACATAGGTAGTAACCTTAAGCATGTCTCAATCTTCTGACTTGTGATGAGGTTTCCAATTCTTGTTCCTGACTTTAGAATGAAGTTTGGAGAGTTGTCATTAGGTCTCTAGGTTCTGAGGATTACTGTGGGGTAGGCAGAGGGAGAGAAGAGTGTTGGGGCCAGATGTTCCTGTGCTTCTACCAGAAAGTTGATTTGCCCAGTGTACCACCCTCACTTGGCAGGCCTGAGCAGAGTGGCCTGCCACTGACAACCCAGAGAAAGAAGGTACAGTGCAGGCTTGCCCTGGTGGGCTCTTGGATGCCCTAAGCTGCAGCATCCAGGGCCAGGTGGGATTTGGTAGGATAGGCCCCCCGTCTACTGTGTCTGATCATACTGCCTTTGAAAGAGAAGGGTGGGTGGTGAAGACAAGACGATGAGACAGGGTGGCCTCTGCATGTTGTAGCACCCAACTGGAACATTTGCAGATGATACTTGGAAAAAGCTTTAGGAAAGAGGCCCACTTCATTTATGAAATGACACCAGCTAATGTTTGACCTTAGTCATATGTTCCTTGGTTCCTCATTTTGCCATCTGCTGGCTGACTCATACAGCTTCACTTTTAATTAAAGGTGGGCTGTGATGAGAGTCATGATCAGTGAGTGGCTTCCATGGCAGAAAGTTCTGTGTAGTTCTTGGGGGATGTGAGTGTAAGTTTGAGGTGCTAAGACGAATATGTCCATACATTGTAAACTATTTCCTCTGTCCTTTCCCTCCTCTAACCATTCCTGCCTTCTTCATCTTTCTAACTTTCCCAAGGCATTTTACATCAGATTTCAGATATAGAACAATGGATGTTAAAACAAACCCAAATTCCTAATGCTTGGTACCATGAAAACATGGCAACACTGTTTGCATTTTCTTTACAAATGGCCTGTATGGGTCAGCCCAGGCATTGACATAGGAGCCCATTGTTTGCATCCTCTGGGTCCTTGTAGTTCATATGCTGGAGCAATGCATAGAGACACACAGAAAGGCTGAGAATGGCCATGAGGTATGTAACAATGAGGCCCAGAGCCTGAGCTTTGGTGTCTAGCAGACCTGGGTTTGAATGTTAGCTCTTTGTCTTCCTGTGTGACCTTGTTGGTTACTCGTCTCTCTGTGTCTCCTCCACTCCTATAAACCAGGAGGTACAAATGCCACTCATGTCACAGGGCTGTTGCTGGGACATACCCTTGCACCTTGTGTTGTCTCTTTCTGGGACTCAGGTTCTCAAGATTTGCTTCTACATTTACAGGTTGGAGATTATTCCAGCAACACTGATGAAAGATTTTTTTTTTTTTTTGGTCTCTCAGCTTTGCAAATTTCAGAGATTTCCAACAGTGTTCAAGGGACTGCAATGTGATCTTGGAAAAATCCTGTATGTTCTTTGAATAATCTCAGTTGTGCTATCTAGAAAATGAACTGGTTAGTCTAGAACATGGTTTTCAAACCTATGTGGCCATGGAATGTCATTTTGGAGGGATGCTTTCACAGGATGTAAGATTCTGAGTTGAAAGTTTTTTTTTTTTTTTTGAGACAGAGTCTCACTCTGTGGCCCAGGCTGTAGTGCAATGGGGCAATCTCTGCTCACTGCAACCTTTGCCTCCTGAGTTCAAGCAATTCTCCTGCCTCAGCCTCCCAAGTAGCTGGGATTACAGGTGCATGCATGCCACCACGCATGGCTAATTTTTGTATTTTTAGTAGAGACAGGGTTTCACCATGTTGGTCAGTCTGGTCTTGAACTCCTCACCTCAGGTGATCCGCCTGCCTTGGCCTCCCAAAGTGCTGGGATTACAGGTGTGAGCCGCTGCACCCAGGTGAAAGCTATTTTCTGTAAGCCCTTGAAAAAAGTTGTGCCACTTCCTTTTGGTATCCATGGTTTGGTAAGGTGTCATTTCTCTCGCATTGCTTCCAAGATTTTTTTTTTTTTTTAATGATTATCATTATTATTATTATTTTAAAGACAGGGTCTCCCTTCATTGCCCTGGCTGCAGAGCAGCATTGCAATCATAGCTGACTGTAACCTTGAACTTTTGGGCTCAAGCAATCCTCCCACCTCAGCCTCCCAGGTAGCTAGGGCTACAGATATGAGCTACCATGCTCAGTTAATTTTTTTTTGTTTTTATTTAATAGTTCTCAGAAGTTTAACTCAAGTGTTTTAGTGTGGAATTTCTTTGGATTTATTCTCTTTGGGATTCGTTCAGCTTCTGAAGTCTGCAGAGTTATGTCTTTTGTCAAATTTGGGAAATTTTCAGCCATTGCTTCTTTGATTTTTCAGCCCCACACTTTTTCCCATCTCCCCTGGAACCCTTATGACACAGATGTGAGATCATTGTTCATAGTCCCACAGGTCCCTAAAGCTCTGTCCATCTTGTTTTCCCATGCATTTTCTATTCATTTTTCAGAATGGGAAATTTCTGTTCTGTCTTCAAGTTCACTGGTTCTTTCCTCTGTTCTGTCTATTCTGCCAGTGATTCCTTTATAGAGTTTTTAAAATTTCAGTTATGGTATTTTTCAGTTCTAAAATTTCCATTTGGTTCTTCATTATGTCTTCTATTTATTTATTTTTTTTTTGGCTGAGACTTTCTATTTTTAGTTTGTTTCAAATGCGTTCTTAATTGCTTAATGAAGCATATAATGGTGGCTTTCAATTTTTTTACAGATAATTCTAACATCTTTGTCATCAGTGTTGACATCTCTTGATTGTATCCTGTCATTCCATTTGAGATCTTCCTGGTTCTGGGTATGATGTGTAACTTTTGATTGAAATCTAGAGATTTTCATATTATGTTAGTAGGTTGAAGGTGTTATTTAAACTTTGTTTTAGCTGGCATCCTCTGACATCACTCCAGCAGAAGAAAGGGAAGGAACACGCTGCATTACTGCGTGGTGAGTGCAGTAGTCTACCTTCGCCACATGGCCTCCATTGATCCCTGAAATGGGTGAGGGGCTCCTTGTTTCTGCTGGGCAGGAGTGGACTTTTTGGATCTGATCTGGGGCTGTACTCATACCTTTGTGGCTGGGAGGGTTCGATATTTTTCAGCACTGTATCCAATATCACCTGCACAGACACCTTAGGGGATGGGGACTTGCTGTTGCCTGGCAGGGATGAAAGTGCCAGCTCCCTAATTGGCCACCTCCGACAGCACCAAGGTAGACAGGAGGGATGTTACAGCTTAGCAAGCATGTTACACTGAGCCCCCTAGTTGGCCTTTGCTGGCATGTGTGGAAGTGGGGATCAAACTATATTTCTGTGGTGTTAACTAGAGTAAAGCAGCTCACTGTCTAAAAGTTTTCTATCTTGCTAAGTCACAACTTTCCTGGTCCTCTGGCTTTGGTCCTTCTTTCCTCCCTCCCTTCCCGTCCCCCTTTCCTCCCTCTTTTCCTTCATTCCTTCTTTCTTCTTTCCTCTGTGTTTGTTGACATTTCTAGATCCCAGCTCCTTCAGCTCCATGTCTGGTATATATGGGCAAAGAAAGAAAAGAGAGAGGGAGAAAGAGGACGGGAGAGAAAGGGAGGAAGGGGAAAGGAGAGGAGAGGGAAAGAAAGAGGGTAGAGAGAGAGGGAGGGAGGAAGGGGAAAGGAGAGGAGAGGAGAGGGAAAGAGAGAGAGGAGGAGAGGGAGAGAGAGAGAGAGAGAGGAAGGGAGGAAGGGGAGAGGAGAGGGAAAGAGAGGAGGAGAGGGAAAGAGAGGAGGAGAGGGAGAGAGGGAGAGAGAGGAAGGGAGGAAGGGGAAAGGAGAGGAGAGGGAGAGAGAGAGGAAGAGAGGGAAGGGGAAAGAGAGGAAAAGAAAGAGAAAAAGAGAGGGGAAGGGAGGAATGGGAAAGGAGAGGAGAGGGAAAGAAAGAAAGAGAGAGAGACACACACCAGAGAACTAATTAACTCCATTGTTCCTCAGGTCACAAGGTCCCCGTCTGATCTGCCTTCACTCCACCTTTCAGAGTCTTATGTTTGTTTTGTGTATATTATCAAGGGGTTTTAGGTCACTTAGTCGGAAGAATAGGGAAAAGTATGTCTACTCCAGCTTAATGGAAGTGGAATTCTCCTGAGAACCTTTTTTTGATACAAAATATGTACTTGTGCATATTTTGTATCAAAATATATAATGTACATGTCCCTTTTGTACATGTATATAAATTGTATATAAATATTTAGGGTTATAAAAATAACCAAAGACACCAAAAACTGCCACAGGTGGATTTGAGAAGATGTGGAAATGCCTCACTGCTAAGACATGCTCATTCTTGACAGGCTGGGAACCCTGAATGCTGTAGTGTCACCACTGCCCTGTCCTGTACCTACCTATCTTTTCACTCATTTCCTCCAAGCTCAGGTTTTCAGTTTGGGGTATGTGCCACCTAACAGTGAGCTGTGGAACTGCAGCACAATCATCAAATTCAAAAAAGGCAAGGACATCTTGCTCAGTTTTTAAGATACGCCATAGATGGAGTAAACCATAACCTTTGATTCCAGATCCTTAACCCTGATTAAAAACAACACAACCCTTCATGTTGATTTAAAACATCCCTTGCAAAAGATGGTTTGAATATTCCAAGTTGGAAATACCCAGTCTTTTAAAGTTACAGCACCCTTTTTGATACAAAAAATGTGCATGACAGAAATTGTACAGTGAGTAGTGTTATAAAAATAACCAAACACACCAAAAGCTGCCACGGGTAAATTTGAGAAAGTGTTGAAATGTACCGCACAGCATGAGACCTTGCTGGCTCCGTCTAATAGATGACGCTGGGGCTGCAAATGATGTCCCAGCCTTCCAGGGCCTGTGGTCTCCAGAACAGGGCTGAAACCTGTTCTGAGTTGACAGTGCTTTCCCAAGGAGACCCCAAGTTGAGAGGACCCTCTTACCCACTCATCAATAATCAAAGCAGACTTGATGCCCATCAGAGATGCCCAATGATTCTGGTGAGCCGTTCCTCCCTCTGGCTGTCAGTACTGGGGAGTATGGTGGGGACTTTCAGATAGCTCAGTGAAGCTCAGAAAGAGAGGGAGTTCCCCCTGACACCCGCCCCAGTCAGTAAGCCCCGGGGCCTGAGGGGCATCCCCACTGCTCGACCTCTCCACTCTCTCGGGGAGGACGAGGCAGCCTTGACCCACGAGGGCTGATGAATGGGTAGGTTATCGGCAGGCTCCTAGGCCACCAGCTTAGAGGTCACATTGTCCCTTTTAGATTCAGTGTGGCGGGAATCTAAAAGGTCGAGGATCGAGAAGCCTGCAGGATGGCAACGTGAGGGACCCCGGCAGTGCGACCTCAGGAATCCACTCCCGGAACTCTGACTGGGGTGCCTGTGGAGGCTCTGAAGGTACAGCAGCCAGGCGCTCTGTGGCATTCTGAATACTGGCACGCAGCCTTCGGCCTCTGCCAGCTTTTGTGAGCTGCCCTGCACCAGGCAGAGGGGGCCCCCAGGCCTGGCACAGGGTCTGACACATGGCAAATGCTACAGAAATAGCTGTGGACCGCCTGACTGCAAGATCGTATTGAACATCTGGTGCCGGGCCTCAGCCTGTGCTGCTGCAGCCAGGAGCAAATACGGGGAAGTCTGGCTAAGGAGAACGCATGCCTGTGTGGGCCCCAAGGATCCATCTTGAGATCAGGAGGAACAAGAGCCCAGTGACCTTGACAGCCAGCTCAGGCAGCCTGTTAAATCCCATGCCCAGAGGTTTCTAGCTTCTGCCCCAGAGGCCCAAGATGAGGATGTGGCAGCACAGGTAGGCCAAGGGAAGGATGAACTCAAAGAGAGGTGGCCAGACCACCTGAGACACCTGTTGAAGTGCGCTTTCCCATTCCCAGACCTGGGAGCTTCTGAGACCAGGTGCAGAAACCAGATTACACTCATCTTTCTGACCTAATTCACAGAGTGGATAGCAGCCCCCACCTAAGCACAGCCCCCTCACTGGGCAATAAGTCAGCAACAGCAATGCTGGCCACACGGGAGGCCCTCAGGTGTCCTCACCCCACCCCTAGGTTTACTGACAGGTACCCTGCAGGGGAGAGGGTGGGGCCCTGAGCTGGACTCCACCCAACACTGCCACCTCCCCAGCCTGTGTCCTCCCTACCACCCGAGGAGCTGAAGGACCCAACAGCACACCCTCAGTGGTTTCTGAAAGGAAGCAAAGTTCTTTCTACCCTTTTTCACTTTGGGTGAAAACATGTGGCTGGGTTGACAAGTCGGTTTTTTAGAAAGGAAGCACTGACTAGCGAAGGACTCGCCCAGCCAGAAGAGGGCTCTGCAAAGACAGCCCCATCCCCAGGATGGGAATGCTGGATTCAGACACCACAAACCAAGAGAACCCAGACTCTGGACGTGGAGCAGTACCAGGGTGAAAGACTTTTCCCACCGACATGGTCACATAGCCATTCTCCTTGAAGTACTGGGGGATGGTGGAGAAGTTTCCAGCGTGCACCCTCCAGTAGGAGTTGAAGTCGTACAGGCGGGTGGTGTCAGGTCTCCTGCCAGTGAGGAAAGAAACGCGGCTCGGGGCGCACACTGCTTGCTGTTAGGGAGCAGAAGCAGAGGTAAGCATCGCCACAGCAAAACATGTCTGCCATCTCTTAGGTAACCAAGCAACCGCCCTCCCGAGGCCCCTAGCAAACAGCTTGGTAGCTGAGTCATGCAGAGCTCAAACCAGACACTGGGATTTGGGTGTCACCTAGGCAACAGACTGCTTCCGGGAGAGAAAAGGGAAGCAATCAGCCCCTGAAACCAGCAGTTGCTTATCTCCTCCTACGCAATGGCCTCCCCAGGCACACAGAGCGGCCAGTGTTGCTGGGGGCAGAGCCATGAGGGGGTCCAGGGAGCAGAGCCACCCTGGCTAGCTCTCACCTGAGGCCCAGTCTGCAGACCTGTGGGTGCCCTTCTGCAGCACCCCTTCCTTCTGAGCACCAGGCAAGCGCCCGTTCTGGGAGAAAGCTGGCCAGGGCTGCCATGAACACATCAGGGCCAGGGCGCACCTTGCACCCAAGGAGAAGGCCACCCTTGAAGGTCAAGCTTTCCCATGAGTGGAAAACCAGATTTTCTCCACTACCATTTTCCAGACTATGCTTCCCTCTAACAAGATGTCCCGCACAATCTGTGCCATCTGACAGTAGCTGAAGCTCCCCGCCCCCAACCCTCAGTGCACGAAGCAGCACACACCCACAGCTAGAGGTTCCCAGACATACCTGCGCAAAGGCATTCTGGAAGAGGAGGCTGTGGGATGCCAGTTGGTCAATGTTTGGGGCCTTCACTAGTTCATCCCTGCAACTTGAAAGGATAGGACATGTGCTTTGGAAAATAACACCTGTAGCCAGCCACAGTGGCTCATGCCTGTAATCCCAGCACTTTGGGAGGCTGAGGCAGGTGGATCACTTGAGATCAGGAGTTCGAGGCCAGCCTGATCAACATGGAGAAACCCCATCTCTACTAAAAATACAAAATTAGCTGGGTGTGGTGGTGCATGCCTGTAATCCCAGCTACTCAAGAGGCTGAGGCAGGAGAACCGCTTGAACCCGGGAGGTGGAGGTTGTGGTGAGCCGAGACTGCGCCATTGCACTCCAGCCTGGGCAACAAGAGTGAAACTCCATTTCAAAAAGAAAAAAAAAGAAAAAAAAAGAAACCACCTGTAATAGAGTGAGGGAAGTAGAATTGGGAGGAAAGTGGAGTTGTTTTATGACAGTTGAATCAGACGTCTCAGTCAGTCCCTGAGGGAGCTCTATGGTTGGGAAGATTCTATAGAGATGTTGCAAGTAGAGGCTGGAGTCCAGGTGTTGGTACTCTCCACCCTTCATTGACCCCTTGACTGATATTTGGAGAGAGACTTAGTTATGTGCCATCATCAAGCAACACCTTTGGCAGGCAGTGGAATGATGACCTCCACCATTAGGCTGGGCTGTGGAACGACCACAGCATTGACTACAGCCCATGCCTTGCAGGCCTCAGATGGGCTTGCTTCACACAGGATGCTCCCCTCATTTGGGAATAACTTCTCCAGGGTTTGGCTTGGCCCTTTTCCTAGGGAGGTGAACATGAGGCAGGGTAGTGGGACGGTGTATGGCCTGCATGACTGCAGCTGGCTTTGAAGCCACAACTGATGCTCATGGTCTTCTTCATCTACTATCCATTCTAGAGTACCCTCAGTCTCAGCCACCATGTCTGCCGTTCTCAGTGACCTGGCTGGTCGAGTAACAGACCTTTATCCCTGAGGATTGTTTCTGAGCCCATGGTCCCCGTGCCCTTCTCAGACTGTGGAAATTGCATGTGTCCATTTACCATAAAAATTGGGCAGGGAATTATTAGGAGACATTCAAATGGATCACCTGGGTGCCAAATATATCCTTCTCTGTTCACAGTGTGTAAGAACAACCCTGCCTCCTCCTGATGATCAGAGCCAATACCCCTGACAGAGTGGCTACTCTTCTTTACACCTGCTTAGTCCCACAGCCATAGCAGGAGGAATGAACCCAAGGTTCCCATGACTTGTAATTCAGTTATCAGCCATGGCTCGTAATTCAGTGGGGCTCCTACTGTGTCTACTGGTGGAAGCATTTCCATTTGAATAGCCAGGATCCACTGTTCAATAAGGTAGCCACTAGCTGCATGTGCCTACTGAGTACTTGAAATGTACCTGGTGTGTCTGAAGAACTGAATTTTAATTATCTAAAATTCAGATAAAATAACAACTAATTTTATCTTAATTTAAATTTAAATAGATGAATTTGGCTAGTGGTGACTGTATTGTGGGGACAGGAAGCACAAATTCCCATGTGGATCACTAGGAGAGATAATAAGTGGGGTCATTTCACCCCTTGGTCCCCTGCTTCCAGACCCAAAGAGGCCTACATGGCATTGTGCTTCCTTCTTAGTTGTAGGAGGTGTGAGATACAATCATTTGCCTCTGACTTTGGAGGGTTGGTCCTAGCATGCCCCTGACCAGTAGCCCCTTAAATACTTCATTGATATGGAAGGTCTCTGAATCTTCGTGGGCTTAATCTACCACTCTCTGAAGTGCTTATGTCTTTCAAAGGCCTCTAAAATCTCTGCCATGTCTTGCTCATCCAGTTGTTAGCATGATGTCATTGATACAGTGGACTTTGGAATCTAAGTGGGGAGACACTGGTAAGTGACCAATTACTTCACCTGTGGTGTGCAAGCCAGATCAGGAAGCCTCTACCATTGCTTTCCTGTGCTGGGAAAGCTATTTTTAGTGTGTAGACTTCATGCCAGATTTGCCCAGATCAGGGGCGGGATGCCCAGAGCTCCTGGTTATTGGAAGTGCTCTACCTTGAGTACAGAAATCCACACCAACTCACTCCCTTCTCCAAGGGGACCCTCACCCTGAGGAATTTAACTGGGCCTTGCTAACATGCTGGGAGAATGTCCCTGAGAAAAAGAGCAGTGAAGGCGCACATGAATTTCCTGTTGCATACCCACAGTGGGCCAGAAACAAGACCATTGGATTTTTACCTCGTACTTTTGATGTTTGGCAGCCATTGATTCTAGTTCGGGGGTGAAAGATAGAGATGACACATGTATTGGAACCTTTCTTGGGGACTGCTAGTCTTAGGGACAAACTGCCAAAATCAAGCTAGGCAATGGTGGCCACAGCTATGGGATGGAGAGTGAGGAATAGGACATATAAGCTGACAGCTGGAGGCCCAGACACTGCCCATGTTAGTGTGGTTGGGGACAAAATAAGGAACCAGAGTGGGTGGAACAGGAGCAGTTCAGGGACTCTGCAGAAATAACCTATGGCTCCTCAGAGATCTTACAAGGGAAGCTTCCCTTGAGCACCTAGATGTCAAAGAGATTGGCAGAGGCAGGAAGGACATGTTCCCAAGCAAAAAGTAACAGCAGCTAACTTTGATTTCATGGAAGGTGCGAGTCCAGCTGTGAGTCAGAATAGGGAGACAGGCAGTGAACAGAGGACAGAATGATGACCTGCAGTGCTGAGAAACAGGCCTATCCATGACTTTGTCCTCAGTCCCTGACCCAGGGGAACACCAAGGATGCCATGGGGTGCAGGGAGGGCCAGAAGAGCTAAGTACCCAATTTCTACATAAGGGCCCCTGCTCCAGGACAGGGCCGGGAGAAGACATATAGATGATACCTACCCCCAGTCCTCCAACAAACACATCTGCCTCAAAACTGACATATTCTCAGCTGGTGGAAGCATCCAGGAAAGATAACACATAGCTCCATGTGCAGCTGTGGTGCCTGTGGGGCACTGGGGGTTATACCACCGAACAGAGCTTGGACAGTGTCCCCAGCTCCTATTCTTTTTGAAACTGTGTTAAAATATATATCATATAAAAGTCACCGTCTTAACCATTTTTAAATGTCCAGTTTGGTGGCATTCAGTACCTTCACATAATTGTACAATCATTGCCCCACTAGCCCCTATTCTTTTTAAAAACATTCAACTTATATAAATATTTTAGATTTAGGGGGTACATGTGTGGGTTTGTTATAAGGGTGTATTGCATGATGCTGAGGTTTGGGGCTCGATTGAACCTGTCACCCAGGTAGTGAGCATAGTACCTAATAGGTAGTTTTTTAACCCACATCCTTCCTCCCTCTCGTCTCTTGCGGTTCCCAGTGTCTGTTGTTCCCGTCTTTATGTCCATGTGTACCCAATGTTTAGCTCCGACTTACAAGCAAGAACATGTGGTATCTGATCCTGCGTTAATTTGCTTAGGATAACGGCCTCCAGCTCCATCCGTGTTGCTGCAAAGGACATGATATCATCTTTTTATGGCTGTGAAGTACTGGTGATACAGATGCACCACATTTTCTTTATCCAGTCCACCGGTGATGGAAGCTTAGGTTGATTTCATCTCTTTGCTATTGTGAATAGTGCTACAATGAACACACCAGTCCATGTGTCTTTTTGGTAGAACAATTTATTTTCTTTTGGATATATATCCAGCAATGGGATTGCTGAGTTAAATGGTAGTTCTGTTTTAAGTTCTTTGAGAAATCTCCAAACTGCTTTTCACAGTGGCTGCACTAATTTACACTCCCACCAACAGTATATAAGTGTTTTCTTTTCTCCACAGCCTCACCAGCATCTGCTGTTTTTTGACTTTTTAATAATAGCCATTCTAACTGGTGTGAGATGGTATCTCATTGTGGTTTTGATCTGCATTTCTCAGATGTGATGTTGAGCATTTTATCATGTTTGTTGGCGCTTGTATGTCGTCTTTTGAGAAGCGTCTGTTCATGTCCTTTGCCTGGTTTTTAATGGGGTTGTTTTTAGCTTGTTGATTTTAGTTCCTTGTAGATTCTGGATATTAGACATTTTTGGATGCATACTTTGTAAGTATTTTCTCTTGTTCTGTAGGTTGTCTGCTTACTCTGTTGACAGTTTCTTTTGCTGTGCAGAAACTCTTTAGTTTAACTAGGTCCCACTTGCCAATTTTTGTTTGTGTTGCAATTGCTTTTGAGGACTTAGTCATGAATTCTCTGCCAATGCTGATGTCCAGAATTTTCTTCTAGGATTTTTGTAGTTTTAGGTCTTACATTTAAATCTTTAATCCATCTTGAGTTAATTTTTGTATAAGGTGATAGGTAAGGGTCCAGTTTCATTCTTCTGCATATGGTTAGCCAGTTTTCCCAGAACCATTTATTGAGTAGTAATTCCTTTCATTATTGCTTATTTTTGTTGACTTTGTCGAAGACTTTGTTGTAGGTGTGCTTCATTATTCCTGGGCTCTCTATTCTGTTCTATTGGTGTGTGTGTCTGTTTTTGTACTCGTACTATGCTGTTTTGGTTACTGTAGGCTTGTAGTATCGCGTGAAGTTGGATAATGTGTTGCTTCTGGCTTTATTCTTTTTGCTTAGGATTCTTTTGGCTATTTGGACTTTTTTTTTTCTTTTGGTTCCATACAAATTTTAGGCTAGTTTTATCTAATTCTGTGAAAAATGACATTGGTATTTTGATAGGAATAATTTTGAATCTGTAGAATGTGGATATATGCATATTTTAATAATACTGATTCTTCCAATCTATGAGCATGGAATGATTTTTCATTTGTTTAAGTCATCTATAGTTTCTTTCAGCACTGTTTTGGAGTTCTCCTTGGAGAGATCTTTTACCTCCTTGGTTAGATGTGTTCCTAGGTATTTTAATTTTTTGCAGCTATTATAAATGGAATTGTGTTCGTGATTTGGCTCCCAGCTCGAACATTTTTGGTGTATAAAAATGCTACTGATTTTTATACATTGATTTTGTATGCTGAAACTTCACTGAAATCATTTTCAGTTCTAGGTGACTTTTGGCTGAGTCTTTAAGGTTTTCTAGGCATAGAATCATCTCATCAACAAAGAGAGACAATTTGACTTCTTCTTTTCCTCTTTTTTTTTTTTTTTGAGATGGAGTCTCGCTCTCTCGCCCAGGCTAGAGTGCAGTGGTGCGATCTTGGCTCACTGCAACCTCTGCCTCCCAGGTTCAAGCAATTCTCCTGCCTCAGCCTCCAGAGTAGCTGGGATTACAGGTGCCCGCCACCACGCCCAGCTGATTTTTTGTATTTTTAGTAGAGATGGGATTTCGCCATGTTGGCTGGGGTGATCACGAACTCCTGATCTCAGGTGATCCGCCCACCTCGGCCTCCCAAAGTGCTGGGATTACAGGCATGAGTCACTGCGCCTGGCCCTTCCAGCCCTTCTTTTCCTAATTAGATGCCTTTTATTTCTTTATCTTGCCTGATTGCTGGCTAGGACTACCAGTACTATGTTGAATAGGAGTGGTGAGAGTGGGCGTCCTTGTCTTGTTCCAGTTCTTAAGGGGAATGCTTTCAGCTTTTGCCCATCATGAAGAGATGTTAGATTTTTATCAAAAGTTTTTTCTGCATCTGGTGAGATGATAATGATTTTTGCTTTTACTTCTGTTTATGTGGTGAATCACAGTTATTGATTCATGTATGTGGAACCAATCTTGCATCCCAGGAATAAAGCCTACTTGATTATGCACAATTAACTTTTCGATGTGCTGCTGAATTCAGTTTGCTAGTATTTTTTTTTTGAGGATATTTGTGTCTATGTTCATCAGGGATATTGGCTTGTAGTTTTCTTTTTCTTTTTCTTTTTCTTTTCTTTTCTTTTTCTTTGAGACAGAGTCTTACTCTGTCGCCCAGGCTGGAGTGCAGTGGCGCAAGGTGCAATCTTGGTTCACTGCAACCTCTGCATCCTGGTTTCAGGTGATTATCATGCCTCAGCCTCCCAAGTAGCTGGGATTACAGGCATGAGCCATTGTGCCAGGCCTTCTTTTTTTTTCTTGTCATGACTTTGCCAGATTTTGGTATCAGGATGATGCTGGTTTTGTAGAATGAGTTAAAGAGGAGTCTCTCTCAGTTTTTTGGAATAGTTTTAGTAGGATGAATACCAGCTCTGTTTTATGGATGTCTGGTAGAATTTGGCTGTGAATCCATTTGGTCCAGGACTTTTTTTGTTGGTAGGTGTTTTTCTTTTTTGTTTGTTTGGTTTGTTTGTTTTGTGACAGGGTCTCGCTTTGTCACGCAGGCTGGAGTACAGTGGTGCAAATTCAGCTTACTGCAACCTCTGACCCACAGGCTCAAGCCATCCTCCCACTTCAGCCTCCTTAGTAGCTGGGACTACAGGTGTACACCACAACGCCTGGCTATTTTTTTTTTTTTTGTCTTTTTAGTAGAGACAGGGTCTCACTATGTTGCCCAGGCTGGTCATGAACTCCGGAGCTCAAGTTATCTGCCCGCCTCGGCCTCCCAAAGTGCTAAGATTACAGGCGTGAGTCATTGTGCCCAGTCTTGTTGGCAGGTTTTTTTGCATTGCTAATTCAATTTTAGAACTTGTTATGGTCTGTGTAGGCTTTTAATTTCTTCCTGATTTAATCTTGTGAGGTTGTGTTTTTCTAGGAATTTATCCATTTCCTCTGTTCCTAGGAATTTATCCATTTCCTCTGTTTCTAGGAATGTATCCATTTCCTCTAGATTTCCTAGTTTGTGTTCATCGAGGTGTTCTTAATAATCTCTGAACAGCTGGGCACGGTGGCTCATGCCTGTAATCCCAGCACTTTGCAACACTGAGGCAGGTGGATTGCTTGAGTTTGAGACCAGCCTGCGCAACATAGTGAGACCCTGTCTCTATTGAAAAAAAAAAAAAAAGAATAGTCTCTGAGGATCTTTTGTATTTCTGTGGGTTATAATGTCACCTTTGCTATGTCTGATTGTACTTATTTGAATCTTTTCTTTTTTTTGTTTGTTAATCTAGCTGGCAGACTATTAATCTTGTTTATCTTTTCAAATAATTAACTTTTTGTTTCATTGATTCTTTGTCTGGATTTTGAGCCTCAATTACATTTAGTTCTGTTCTGATTTTAGTTATTTCTTTCCTTCTAGCTTTGGGGTTAATTTGTTCTTGTTTTTCTAGTTCATCTAGCTGCAATATTAGATTGTTAATTTGAGATCTTTCTATTTTCTTGATGTAAGCATTTAGTGCTATAAACGTTCCTCTTAACACTGCTTTTGCTGCATCCCAAAGATTTTGGTATATTGTATCTCTGTTTTCATTTATTTAAAGTAATTTTTTTGATTTCTGCTTTAATTTTGTTTTTTACACAAAAGTCATTCAGGAGCAAGTTTGGTTTCCAGGTAATTGTGTGGTTTTGAGAGTTTCTCTTGGTGTTGATTTCTATTTTTGTTTCACTGTGGTCCAAGAACCTGCTTCATATGATTTCAGTTTTTTTGAATGTATTGGGACTTGCTTTATGGCTGATCACGTGATCAATCTTAGAGTATGTACAGATGAAAAAAATAGATATTCTATGGTTGTTGGATAGAGTATTCTGTAGATGTCTATTAGATCCAATTGTTTGTGTCAAATTTCAGTCCAGAATTTCTTTGTTAGTTTTCTGCCTCAATGATCTGTCCAATGCTGTCAGTGAGGTGTTGAACTCCTCCACTATTATTGTGTAGCTGTGTAAATCTTTTTGTAGGTCCAGAAGTACTTGTTTTACGAATCTGTGTGCTCTATGTTGGGTTCATATGTATTTAGGATAGTTAAGTCTTCTTGAATTGAACCATTTATCATTATATAACGCCCTTCTTTGTCCTTTTTTTACTGTTGTTGGTTTAAAGTCTGTTTTATCTAATATTAGAATAACAACCCTGGCTGTTTTTTTGTTTTCTGTTTGTGTGATAGATCTTTCTTCATCCCTTTACTTTGAGCCTATGTAGCCCCTATTTTTTAGGATAAAACACCTAAGATAGAAGAGGCTATCTTTTTCTGGAGGTTACAAAGCTGTACTTGTGGGAGGACTGTTGGAGGGTCACACATGAAGACTTGATCTGGTTGTTTTACTGTGTATTCTCCCCCAACATGTTCCTCTTACTTTTATCCTGAATATCATGCCTCCAGCCCCCACTATGACAAAAACAAAGATTGAAGGAAACTGCTGACCTAACACCAAAAGTCTCTGATGCCTGCTCTTGAAACTGCTCCTGCAAGAGACTAGATAAGCCCGGACCTCGGGGAAGCAGGGAGAGGTGGGAGAGAAGTGACTTGGCCAGGAGAAAGAAAAGGGTCTAAAGGTTAAGGAATTTTTGGAATGGGAAGGAGAACTAGAGCTTGACATGGCATGTATTAGGGGCCAAGTGGGATAGACTCCAAGGACAAGCTTCAACACTTCTGCCTGTCCCTAGCTGTCTCCTGCCCTGTAGGCACCTGCTGTTTGGACACTTACAAGCCCACTTAAGAAAATGGTGGAGGACTCAGATATCACCCCCTGTTTGACGGATACATGGGTAAAACAGAATCGGCAGAGTACTTTACCTATGAGCGGGGAAGAGGGGTCCAAGTGTCACTGTTACACTTCCCTGTTCTTGGCTTCCTCCCACCACTTCCCACTTTAGAACCCACAGGGCCAATTCTTGTAGTCAAATGATTATTTGTTTCCATATCTTTCTGCAAAGGGTAAGGCCAGAACTTGGTTAAAGGATATATTTGCTTCATGCTGTGTCTCGCCAAACATCTCTCTTTTATCACCACAGCCTTTATGTGGCTGCAAGAAGAATTTGGCTCCTGTGTCTGAGCCTGTCCTGGGAGTTGGGAGACATGGGCTCTCAGCACAGCTCTGCTGTGGAAACTGCCTGGGAGATGTAGGCTCCCAATTTGTTGGGAGTGTGTGTGAGTATAGGTGTGTGTGTGAGTCTGTGTGGAGGTAGAGGAGGGATGGTCCCTGGGACTGAGTTTCTAGGCTTCTCTAAGTCTTTGTCAGGTTCTTTAGCAACTTGCCTCCTACCATCTCCATGAAAGGAAGTGGTCACTCTGACAGATGAGATAAAATCATCCTCATGATGGAAAGAGAGTAAATGGAAGAGGGGCTCTGCTTTGATGGAGGTGCCTGCTTTTATGCTACCCCATGACCCAAACCTGGCACCATCAGTTCAAGTCCACTGAGGGATTGCTGGCAAGGGAGCTTTAGAGATTTTGGTAAACTATGAGATTTCGTCCTATAAAGGAAAGGGGTGTGTGTGTGTGTGTGTGTGTGTGTGTGTGTGTGTGTGTGTGAGAGAGAGAGAGAGAGAGAAAGAGAAAGCTACCCAGATAAAGATAGTCAGGCTGCTGTCCTCCACAGGGGAAGCAGGGCAGGAAGCACAGACTTTGTAGTTATAAACCTGGAATTGACCCCTGGCTCCATCACTCAATGGATGTGTGACTCTGAGAAAGTCACTATACCTCTCTGAGTTATAATTACCTCATCCAGAAGATGGGTACAATATTAACCACCTACCTGCAGGAGTAATGAAACTTCTCAGTCTGTCTCCTGGGAGATGAGATTCCTGTGGGAGCGATCTGTAAACTATAAAGCACAGTATTACTAATAGTGGTGAAGATACATTTCTGTTTTCCCAGGAATGACCTTTGAATAAGCGTGTGGGGATGCTGGCCTGAGCCTCAAAGCCTGTAGATGGGAAATGGGCAGATAGTGAAAAGCCTCCAGCTTGGGGAGAAGGAAGAAGAGCCGTGAGACCATAGGTTTCCAGTCCTGAAGGTCCTACAGGATATGGCCTGTTTGGGGACTTAGATTCCATCCATGGGTTATAACCAAATATGTGTAGTGGCTCCAGGCCAATAGGGAGGCAGTGAGAGTTCTGACTTGGGTAAACTGACAGGTTTGAAAATTGAAGGCTATTTCAGTACCAGGAATCTGTAAGGCGGGAAGCCTCTTTTTTGATCTGTGTGGAAATTGATGCCTAGGGCAATACATACCCATGATCTGTTATTCACAAAACCCTAATCCATAAAGCTCTGGCAAGGCTTTTTCATAAGCCTGCTCTAAATTCTCTTGCTAGTAAAACCTAAAATGGATGATACGAAACTGTTTATAAAATACTGAATTTTCTTCATTTATCATATTTTGTATTAATATTCATACATCTCACTGCTTAAATGTCAATGTGTTGGCTAGACTCTGAGAGGTGCTACTTACTGATCTGTACACTTCATCCCCTTTCTGGATTCTGAAAATTATCTGTGCATATGTGATACTAACACCAGTAAGAGCCACCATTTGTTGAGGCCTTGCAGAGGGCTAGAGTTCCTGGATATGTGCTTTTTCTCCAGCCTTGACCTCATGAGGACGCCCTTCCCAGGACAGGTGAGACTGAGGCCCTGCCCCGGGTCAACCTGGATGGCTGGATATTCCACCCTCTGACCAAATTGCACCAAGTGGGTGAAATCTCATTTAGTTCCATCCACGGTTTTCCTTGGAGGAAATTGGCTGAACATAGGGCTAAAAAAATAGGAAGAGCCCTTGGCAAGCATGTGTGTACACCAGTCATTTCAGATAACTGAAATCTGCCCGCAAAGTCTTCTGTCGGGAAATCCTGCACTCTGTGTGGCCTCCCAGTGCAATCACACAGAGCCTGGGTCCACCCACAAAATTCTGGGGTGTCACTTGCTTTAAGAGTCCAATTTTGAAATGTGGTCATGACACCCAGTTGCTACTATCATAGCATGTTCCTCACAGGTGCCGAGTGGGAGACACAATTAATTGCAGGAGATGAAGTCACAGGATGCTGTGCGGCAGCCTTCTCAACATTACTCTGCTGGCAGCTCTCTTTGTCCCTAGGAAGTTTGTGGTTAATTTTTGGCAGGATGGAAAGATGCCTGAAAGCAGCTTTTCAAGGGAAGTCTTGCTTTTGTTTTTGTGGTCTCCGTTTTTCTCCCTGACAGGAGTCCGAATGCAGACCTTATCATGACTAGCACCTGACTTGGGTGAACATTAAGGAGGCAAGATGGCTAGGTGACACCACTTGGCCACAAAACTGAAATAGTTAGCACAGGATCTGGCTTATAGCAAGTGCATGGCCCAGGGTCTCTTCATGGTGCTTATTGTGGTCACGCGTTCTGTCGTTTCCTTCTTCACCAAATCTGTGTAGAGCACAGGGGATAAGTGAGGTGGCTTTTCACTAGCTGAAACTGGGTTTGAGTCCTGCCTTTGTCACTTACTAGCTGTGTGACCTTAGACAGCTTACGTCCACTTTCTCATCACGTAACATGAGGATGGTAGAACCCACATCTCAGCATTGTAGGGCCATAAATTTCTTTAGACAGTGGTGCTCAGGGCTTACTCACTCAGACTTGGTAGCTAACAGTAATAACTTAGAACTAATCTGGATCCTGAATTGTAAAATGTACTTTTCCCCCATGTAAAATTGGGGTTTTCTGACAGCCTATGTTCTGGAAACTCTCTTGCCTATCCACCCCTGCTCTCAGCCTTGTGACCTTCCATGTGCCCTGGTTGCCTATGAGAGCAGATCATGGTTACCCTTAAAGCACAGGGCCTAGCAGCCCAGCCCAGAGCCCTGGCCCGTGGCAGTGTTGCATAGTGATTAAGAAGCCAGGGGCTATGAGACCTTGGGCCAGCAATGACCCTCTCCAAGCCTCAGTTTGTGCATTGCTACTCTGGAGAGAAAAGTAGTGCACAGTCCCTCGGGCAGCAGTGAGGATTCAATGAGTTGAAAAGTCTGGGATGAATTTGATCCGCAAAGATGTTATCGGAAAAGAATACCAAAACAATCCTGGTGTTGGGGTCTTTTGTTTGACTTTGGACCCCACTGTGGACTGACAGTGGTATGAAGAGTGCTAATGTCATCCTCCCTCCAGCCTGCTGTTGTGAGAACTTAATCTTTTTTTATTTTTATTTTATTTTCTTTGAGACAGGGTCTCACGCGGTAACCCAGACTGGAGTGCAGTGGCATGATCTCGGCTCACTGCAACCTCTGCCTCCCAGGTTCAAGCGATTCTTCCTTCTCAGCCTCCTGAGTAGCTGGGATTACAAGCTTGCACCACCATGCCTGGCTAATTTTTGTATTTTTAGTAGAGACAGGGTTTCACCATGTTGGCCAGGCTGGTCTCAAAAGAGAACTTATTCTTTGAGCAGCTCGTTGTTGATGTTGAAAACAAGTTACACTGCATGATGGTAGCCATAGATGGGGCCCTCAGGAAAATGCTCACAAAGCCCTGGAGCCTAGCCAGATGCATCACCTCAGTGCAGGGTGAAAACCCCCACATGGCACAGGCTGTGGCTTCAGAACTGAAAATATTTCACTGGCCCTTATGCATCTCTCTGAAGTTCACTAGCCATGATACAAGCCATGTGGGGCTCAGGAGAGCCAGCAATTGCTACAGCTTTGCCTCATCTGGGCTGGAGCTGAAGCAGGCTAAGAAGGCTAGGATCTGGAACTCCACAAGCTAGTCTCTGGCCAGGCAGGCAGAACCTGCTTCACAAAGGCCCAGTTGATTGAGTACTTTCTGGAGGCTGGGAGTGGGTCCCTCTGCTGGCTGTTTGTGGGATTCACATTTCCTGATGGGGCCCAGGGAAGTTTAGCAGTGGCTCAGGGTCACAGAGGAGCTAGGGTTGAAATCAGGCCTGTCTGATTCCAGAGTTCATACTTTTTTTTTTTTTCTTTTCTTTGAGACAGAGTTTCGCTGTTGTTGCCCAGGCTGGAGTTCAGTGGTGCAATCTCGGTTCACTGCAACCTCTGCCTCCCGGGTTCAAGCGATTCTCCTGCCTCAGCCTCCTAAGTAGCTGGAATTACAGGCGCCCACCACCATGCCACGCTAATTTTTTTGTGTTTAGTAGAGACGGAGTTTCACTATGTTGGTCAGGCTGATCTTGAACTCCTGACCTCAGGTGATCCTCCTGCCTTGCCCTCCCACGCCTGCTGGGATTACAGGTGTGAGACATTGTGCCAACAGAGTTTATACTCTTTAGACTGCCCTATCATGTGACTGCTTAGCCACCATCAATCAGAAAGGTGGGAACCAGGCAGCCAGCTGGGGGCAAGCTGGTGGTTTCTGCATTGGGATACAAAGTAAGGGTTAAGACTGGGGGCCTCGAGGCTTTGCTCCTGCCCAGGATTTAACTGCAATGCTTAGGCTCCAAGATTCGATGGAAAGAAATCCCAGCTGTGGGCTCTGAGGACTTTGAAAACTATGTTTCATATGTGAATACACTTGCCCTTTAGCAAGAATCTCCGCTGATAAGCCTTCCTCCTCTGAGTGTTTTTATTGGTCCCTTAGAAAGTGTTAGAGAAATTTCCCATTTTGATAGACTTTTTAATGATGTTACAAAAATATCATTTCACATTGATTCCACAGGGGGGACATCTGCTGCTTCCCAAATGCCACATTTCTTCAAATAAAAAGCAGAAGACAGCATGCAGTACATAAGGAACTCATGTCTTGGTAAAGACAAAATTGAAATTCTTTTAATAATTAGTCTCATGTCATAGAAAAGAGGACTGATTTTCCTCACCCACCCAGCAAGGTTGCTCTTCTTGCTATACTTGTTTGGCATAAACTACTGACTTCTTGCGAGCACTGATCTTAAGAGGGCCATGGTAATGAGTCACGGTAATTTGGCATGTCTTTGAAGATCCTTCCTCCTACACTTCTGTTTGTCCCCTTGAAGGCATCCTATTTCAGGCTGTGTTTAGCTATTCCTTTTGTTGATGCGTCCACTCATGCCTGAGGTATGTCTCATAACACACCTGTGAGAGGGGACCTTGGAGGAACGTCACCAAAGGCCGAGGAGCAATGTCTTTGCAGTGTTTCCCAGTCCATCTTGTCCTCTGGCTTTTACTTCAGAAGGGACACTCCTGCCTTGCTGGCAAGAGGGGATGGGCTTTGCCTTGAATTCCAGCTGTGGGCTCCGCTTTGCAAGATATCTGCTTGTCAGAACCTGAGACTGCAGGTGTGCAGGGTCTGGTCTATATGACCACGGGACAGGTCCCAGGTATATGACTGACAGGCCTGAGGGACCAGAAGCCCTTCTCCTTACCCAAGCCCAGATGGAGAAAACTTCAACTGTGAGAGCCCTCCTTTATTCCCAAACGGCCATCATTGTTTCCCTTCCCTGTGGCTTTTTATAAAGAAATCTGGGGGAGTAAGAATAAATCGTTTCTAGATCAAAGAGAAACAGCGAAAACCAGGAGAAAAGGCGGTAGCCAATGTACCCACTCCATTCAGATGAATGCAGTCCAAACAGAAAGACAGCCAGTCATACATCACTCAGTGACAGTGCAATGCAATACTTCCAAAGATCTGATTAGGCACTTCTGTTTTTCTTATTTTAAGCTTATGCTTTACAAAGTAAGTTGTTGTTTTTCGTTTTGTTTTGTTTTAAACGAATCGCCTTTAAAGTAGTGGGGGCAAAACACCAGAGCTTAGGCAACCCCTGGTGGAGGCTTTTATAATTCCTCTACTTTTTGGCTTTGACAGCATGAGGGTTGCCTGCTCTAAGCCCTGCCTATCCATCCACCCAGAACTGAAGTGGCTGAATCATTGCCTGGCATGACAGGAAAGTCTTGGGCTTGAGGGGAGAAAAAAAAAGAAAAGAAGAGAGGGAAGACGGTGGGACGAGAACTGGAAAGAAGAGGAAGGAAGGGAAAGATTGTTCAGAGGACGATGCAAGATGTCCACAGGCAAACGGGACTGAGACTAACCTCTTCCATTGTGAGAGAATATCTCAGCTCCTAAAGTTTTTGATATAGTATGTGATGCAGGGTAGGAGCCCAGCAAATGTCAGGGCTTCTGTGATGCCCAGCCCCTTGGCTGCCCCCTCATGCTCCATGCGGCTTCACTTCTTCCTGGGAAGTAAAACAGAATCAGATTCTGGCTGTGTTGCCATTCACTTTCACTCCTCTGGAACCCCAGGGAGCCTAGGGCTGCTACTGCTGCACCTTAGTCCTCAGGGTAGCACAGACCTGGCTACGGAACTAGATGCCTATGGATGACCATCTATACTCTCCAGAGTTCAGATTGAGAGCAGAGTTCTAGCACGTTGCCTCACGCACCTTGAGATAGTCTCTTCTGGGAACAGTGCCCTCCGTGCCCAGCGCATTTGGGTAACATTCACAGCCCACGTTAGACTCCTCCTTGGAACACCATTTCACGTGCCTACAGAGCCCAGGGCCCTCCCTATGACTCTGCAGGGGAGAGAGCCCTCACTGGCATTGGGCTGAGGACAGCCTGGGACACTCCCTTTCCTCATCCAGGTAGTTCTCATCATGGTTCTCATCCCGAGCCCTTGAAACCCCACGAAGGTACTAGCCCCTGGGATACAGTAGTAAATGGACAGGGCAGAGCCTGCCCTTGAGGGGTGCCCATCCAAGGATCCCTGGATCTGGAATGAGAGACAAATCTTGAATTCTCCCCTGAATCCTCATCCTACCATTGTGTGGGACTATATACCAATTTGCCAGTGTGCATTGTCCCCTCCTCCTGGAGTTAGGCTCAAAGGCGGGGGTAGGGTAGAAGTCCAAGAGCAAGGGGACTCCCTTTGCTGTATGGTACCCTAGAAGGTCCAGAGTCCTAGAACTCCTCTCACACCAAATCCACATATCTTAGCTGCAGAAGTGTCTGGAGCAGTCCCCTGAGCTTCCTGTGACACTAAAGTGGCATGGGAAAGCAGTTGAATTTTCCCGTGCCTCCAAGGAGGTAAGAGAGGGAGGGAGAGAGAAAGAGGGAAAGAGAAAGAGGGAGAGAGGGAGAGGGAGAGGGGGAGAGAGAGAGCGAGAGGGAGAGCACGTCTCCAAAAAATGTCACATAGAAAATGGCATGGACTGTGCAGCTAGGAACCAGGTTAGAATGACGACACCACATTGGAAGACAGCATGAAGGTATGCCATCTCTGAGCGCTGGATGGGATTGTACATTGGGAGTGGATGCTGGCATGGACAGGTTGCCATTGACAACAAGCAGATTCTCTTCTCTCTTGCTCTCTCTCTCCGAATTTAAGAGTCTCACAGAATTTAGGTGATAGGCTGGGGCAAAGGAGACAATCCTAAATTGCTTGATAACAATAATTGGTAATTAGTAAGACAATCCCGAAGTAACTGGGAAAATGTGGAATTGACTAGATTAAATTTTCTGTTATCTGTTGGAGTTGAGACTCAAGATAGGGCTCTTTTGTGGTAGATGCCATTCTAGATGGCCCCCAAGTTTCCTGCCTCCTAGTGTATGTGACCCCTTGTGTATGGGTAGAATGTACTACAATCAGCCTCCTTATCCATGTGTTCCACATCTGTGGATTCAACCACCTGTTGAATTTGAAAAAGATGGGTGGTTGTCTCTGCAGTGAACATGTACAGACTTTTTTCCCTTGTCATTATTTCATAAATAATGCAGTATAATAACTATTTACATGGCACTTACATTGTATTAGGGATTATAAGTAATCTAGAGGTAATGTAAAGTATACGGGAGGATGTGTATGTATGTTATATGTAAACACTGCACCATCTTATATAAAGGACTTGAGCACCTGTGGATTGTGCTATCCACAATCCCGAGCTTTAAGTGAGAATGTAGTCCTTCACTGCAGCCTTTTGAGACCCTGAACCTAAGACCCAGCTTAGCTGTGCCTGGATTTCTGACCCACAGAAAGTAGGAGGTGACAAATGAGTAGTGTTTACAGCCACTAAGCTTGTGGTCATTTGTTACATAGCATTGATTGGCCCTTATCCCTCATTCACTGAAGACTCAGGTACCAGGCTCACAGGTGACCTTGGTACCCTGTGTCCTGTCATCATTCTGGGGGACTGCAGTGTATTCATCAGCAGCCTGTGCCACTCACAGACCCTTGACTTCTTCCTCATCTCTAACCTCTAGCAATCTCTTCCCCCCCACCTCAGCCTCCCAGCTTCAAGGCCACATCCTTGACCTTTAAATCACCAGGATCTGTTTTACCTCAGAAATCTTAAATTTCAGGGTCTCATTCTGGGACTAAAACCAGTACTCTCACACCCTTGCTGCCTCTCTATATCCTCACCCATCTCCTAGATCTTTGTTTGTCCCCAGTCCACCAGTCTTCTTAACCACTGTCAGCCACCTGAACTGCTCTCTTACTGGCTCTCTCCACTTGCTCCCACTCTTGTCCTTCTGCTGCTATGAGCCCCAGCAAAACCTCGAGCTTACACCAGAGCAAACAAACAACAAAAACAAACACACACAATTGTGCCAAGTGGCATATATAATTTTCTATCCCAGCTGAGACAATCAATCTTGTTAAATTTTGAATTGTTTATAGGTAGTGTTAGTTTTCTAGGGCTGCTGTAACAAAGTACTACAAATTACATGGCTTAGAACAACAGAAATGCATTGTCTTACAGTTTTGGAGGCCAGAAGTCTTAAATCAAGGTGCCAGCAGGACCATGCACCCCCTGAAACCTATAGAAGAAGAATGCTTCCTTGCCTCTTCCTAGCTTCTTGTGGTTTGCTGGCAATCATTGGCATCCACTGGCTTGTAGATGCATCACTTCAATCCATTGTCTTCACATGGATGTCTTCTCTCTATGTGTTTGTGTCTGTGTCCAAATTTTTTCTTTTGATAAGGACCCCAGTCATATTGGATTAGGGCCCAACCCAATTACCTCCTTTTAACTTGATTACCCTGTTAAAGACCCTGTTTCCAAATAAGATCACATTCTGAGGTACTGGGTGTTAGGACTCCAACATACAATTTTTGGGGGGAGGACACTAACACCTAAGTCAAAAAGGACCAAAAGACATACCATACAAAGCAAAGGCCCTCTGCCCTGCACCTTCCCTCTTCTGTTCTCATTTTAAATGTTTCTACTTTCATTTCTTCTAGTAGATTGTCCCTGTCTTTCTAAATACTATGCTATTTCTATATCAACTTTCTAATGTTTTCAACTTTAGACATTGCTGACTTCTTCCTATGATAGATGAGATCACTTATCCATTCCTCTTTTTATGTACATATTTTTAACCTTGGATTTTGGAAATTGATCAAACCTATACAAGATTACAGAAAATAGTATAATAAACCCCAGGTGTTCATCAATGAACTTCATTGGTTATCAACTCATGACAAATTTTGTTTCATCTCTCCCTGCCATTTTCCCTTCTCCTTTTACTATATAGATTTATTGCCATTTTTAAGTTTTCTATTGTTTACTTTTGTATCTTTAAGTAATATCCCTAAATCTGTATTTCTCTTTCTATGAACTGGGGACAGCGACTATTGATTTATTATTATTATTATTATTATTTTTTTGCGATAGGCTGGGGCAAAGGAGACAATCCTAAATTGCTAACCCTAAATTAATGTGCCTACATTTCCTGCCATCTCCCTTCCTCCTCCCAGCTTTTTGTCAACTGTTGCTGCAGGCCAGGTTCCCAAGGAAGCTGACTAAGATGTAGAGTAATGTGCAGGAAGTTTCTTAGGGAGTACTCTTAGGATCAACACCTGTAGAAGGGGAGGGGAGGGAAGAAATCAAAATTCAACAGACAGAGAAAGTGGGCAGTCTCAAAAAAGGCTTCAGTTAACCCCACAGGGAGCTCTGAAGCTGAAATGGCCTTTCAGAGATGTCCCAAGTTGGGGTAAGGGGCTGCACCTTTGTACCTTCAAGTTGAATCACTGATGTGGGCTTCCTGAGAACAGGGGTGACCTTGGCTGAGGTACCTATCTTTTTCTAAGACAATTTCTGATGAGGGCTAACGACAGCTAACAGCTCTCAAGCCAGCTAGGGAAATAAAATTTTTGGTGTTGAAGG
Organism: Homo sapiens; assembly: GCF_000001405.40. Lineage (NCBI taxonomy): Eukaryota > Metazoa > Chordata > Mammalia > Primates > Hominidae > Homo > Homo sapiens. The sequence goes on along the minus strand of NC_000023.11, from coordinate 149,506,200 downwards.
GAGATCTGAGCAGTGCACCACAGCACCATCACAGCTGTATTTGTACCTTCCCATTGTCCATTGTTGTTTAGTCATAATTAAGTCATCTGGGCTTTGTTATAGATTGATTCTCAAAGTTGAAAATCAAACTGTGTTTGCAGTATTAGGACGGTATAATAGTATTCAGTACAGTACAGTGTAGGGCTAGGATTCCATCTCCCCACAATTGCTGCTCTCTCTGTTTGGCGCACCCTTCTTGCAGACCTCAATGCGGCTTGCTCCCTCACTTGCTTCAAAATTTTGTTCAAATGCCACTTCACTAGTGAGGCCCTGCCTGGCCACCCCATAGAAAATAACAAGCATGCCCCGCACCCACGCTTTATTTTTCTCCAGACCGGGTATGCCCACCGACACTCTCTATATTTTTTTATTGTTTTAAGCTCCACCAAAGCAGGGACATAGAGCCCCAGTGCCACCAACAGCGCCTGGTATACATATTTGCGATACTTAATAAGAATTAGTTGAAGAAATGAATAGGAAAGGGAGTCCCTTTAGATGGAGGAAGGGACTTTCTCAAAAGGCCTCATGGAAGGAGAATGGCATTGAGGCTGGCTTACAAGAAGTGTGTCTTTTATAAAAAGAAGGAAGGGCAGGGCTTCCAGGTGAAAGGCATAGCACAAGCAAAGGCAAAAAGACGGGTAACTGCTAGTTGTTAAGGGCAGTGGCTGAATCGCTATACCCCTAGCAGTTCTACACCTAGGGGCCTGCGGGCCGCTGGGTCTGCGAAGCTTGCAAGGCAACTGGCCCGCCCCCGCTCTGCGCCTGTCTCTCGGCCACGCCTATTGCTGCAGGATGACGCGCACCTCTAGAACCCGCCCCGGAGGGGAGGGACGCAGGGAAGAGTCGCACGGACGCACTCGCGCTGCGGCCAGCGCCCGGGCCTGCGGGCCCGGGCGGCGGCTGTGTTGCGCAGTCTTCATGGGTTCCCGACGAGGAGGTCTCTGTGGCTGCGGCGGCGGCTGCTAACTGCGCCACCTGCTGCAGCCTGTCCCCGCCGCTCTGAAGCGGCCGCGTCGAAGCCGAAATGCCGCCACCCCGGACCGGCCGAGGCCTTCTCTGGCTGGGTCTGGTTCTGAGCTCCGTCTGCGTCGCCCTCGGATCCGAAACGCAGGCCAACTCGACCACAGGTGCCGCCCACGCCCTCCCTGCCATCTCTTCTCCCTTCCTCCCTCCCTTCCTTCCTCCTTCCTTCTTTCCTTCCTTCTTTGTTTATATCCATTCTTTTTACCCTTCCTCTCTCCTACCATTCCTTCTTTCATCCATCATTCGTTCCCTCCCTCCATTTTTCACTCCTTCCTACCGTCCCTTCATCCCTCCCTTCCCTCTTTCCATCTATTCATCCATCCATCTCCTATCCCTCCGTGCTTCCCTTCCTCTTTCCCCCCATCTTTCCCATCTCTATCCATCCATCTTTCCCCCTCCTTTCCTCCCTCCATTGGTCCATCCGTCCCTTTTACCTTCTATCCATTCATATTTCTCTCTCTTCTCCCCTCCTTCTCTCCATCCTTTCTTCCCTTCAGCTATTCATCTTTTCCTCCTTATCTTCCTCCATCCAACCATCTGTCCTTTCCTGCATACATCATTCTCTTTTTTTCCTAAATTCATCTTTCCTTTCCACCATCTTTCACTCACTATCTCGCTTCCTCACCCAGGTTGGAGGCCATGACCAAAGCCTAACCCTGCCACCCAGGACTCAGGCTTCCTCCTCGAGCCCCACTCCCACCCTTGCTGAGGCACAGCGCCCTCCCTGGCTAGGCTGTTAAGGTGCAGGGTCCAGCCTTGGGCCTCTTAGTAACCTAGCACCTACCATGAGGGAGGGTTCAGTGTCAGTGCAGGTTACCTCACCAAAGCCCCTCCCTCCTGTGTAGATGCTCTGAACGTTCTTCTCATCATCGTGGATGACCTGCGCCCCTCCCTGGGCTGTTATGGGGATAAGCTGGTGAGGTCCCCAAATATTGACCAACTGGCATCCCACAGCCTCCTCTTCCAGAATGCCTTTGCGCAGGTATGTCTGGGAACCTCTAGCTGTGGGTGTGTGCTGCTTCGTGCACTGAGGGTTGGGGGCGGGGAGCTTCAGCTATTGTCAGATGGCACAGATTGTGCGGGACATCTTGTTAGAGGGAAGCATAGTCTGGAAAATGGTAGTGGAGAAAATCTGGTTTTCCACTCATGGGAAAGCTTGACCTTCAAGGGTGGCCTTCTCCTTGGGTGCAAGGTGCGCCCTGGCCCTGATGTGTTCATGGCAGCCCTGGCCAGCTTTCTCCCAGAACGGGCGCTTGCCTGGTGCTCAGAAGGAAGGGGTGCTGCAGAAGGGCACCCACAGGTCTGCAGGCTGGGCCTCAGGTGAGAGCTAGCCAGGGTGGCCCTGCTCCCTGAACCCCCTCATGGCTCTGCCCCCAGCAACACTGGCCGCTCTGTGTGCCTGGGGAGGCCATTGCGTAGGAGGAGATAAGCATCTGCTGGTTTCAGGGGCTGATTGCTTCCCTTTTCTCTCCCGGAAGCAGTCTGTTGCCTAGGTGACACCCAAATCCCAGTGTCTGGTTTGAGCTCTGCATGACTCAGCTACCAAGCTGTTTGCTAGGAGCCTCGGGAGGGCGGTTGCTTGGTTACCTAAGAGATGGCAGACATGTTTTGCTGTGGCGATGCTTACCTCTGCTTCTGCTCCCTAACAGCAAGCAGTGTGCGCCCCGAGCCGCGTTTCTTTCCTCACTGGCAGGAGACCTGACACCACCCGCCTGTACGACTTCAACTCCTACTGGAGGGTGCACGCTGGAAACTTCTCCACCATCCCCCAGTACTTCAAGGAGAATGGCTATGTGACCATGTCGGTGGGAAAAGTCTTTCACCCTGGTACTGCTCCATGTCCAGAGTCTGGGTTCTCTTGGTTTGTGGTGTCTGAATCCAGCATTCCCATCCTGGGGATGGGGCTGTCTTTGCAGAGCCCTCTTCTGGCTGGGCGAGTCCCTCGCTAGTCAGTGCTTCCTTTCTAAAAAACTGACTTGTCAACCCAGCCACGTTTTCACCCAAAGTGAAAAAGGGTAGAAAGAGCTTTGCTTCCTTTCAGAAACCACTGAGGGTGTGCTGTTGGGTCTTTCAGCTCCTCGGGTGGTAGGGAGGACACAGGCTGGGGAGGTGGCAGTGTTGGGTGGAGTCCAGCTCAGGGCCCCACCCTCTCCCCTGCAGGGTACCTGTCAGTAAACCTAGGGGTGGGGTGAGGACACCTGAGGGCCTCCCGTGTGGCCAGCATTGCTGTTGCTGACTTATTGCCCAATGAGGGGGCTGTGCTTAGGTAGGGGCTGCTATCCACTCTGGAAATTAAGTCAGAAAGATGAGTGTAATCTGGTACCCAGGATCTATAGGGTCCCAGAGACGGACATTCCTTACCTCAAATGCTGCCTGATAAACTGGCTCTCTTTAATGCCAATATGGGGATAGTGAAAAGCAAACAAACTTTAAAACTTTTTATTTATAGAAGTAATGCATGAGTATTTGAGAAAAAAAATGGAGAAAAAAGTATTGGAAGACAAGAGCACCATAGGGACAATAATGCTTATCATTTGGGAATGACGAATGTTTTCAGTCTCTTTCCCTTTGCTCAGTGGTTACACCGGCAGGCTTGGCAGCCTTCTGCAGGAGCTCAGCTGGCCAGCCCAGGTTGAGAGTGACATTCAGCTCTACTAAGTCAGGCCAGTTTCAGAGGTGAACCTGTCAGGAATCATATTGCACAGCCAAAAGTCCAGTGTCAGGAGAACTTTCTGCAGTTTGGTGTTCTCATTACCATACCCCTTGCCCAAATGCAGCTGGAGGGAAGTGATGATTTTGGAGAGAGGAGGAAACACAGCAGAGGGAGGAGATTGTGCTTTGGGAGGGGAAACCAGGCAAGGACTGAGTGATGTTGCTTGACCTCCTCCCTCCTGATGATTGGATTTTGGCACCAGGCTCTAAGCACCATGTCCTTCTCAGAGAATAAACCTTTCCCTGCAGCCCTTGTGGGAACACATTTTTCAGCTGAATCTTTGTTCTCAAGACCTTTTTCTGTTAGCATTGGGCCTGCTTCAAGATGACAGTAGCCACCACTGTGTGCCAGGTATGTACCGTTTACCATGCTGGCCACTCCTTTAATCCTCCCAACAGCAAGCAAGGTGGGTTTTTATCATCATCATCATTTCCCAAGGAAGACATGAAGGCTCATGGGAGTCAAGTAGCTTGCCAGAGGTTGCAAGGATGCTAAGAGGCAGCATCAGGATTTGGACCTGTGGTTGTTGGCTTCCTGTGTGCTCTTTCCACAGTGCTTGCTGTCTTCATAGGCCCTCCACCCGCTGCCCTCTTTCTCTCCATTCCTGTCTCTTCTGGTACTCCCTATGGGAGTCCCACTGTGTGACTGCTGCTGATGCTTTCTCACGAGGTTCTGCCTGTGATCCCCTCCACTCCCAGCTAACCACTATAGGCAGCACTTCCCTTCAGATCCCTCACAGGCCTCACTGGCTCCTAGAAGTCCTCCCTGCCAGTCCTCACCTGACTCACAATAACCTCTGTGCTTGGAGGATCCCCCACTTGGCACTTCGATGCTTTTGAAAGCTGGAAGTCCTTCCTTGGTTTCCAGTGCTGTTATACTGTCTTCACAAATAAACTATAAACTACTAAGCTTAAGGGTGGGTTTCTGCTTCATGAATGAGCACTTGAACTTGGAATTCTAAAACAAGGTTTTGAGTCCTGGCTCCCTTATCTAATATCTGGTTAGCATAGGTAAGTCACATACCTTCCCTGAGCCTCCCTCTCCTGCCCCCATCGGCTCCCTGATGGTGCTGATGCCTCTGCTGCCTCCTTCATAGGGTGAGAGATAGGTTTCAGCATGGGCTCTAAGGAGCTGACTGATCTTGTCCTTGTGGGTCCCTTCCACAGAGCCTAGCACAAATCATCAGGGCTTAGGGACCAGGAAGTCAGATGCTTAGTTCTCAAATAGAAACTAGAGAGTTTGGCTTTAGAGGGGACCTTTTGTAGATGAGGAAACTGAGCCCCAAAGAAGGGAGGTTCCACTTGCCCATTTGTTTACAGAGTTTTAATTATGGGGAGTGGGGTGTTGAAAGACTCATCATGTTTTAACAACCTTTTTTTTTTTCCAAGGGATATCTTCTAACCATACCGATGATTCTCCGTATAGCTGGTCTTTTCCACCTTATCATCCTTCCTCTGAGAAGTATGAAAACACTAAGGTAAGGCTGTGAAAGGGACATTTCTGAAGAGGAACCACTTTTTCCTTTGTCACATAAACTACTGGGTATACTGCATGTTCTGTGAAGCTGGTTATATACCACGAAGTTGTGGGTTTCATTTGTGATAATGTTTTGACAGAAGTAAGTGTTGGGATCTTCAGCATTAGGCCCGACAGGAGCAGTGGCTTCATTCTAGAAGCTGGTGGGTGCTACTTGTTCTAAAACCTTGGGCTCTAACGTGTCAGACTCATTGAATAGCTCCCCAGTGCTCACGCTGGATGAGACTGAGAGTTGTAGGAGATGCTGAGACATGGGAGGGAGAAAAGAGGCTGAGCTCCAGGAGCCTCAGCCCAGAATGGGAGAAAGGCATGCCGTGTATCTGTCTCTGACCTAATGTGTATGTTCAGCAGCTGAGACCTCTGATAGGGGTTTTGAATTTTTAGAGCATTATGAAAAAAAGTAACCTACAAAGAAAATCTTGGTTTAGAGGAATCCCAAATGTATAAATGAAACTAAAACCCACATTTAAGAAACTCAGAAAACCAGCTAGGGAACTGAGACATGAAATGTATCTCTGAGGTTTTAGTAAACATCGTGTTGGGAAGGGTGAGGATTTGGAAGTGAGGTGGAAGGTATTGTTCTAAGTTCTTGACAGCTTTCCATTTCAGAATACAGTGAAAACTGTGAGCTCTGGCCTTTGGCTTGTGGCTTGAATAGGGAAGATCCCATCTTAATTCCCTGAAGCCATCTTGCTTCTTTTTAGTGGCCTCACTTACGAATGCCAGGTCCCTGCCCTAACTGCCCCCTACCCATTTCTTCTCAAAGTGGTGGGTCTGACAATACTAAATCTCCCTCGAGTGCTGCAAATCGTGTATATATAGATGATGAACAAGTGGTCTGAGGCGGGTGCTGGGCTGTCCTGCCCAAGGGTGGGGTGAGCAAGGCAGGGCTGTGAAAAGGCAACACTCTTTGAGATGGAACAGCAGCTGACACAGCCCCTCGGTCTTTGTGGTATACAAATCATGGTCAGAACTAACTTTGGTCTCACGGCCAGCATGTCTACTTTAGGAAGCAAAGCAGGAGGTTTCATTCTGTGCCTAGTGTAGCTGAAGTTCTGGAAATTCCATGGACTGTCACCTTATCAAGTTGATTGGGACCCTGTCACTTACAAGCCTTAGCCTGTCTTTGAAATTTGAAATGGGTTTTTTTTTTCTTTTTAAATTTTTAATTAAAATAGAGTTCATATACCATAAAACTCTCCCTTTTGAAGTATATAATTTAATGGTTTTTAGCATACTCACGGAGCTATGCAGCCATCACCCAAATCGATCTTAGATCATTTTTATCGCTCTCAAAAGAAACCCTGTACCCATTACCAGTCGTTCCTCATTTTGTCTCAGCACCCAGCGTGGGACAACAACTGAACTATTTTTGGTCTCCATGGATTTGCCTATTTTGTCCATTTGGTATAAATAGAGTCATACACTATGTAGCCATTTGTTTCTGGCTTCTTTCACTTAGAATAATGTTTTTGAGGTTCAGCCACATAACAGTATAAATTGGTACTTCATTCCTTTTTTTTTTTTTTTTTGAGATGGAGTTTCACTCTTGTCACCCAGGCTGGAGTGCAATGGCGCAATCTCAGCTCACTGTAGCCTCCACCTCCCAGGTTCAAGCGATGATTCTCCTGCCTCAGCCTTCCGAGTAGCTGGGATTACAGGTGCCCACCACCACACCCAGCTAATGTTTGTATTTTTAGTAGAGACGGGGTTTCACCATGTTGGTCAGGCTGGTCTCGAACTCCTTACCTCAGGCAATCCACTCATCTCCCAGAGTGCTGGGATTAGAGGTGTGAGCCACCGCACCCAGCCTTTCATTCCTTTTTATGGCTGCATAATTGTCTATTGTACCACATTTTGTTTATCAGTTCATCACTTGATGGATATTTGGGTTGTTTCTACTTTTGACTATTAGGAATAATGCTGCCCTCGACATTTTTGTACAAGTGTTTTTATGGGCATATGTTTTTAATTTTTTTGGGTATAATAACTATGTTTAACTGTTTGAGGAATTGCCAGACTGGCTTTCAAAGTGGCTGCACTATTTTACATTCCCACCAGCAATGTGAGAGGGTTCTAATTTTTCTGCATCCTCGTCAACACTTGTTATTTTCCATCTTAAAAAATTATAACCATCCTTTTGGGTGTGAAGTGGTTTTGATTTGCATTTCCCTAATGACTAATGATGTTAGCCACATTTCCATGTTCAATTGGCCATTTGTATATCATCTTTGGAGAAATGTCTATCCAAATCCTTTGCCCATTTTTAATTGGCATTTTTTAATTGTTGAATTAGAGATGGATTTTTTTTTATAATTAGTCTATCGGGGTTTCTTTTAATTAGTTATGATCTGGAGAAAGAGTATTAGTAGCAAGAAACCAAGTGCTAGTGGATTTCTGGCCCCTGCCTGGAAAACAAGAAACACCTTTTCTGTCTTAGTTCTACTTCTGATGTCTCTGTTCAGTCTGAGTGACTAACACGTGAAGGGCTGATTATGTGAACATTAAATCTGTGTGTGTAGCCTTCATGGCTTCATTTCTTGCACTTAAAAAGCTGATGTTATATTATTTTGTTTTGAAAGACATGTCGAGGGCCAGATGGAGAACTCCATGCCAACCTGCTTTGCCCTGTGGATGTGCTGGATGTTCCCGAGGGCACCTTGCCTGACAAACAGAGCACTGAGCAAGCCATACAGTTGTTGGAAAAGATGAAAACGTCAGCCAGTCCTTTCTTCCTGGCCGTTGGGTATCATAAGCCACACATCCCCTTCAGATACCCCAAGGTGAAGAGCTGGTTGAGGGCTGATCCAGCACAGCTGTGACAGCTGTGTTGTTTGTTGAGGGAGGGATTTGCACAGGGAAGGTGGCTACATCCTGCCATCGCCAGGCACCATGGTTGCCTGATGGGCACTAGTGTCCTCAGTGGAGTAAAGATGGGATTTAGAGGTCAAGGCCAAGAACATGTAAGAATCTTGTAAGAAATGCTTGGCTTTCCGCTTCACTCCACTGGAGGGTTTGATTTCCTTTCCTTGAACTTATTGAGCAGATGTTGGGTTGGATGGTGAGATCACCACAGAGTAGTGAATCAGAGCTGGCTGCCAAAGCCTGTAATAAGGGATGGCCCTTCCAAAACAGCCCCAGGGAATGTGAAACTCTCTTCAAAAACTGCCTGTTCCCCCTGAGCCTGTCAGGTTAGATCATCTAAACACAAAGCACTGCATTGCTTCTTGGAACCTCAAATCCTGTACTTGCTTGTATGTCATTTAGAGCATGTAGTCTTTTCTGTTTTAGAATCCTTTTCCATTTTTCCCTATCATGTTTTATGAGGGCCTGAGCATCCCATCCTTTTGACTTTGCAGAGAATGCCCCTCACATGTAATGAGAGTAGAGACCAGCAGTATGCTCTTTGATGTTGCAGGTATCTTGCTTTGATTGGCCCAGGGGATCTTGCTTTCCTAGTAGGAGCTGTCAGCCCCCTTGATAGAAGAAGGCTGTGAGGTTCACCTCTCCTGCCTCTTTGCAGAAAACAGTTAACAAAGCTGGCCTGGCTGTGATTCTTTGAAAGGCCTGCTTATAAGTCTAGCCCTTGGCTGGCATCTGGGAACTTTGATTTCTGAAGTGTTCTCACTATTCCCAGAATTGGCTTACTATGCTTAAACCGTTTAGACAAACATTATGGTTGATGATAAACCCCTGGGTTTGTTTTTTTTTTTCTGGGAGCCTGGAATTTTGATATGTTCCAGACAGATAGTACCTACCTGACCAGCCCCAAATAAAAACTGGATAATGAGGCTTTAATGAGCTTCCCTAGTTAGCAGCATTTCACATGTATTGTCACACAACTCGTTGCTGGGAGAAGTAAGTATCCTATGTGACTTCCCTGGAAGAGGACTTGAAGCTTGTGCCTAGTTTCCTCTAGACTTTGCCTCATGTGCCTTTTTTCTTTGCTGAGTGTGTTTCACTGTAATAAGTCATAGCTGTGAGTGAGACTAAATGCTGAATCCTATGAGTTCCCCTAGTGAATTGCTGAACCTGAGGGTGGTTTTGGGAACCCAACACCTCACCACACTTTTCTAGCCAGGCAGGAGGTGGGGACAGGAACAGAAGGGCGTCTGTTTGTATGAAGGAAGAGAGTTGTTGCTGCTCAGTTTGTAGGAAACAGAAGTCGTATGATTTCATTGCCATTGGCATCTCATGAGAGTAACTTAAGGCTGGACTTCCAGGTCAGGGCCGAGCACGTGGGGAATGCTAGTGAGCCACCACTCAAATGCATCCCAGGCTTAGAGAAAAGGCAGTATAGACAGTGATAGAGCCACAAGCTTGTGCTTTTGCTAAAAGAGTGACAACTTTGTGGCTTTGTGTTTTTCCCCAAGGAATTTCAGAAGTTGTATCCCTTGGAGAACATCACCCTGGCCCCCGATCCCGAGGTCCCTGATGGCCTACCCCCTGTGGCCTACAACCCCTGGATGGACATCAGGCAACGGGAAGACGTCCAAGCCTTAAACATCAGTGTGCCGTATGGTCCAATTCCTGTGGACTTTCAGGTATCAAGGACATAGTTTGGGGATGTATTGGACACTGATGACATAGTGTCGTAGGTGAAACCACTCTTCTCAGTAGACACAACTCCACCTATAATGTCTTATTAAGAGCTTTCTTTGTGTGAGTTATCAGGCAAAGTGCTGGGGTGGAGGTGTCCTATAGGTATTTAGGACACAGGCAGTGTTGCCTGGATCAGGACTCTCCCAACCAGTGTCTTACTTTCTAAAGAAGGGAATGTCCAGAGAGTTGGTGACTTGTTGTGTGTGGACACAGAGGTGGGGAACCAGCCTGGGTGACCGTTCCTAACCCAGGGGATACTGTTCAGGTGACAGCTCATTAATTGTAGAGTGATGGGCAACTCCCGAGCAGCCCAGAATGCTTGGTTTGCTGGTACTTGCAGGTTCCCTCTGTGGGAAAGCCCATCCTGGCTAGCTGTCACTCTCAGGGGGTGGCTTGGTGAACAGGCCCTTGGTGCAGAGGGAACTGGGACACCATCATGGCCAGTGCCACCCAGCTGTGATGTCCGGCATTCCTTTGCCATGATTTAGGGGCGGAGCAACCACACAATTAGAATCCTCACACTGACTCATCAGTCACCCTTTCTCCCTGGAGAGCAGAATACACATTGACTAATGCTCTTTCTGGAATATTCCACACAGAACCCTGCCCTTCTCTTACCACATGAATGCTGTGGCAGGCAAGCTATAGCGGATGGAAGATGGCAGTGTTTTCAAAGTGTGCATCCTGGACTACCTGCCTTAGAATTTCTGGGAGGGCTTGTTGGAAATGCAAAGTCTTGGCCCACTCAGATTTACACAATTGGAAGCTGGAGGTGGAACTTGACCTGACAACCGACATTTCTTAAAAAAAAAAAAAAAAAGCACACCAGGTGATTCTGATTCATCAGAAGTTTGAGAGCCTCTGCTGTAGAGTATTGTTTAAAGCAAACACAGAACAAAACCACTGCATACAGATATCCCTTGCTATCCAAACTTACTTGGCCCCTGAGTTTGCACAACAAGAGTTTGGTTGGTGAGAGGTGTACATTCCTCAAATGTATTTGATTCCTGTTTCACTGAGAGTTTGGAAAGCAATGCATCCATCTGTTTGTTTTCTAATTTTGTGTTTCTGGGCTCCTGATGGTGAAGTGGCTTGAACTGGCTCTGAGGCTGCACCTGGATGCTTTATTAGTGATGGTCACTTAAAATGACCCTTCAAAATGGACTGTGTGCCAGGAAGGGCGCTGATTCATGTGTGGTATCGCCTTTAGTCCTCATGGGGACTTAGTGAGGTACCTGCTCTCTGTTGTCTAGGTGAGGAAACTCAAGGCATGGGAGGTGTGCTGACTTGTCTGACAGCACAAAATTAGTGCTGGGTGGAGCCAATTCATCCCCAGGGACTGTAACTCCAAAGCCCCATGGTTGGATCTGTTGGTTCCCAGCAGTGTGGGTTCGAATTCATGTTCTACCTCATACCAGCTGCCTAACCTCTGTCAAGTCATGTTACCTCCCTGAGCCTCCCTGAGTTTTCTTCTCTATAAAACTGAAACAAGGTAGGTAAAGTTTTTCCATGATAACACCTACTTTAGAGATTTTCAGCAAGAACCAAAGAGAGCATGTAGAAGTATCTAGGACCGTGTCGGCTGCACGGAGCTATCTCCTTCAAGTTCTCTTAGTCCCCTCCTTACACACAGTGGACAGCATGACTCAGAGGGCCTCCCTGATGCCTGCATGTGCTGGTCTCAGCCCTGTGTTCCCCTTGAACTCTGGCCTGCTCACTGTCCTCTTGTAGCTTTGGATGTCCGCATCCAAGCCCATCTCACTGCACCCTTGAGACTCAGCTCTGGGATCTCTTCAGCTCCAGCCCTCTAACTCAGCTCTACATGAGCCAGTGACCTCAGGGGCCACACTCAGGAGTTTGTTGCCTGCTCCTTCCGAGTCACCATACTGACCACAACCTCTTCTCCTAGCACTTCCCTTGCTCTACCTCACGGGGATTGCTAGAGTATGGATTTCTATCTCCCCCTTGTGTCCAGGTCCTGTTGGCTTTGTTGCTTCCCTAAATAGCTAAGGCCTGGTGGCAGGTGACTTACTGTACTTCCCAGCCGCCCAGCTCACCATACTTGTCCATTTATCCTTGCCCCTCCTGCAGTACCTTTATCGTCAGACACTCCAGCCACACCCTCTGCTCTGTAGTCCAAGTCCTGAAAGCTGCTGGAGAAAATCCATGCCCCCACGAAGCAGGGAGGCCCTCAGATGCCCCGCCTCCAGCCCCAGCAGCCCAGGCAAGCTCTCTGCTCAGCTCACCTCACTTGTCCTCTGCAGCTGCTCCGTTTGCATGACCTCTTCTCTACTCCCTTTCACTGCTCCCCTCCAGGCCTTTGCCACCCCTGTGCCCCATTTCTCAGTGGATAGCACCTTTCCTCTTGTAGAAATGGAAGCTGGTGGACAGCCAGAGGTAGGGGATCGGACAGGGTGGATGTGGGTACGCATCCTGGCTGTGCCCCTTATCAGCTGTGTGACTCTGGGCAAGTTAACCTTTCTGAGTCTTGGAGTCCTTAATGTGCCGTTCACAGGATCAGATGCCACCTAGTGTGTACTTGCTGAATGGGCTCTATTAATAATCTCTGTCACTGAGACCTGGAATTTTGTGTATGCATGTTCTGGGCTCGAGGCCTCTTCCCTCAACTCCCCACCACTGTCCCTGCTTCCCACGTCTGCAAGCAGAATGAGCAAGATCTTCCTTCTCACCTACCTACCCTGCAGCCTCTCCATCCACTCTCATCCCTCCCAGCTGCAAAAGTGCCAGCCCCCTTGCCCCTGCCTGTTTCTGCTTTCCACTCCTTCACCTGACCTCCAAGGCAGAGCGAGTGCACACTGGGCTGTTCTGGCTGTGTCTGTGGCCTCATTGTCCATTTGTTCTTCACCATCCTCTACACAGGCTTCCACCTCCCCAATCCACTAAACTCTCACCTCAGCACTGACCTTGGTGGCCAGTAAAATCTATCTGTGTAGGTCCTGACCTTCCTTGAGCTCTGTGTCACTTCCTCACTGTTGGCCAGCTCCACCCCTTCTGGGACTGTTGGCCTCCCAATCCTTTCTGTGTCTGCCACTTAGGTGCCACTTCCCAGGCCCCCCACTATATCCTTTCCACCTCTTCTTCCCCTGCTGGGCTCAGTTGAGCCTTGGCAGATGACTCCAGAACTACCCCTTCAGCCCAGGTCTCTCCTGATTTTCAGATATGTGTGTTGACCTGCCTGTGAGAGCCATTCCTAGGCAGATGACCCTGGAGACCTCAGCTCCATAGGCTTCCGCGTGGTCAGGCCACCACCCCTGCCCTGCCTTTTCTCCTTCCTCCTCCTCCTCTTGCGCCCCCTGCCCCCAAATGCCAGCGAATTATGCCACCAGCTGAATGTGAAACCTGGAGTCACCCTTGGGTTCCTCAACACCTCCTCCTCCTCTGCTCCCTGCCCCCATGTCTGCTTGATGCCCCTGAATTCCTCTCACATCCACACAGTCCTCTGGATCCTTCAGCACATTGTTCTGGACCACCTCAGTGGGCCTTGCTTTGTTTTGTTCATTCAGCAAGTGTAGTGAGCACCTCTTATGTACCCAGCAGTGGCCTAGTACCATTTTGTCTAAAGCCTCTGGAATCTGTGTCTGTGTCCTGTTGCAACAGGACTCTTAATAACTTGAAGCCCAGATCATGTCAATTTCTCGCCTTGAAAGACCTCAGTGACTCCATTGGCCTAGAACTTGGAGTCTCCACTCCCTGGATAGACCCACCAGGTCCATATTATCTGGCCCGGACCTAACTTTCTAGTCACCCCTCTGCCCTCCCATTTGATTCTCCAGTCACATGGGCCTTTCATTGGCCCCAAATGCAACCTGCTCTGTCACAACTCCACACTGTTCCGTGCCCTGCAGCCCCTGCTTGGAGCATCTGAGCCCCATTTGTCTGACTGCAGGTGCTTCTTGTCAAATTCTAACTCCTCTGTGAAGCCTTCCCTGAATCTCCCAGGCAGATTTGAGGGCTTATTCCCCTGTGTCACCCCTGGGCCTCTGTGGGGGATCGGTCAGAGTGGTGGGAAAAACTATAGGGAAAGGATGCAAACCTTCTGAAAGGTCAGAAGGTTCTGCAGAGCCCCAGGGGAGAATAGCTGTTCTATAACCCTGAGGCAGAGGGCAAGGAGTAGGTACAAGGGAGTGTGGGAGAATTTATCTTAAACAGGCTTGTTTACTTATGTTGACCAGGAACTGACCTTTGATCGTCTGTGCTTGTGAGGTTCCCTGAAAGGGGAACAATAAATGTTAATTACCTGCAGGTTGGCTCTAGGTTTTTGGCATTATGCCTGCACTGAATAAAAGCCAGCAGCTCCAGCTTCTCGGGGCTGCTCTCTGGCCACTAGAGCCAGGCAGTAACCTAGCTGCTCTTATGCTGCATACCTGTGTCTGAGTACTCATTTCATCCATAGGCCAGGGTCTGCAGGACAGACCCAGCAGGCCTCACTGATAATTAAGCATTTTCTTGTCTCCATGATTGTGTCCTCACTGGATGGGGTGGCTCATCAAGGGTGAGGACCTTGTCTGCTTATTGCCTTACGTCCAGGGGCTAGCATAGGAAGGAGGGAATACCTTTGTATAGGACATAGCCATCCTGACAGGTGTCTTTCATCCCCAGGAGGACCAAAGTTCCACAGGTTTCAGACTGAAGACTTCATCTACCAGAAAGTATAAGTAGGCCAGGGCTCAGCATAATCCTGCTGGAAGGCTAGATGTATATCTTTTCTCTTGACTGCAAGTGAGAACGGGTGAGTCTCATGATTGTCCTCACCCTGGCAGTGATGAGAAGAAGCTGGTGGGTCCAGCTGATAAGTCAGGGGCTGGTCTGCGAAGACACGGCTCTCTTCTCACCCCTCTTTGGGGTGGAAGATTAATTTTTGTCCTTAGCATTTGTGAACCAGGTTGGGAATGAGAGTCAGCCCAGGAGGGGCCGGTGGCTCATTTACTTCAGGGCATGATCTGGCTGTTCCCAAAGTGCCTCTTGGGTTCAGGGACTGTGAAGGACGTGCTGCTCTCTGGTATCTCCTTTGCTCTTCTCCTGCCTGCTGACAGTTTGTTAGAAATGAGCTCCACGTAACGGCCATAGTTCATGAAGATATGCAGTTGTAATCTGCTGTTGGGTTAGCAAGTGATCAGAGGGAAAGGCTCAGTCAGGGTTGCTGTTATGTGTTAAATTATGAATTTTTTTTTCCCTGAAAAGGGCTGTTGACATCCTAACCCCCCAGTACTGCTGAATGTAACCATATTTGGAAATAGGTTTATTGCAGATGTAATTAGTTAAGATCAGGTCATATTGGAGTAAGGTGGGCTCCTAATCCAATATGATCGGTGTCCTTTAAGAAGAGGGGAGAGAGACACGGGAAGAACACATGAAGATGGAGACACAGTGATACAGCTGCAAGCTGAGGAATGCCAGGGACTGACAGCCACCACCACCAGCTAGGGAGAGGCAAGATTCTTCTACTTAGAGCCTTCAGGGAGAGAATGGCCCTCCCAGCACCTTGATCTTGGACTTCTAGCCTCCAGAGCTAGGAGACAATACATTTCAGCTTAAAACAACAGAGCAGTAGGTGACACATTCATCCACTGTGATCTGTGCCCTAAAGTGAAATCTGATTTGCTTAGAAATGTATCTTATTTGTAGACCTACAGATTTTGCTGTGACTCTGTGGGTGAAGTGATGCTGATGGTAGGGAAAGGAGTGTTACATTTTGGCTGAGAAAATCATTAAGGGCATCAACTAAGGGGTAGGGATTGGGAGAGATGCACAGGCAAGCATTATCTCTGTATGCCTTGGCAATTTAAATTGCAGTCACTCTCATTTTTATTTTTTTTCAATTTGCAGCGGAAAATCCGCCAGAGCTACTTTGCCTCTGTGTCATATTTGGATACACAGGTCGGCCGCCTCTTGAGTGCTTTGGACGATCTTCAGCTGGCCAACAGCACCATCATTGCATTTACCTCGGATCATGGTAAGCATTTTGAAATTCCCTGGTGAGTCAAAACATCTGAACTTTCCTGTGAAACATGCTTTGCAAAATTGCCATTGACATAAACATGGGTGTGTTCTCTTTTGTGAACCAGTGGTTCACAAACAAAGTGGGATCCTGGGGCATTTTTATGATCAGCTTGTTAGTCCTGAGACCTCTGTCTTAGATGCTTGACGGATAGGTGTGGGTGGGTGGGGGAGGGTCTTGCAGCAACTTTTTTTTTTTTCTTGATGAATGCAGCAGGAACCCTCCATTTGTGTGGCAGAGCTCTTGTAACCCCCATTTTTAACCTGGAGGGTTGGAGGACTTTTAGTTTGGGTGGAGAGGATCCAGAACAATCCTGGCAGAGCCCAGCAAGCTCTTCACGCCTGGCTCCAGCCCTCCCACCCCTATCCCCGCTGTCTTCTCTGCCGAGAGCCTGGGCTTTTCAAGTCTTTATCTCCCCCTAAGGCTGTTTCCTACTTTTCCAAAAATGAAACTATCTTTTTAAAAGCATTTTTTAAATTCTTCAACATTCCAAGAGCAGGGAATAAAACAGCAGCTCCCCCCGTTTCCCACTCACATAGTCTTGTTCCTCTCATCCTCACCCACTCCCCCATCTCTGAATTGTTTCGAAGCAAATCCCAGATGGTTCCATTTTCCGATCACTGTCTCTGAAAAATATTGCCTCTTTTGAAGTATAACCATAATACTGTTATACTTAGAGAAAGGAAAATAATTTTCATATCATCAAATATGAAATAGGATAATAGTAAATCATAACATGTGCTTATCATGAAAAGAAAAAAGGATACAGAGCATGTAATTCAGGGCCAGAACATCCTGCCCTTTTCTCCCACCTGCTCAGGGCTAACAGATGACAATGGATTAGGGATCCATCTGCCAGCCATCAGTTGTGCACATATGCACACAGGGATATATGTTATACATGTGTATGTTTGTAACATGTATGTCACAAGATGTGATTGCTTGTTCTGTGTGTACTGTTAACGTTCCCTGGTTTTGTACACTTAATGTCATAGGCAATCTCTGTGTCATTTCTCAGAAGCCTACCTTTTCCCTTAGAAATGTCTGTAATATTTTATTATATATGGAGGTGCCATAATTTTTCACATATTCCTGATTATCTGCCATCTGCTTCTGAGCCCTCGGTGCCCAGTTTCCTCTTCTCCACGAACACACTCTGTTGTGAGGCAGTTGCCGTAGATTACAAATAGCCCATCTCAGAGTCCCCTCCTGGGACATCCTCCATCAGAACCGCCTGGGAGCCAGTAAAACATGCTGGTTTCTGCAACTGGTCTCAGGAGCTCGCAGTTCTGGGCATGGGAAAGTGCACTTTAACAGGTGTCTCAGGTGGTCTGGCCACCTCTCCCTGAGCTCATCATTCCCTGGGCCTCCCTATGTTGCCACGTCCTCATCTTGGGCCTCTGGGGCAGGAGCCAGAAACCTCCTGAGCTGCCTGTCAAGGTCATCGGGCTTGTTCCTCCTGATCTGGAGATGGATCCTTGGGGCCCACACAGGCACGCGTTCTCCTTAGCCAGACTTCCCCGTATTTGCTCCTGGCTGCAGCAGCACAGGCTGAGGCCCGGCACCAGATGTTCAATACGATCTTGCAGTCAGGCGGTCCACAGCTATTTCTGTAGCATTTGCCATGTGTCAGACCCTGTGCCAGGCCTGGGGGCCCCCTCTGCCTGGTGCAGGGCAGCTCACAAAAGCTGGCAGAGGCCGAAGGCTGCGTGCCAGTATTCAGAATGCCACAGAGCGCCTGGCTGCTGTACCTTCAGAGCCTCCACAGGCACCCCAGTCAGAGTTCCGGGAGTGGATTCCTGAGGTCGCACTGCCAGGTTCCCTCACGTTGCCATCCTGCAGGCTTCTCGATCCTTGACCTTTTAGATTCCCGCCACACTGAATCTAAAAGGGACAATGTGACCTCTAAGCTGGTGGCCTAGGAGCCTGCCGATAACCTACCCATTCATCAGCCCTCGTGGGTCAAGGCTGCCTCGTCCTCCCCGAGAGAGTGGAGAGGTCGAGCAGTGGGGATGCCCCTCAGGCCCCGGGGCTTACTGACTGGGGCGGGTGTCAGGGGGAACTCCCTCTCTTTCTGAGCTCCACTGAGCTATCTGAAAGTCCCCACCATACTCCCCAGTACTGACAGCCAGAGGGAGGAACGGCTCACCAGAATCATTGGGCATCTCTGATGGGCATCAAGTCTGCTTTGATTATTGATGAGTGGGTAAGAGGGTCCTCTCAACTTGGGGTCTCCTTGGGAAAGCACTGTCAACTCAGAACAGGTTTCAGCCCTGTTCTGGAGACCACAGGCCCTGGAAGGCTGGGACATCATTTGCAGCCCCAGCGTCATCTATTAGACGGAGCCAGCAAGGTCTCATGCTGTGCGGTACATTTCAACACTTTCTCAAATTTACCCGTGGCAGCTTTTGGTGTGTTTGGTTATTTTTATAACACTACTCACTGTACAATTTCTGTCATGCACATTTTTTGTATCAAAAAGGGTGCTGTAACTTTAAAAGACTGGGTATTTCCAACTTGGAATATTCAAACCATCTTTTGCAAGGGATGTTTTAAATAGGCATGAAGGGTTGTTTTTAATTGAGGTTAAGGATCTGAAATGAGAGGTTTTGGTTTACCCTATCTATGGTATGTCTTAAAAATCAACGAAGATGTCCTTGTCTTTTTTGAATTTGCCGAGTGTGTTGCAGTTCCACAGCTCACTGTTAGGTGGCACATACCCCAAACTGAAAACCTGACCTCGTAGGGCATGAGTCAAAAGACAGGTAGGCACAGGACAGGGCAGTGGTGACACTACAGCTTTCAGGGTTCCCAGCCTGTCAAGAATGAGCATGTCTTAGCAGGGGAGGAACGCATGTGTGGGAACCGCCACAGAGTCCTACGTTAGGTATATGTTGCTAGTAGTTTGTTAAG
Organism: Homo sapiens; assembly: GCF_000001405.40. NCBI lineage: Eukaryota > Metazoa > Chordata > Mammalia > Primates > Hominidae > Homo > Homo sapiens. Next base: position 149,487,355 of record NC_000023.11, on the reverse strand, counting down.
ATATTTGAGTTTGGGAATTTAATTATTTTTTCTTTTTTAAAGGTTTCCTCATGAGGACAAATACCTGATTTTGAATAAAGCAGCATTCAGTTGAAATAACCCTTTCTGTGGTAATTCCAAGTGAATATTTTTCTTCTAGGTGATGAGTTTCTACTTCCTCTGGTTTTTACAACAGGAAATGAAATGGTATCTAAAATAAACAAGCTGTGGTATGATGATTATTCATTTTCTGTCATTCTGTGCTTTTTATGAACTAGGGTGGGCTCTAGGTGAACATGGAGAATGGGCCAAATACAGCAATTTTGATGTTGCTACCCATGTTCCCCTGATATTCTATGTTCCTGGAAGGACGGCTTCACTTCCGGAGGCAGGCGAGAAGCTTTTCCCTTACCTCGACCCTTTTGATTCCGCCTCACAGTTGATGGAGCCAGGTATAAAATATGCTGAAATGATATTGCTTGACAGTAAGATCACCTTTAGTTTATATGTGAACCACTTTATTGAATCATAGGCTTTGGGGGTTACACAGACCCCCCCTTCCTGCCTTGTGTTGGAATTTCTTCTCAACATTTTGTGGTCAGCACACGCTTTCTGAACATCTCCCATACTCTGGGTGGGGAAAGAGTGACAGAACCAGAATTGACAAGTATGGCCCCTGTCCACAAGGAGCCTTGTGGGATGATGATGGACAAAGGAACAGGTGCATCCCCAAGATGGGGAGGGCTGTGGTACAGTCTACAAGAGCCTGCTCCAGAGCTTAGAGTAAGGGGCTGCCCCCGTAACAGACGAGGAGAATCCTTTCCCTCGATGCGCACTTTTGGTAGGGACTCAGCCTTCTTTGTGGGGGGCACATTTTCCATTTTGACAGCTCATCAATCTAGTGAACCACTAGATCTGTAAAATCTACCAGGTGATTCTACTCTGCCCTCCCCAGCAGTGAAGGGCAAGTTTACTTTGACTTCCATGTGCCAGTCCTTCAAAGCTTTGAAAACAGCACTGATGCCCCCGACCCTGTCCATCCACCAATATCTTCTCTTCTCTAGGCTGAAATCCCCAGCCCTTCAACCATTCGTCACAAGGTAGTGTTTAGACGCGTGGTTGTCCTGGTCTCTGTCTTCCAAAAAGTTTCAGTTTGAGAAAGCACTTCCAGAATACCAGTTGGACCAGATACCCCTCCTGGATGTGTGGGCAACCTGTATGGGTTCTTGTGAGTTCTATCCTGACTTGATCTGCCCAGTGCATTTCAGGGACAGGTTGTACACTGTCTCTGAAATGACGTATGACGTTTGCTCTTTTTGGAGTGCCTCTTCTATGAACTATGCTAAACCAGATTGCCCCCTTTCTGGACTTAAGCATTTAATCCATCCTTAACATCTAAATCTTGTACTGTATATTGATTCCTGTTTAAATTTGTCTTGGTTCTGGACCATCATTCGGGCCTTTCTGGATCTTTCTGAGCTTGCTTTATACTACCCAATTTTATTTTTTGCACTTTGATTTTTGTGCACTGCATGTCCTGTCTTCTTTCATGTCATTGATAGAAAGGTTAAACAGTTTCAAGGCATGATTTTAGCCCTTTGTTTGCTGGGAAAGATCTTCTGATTGGTTGAGAATCTTTTCTGAAACTTTTGTTGGGAAGTGTTCAGCAATTTAGAAATTGATGTAACTGCACGGCCTTTCAGTTTATTTCCAAATTTTATCTCTAGCTGTGTCTTTTCCCTGAACTTCAGACTTTTGTTTCCAATAGTCTTTCCCACTTAGCCAGCCTAACATATCCAAAGCTGGACTTCACATCTTTCATCTTCAGCTTTTCCTTCAACACTCTTCTTGTCCTCAAGAAATGAGAATAGTCACTCATGCCAAAAAATCATGGAATAATCTCAACCCCTGTTCTTCTCTTACTCCATATGCAATATTCAGTCTATGAGAAAGCCTGTCACACTCCATTCAGACTCTGTGTACCACTTCCCACCACTTCGCCTGCCACTGTCTTGGACCAGACTGCCACTGTCTTGTGCTGAAGTACTGCAAGAGCTTGCTAAATGGTCCCCTTGCTTGTGCCCTGGATCCCTTGGAGGTTTTCCTCCTCAGAGCAGCCACAGTGATTCCATTAAAACCCAAGTCAAGTCATGTCACAGCCCGGCACAGGAGCCTCTTATGTACCCTTCTTGATCTGAGTAAAAGTCGTCACAGTGGCCTTACATGTTCTGGCCCCATTATCTCCCTGACCTCATCTTTTTATAAGTATCCAGGCCAGTTGTCCTATAACAGTGTCCCACAGCCTGGATTTATCTGATTGCTTCCACATGACTACATTCAGGGTAACATTTTTGACACGTGTGCTACATGGGCTGTTGTATTCTCCCATTGTGTCACATGGTGGGGGCACTTCATGGCCAGCGTTACTAGTATTGTAAGTTTGAACACTCGGTTGAAGAGCTAGCTAGCATCAGCCAGATCTTGCCATTGTAAAGGTACCTTTTTCAACTTTCTTTACTTGTTTTCTTTTTATTTTACTTAAAAATTAAGTGTCTAGAAAATGAAATCAAGCATGATAAAGCACTGTCTTAAAGATCCAGAAGGGCCAGAATGGTAGTGCAAATCCAATTGCAATTTTAACAGGAATCAATATAAAGTACAGTATTTAGACTTTAAATATGGATGAACCGCAATGAAATACTACTTCATACCCACTAGGATGGCTATTAATAAAAAACAACAACAAAAGCTGTGAAAGGCTGGGCGTGGTGGCTCACGCCAGTAATCCCAGCACTTTGGGAGGCCAAGGTGGGCGGATCACGAGGTCAGGAGATCAAGACCATCCTGGCCAACAAGGAGAAACCCCATCTCTACTAAAAATACAAAAATTAGCTGGGTGTGGCGGTGCATGCCTGTAATCCCAGCTACTCAGGAGGCTGAGGCAGGAGAATCACTTGAACCTGGGAGACGGAGGTTGCAGTGAGCTGAGCCGAGATTGCGCCACTGAACTCCATCCTGGAGACAGGGCTAGACCCCGTCTAAAAAAAAAGAATGAAACAAGTGTTAAGAGTGTTAGTGATTATATGGAAAAATTGGAACACTTGTGCATTGCTGGTAAGAATGTAAAATGGTGCAGCCACTGTGGAAAAGAATTTGGTGGATCCTCAGAGTTAAACATAGAATTACTCTATGGCCCAGAAGTTCCACTCCTAGGTATATATCCACAGAGCTGAAAACAGGTATTCAATCAAAGGTTGTACATTACTGTTCATAGCAGCACTATTCACAGTAACCAGAAAGTGGAAGCAATTCAGATGTCTATTGACAGAAGAACAGACAAAATGTGGTCCGTCCATGCAATGGAATATTATTCAGTCTTAAAAAGGAAGGAAACTGACACATGCTACATCATGGATGAGCCTTGAGGACATTATGCTAAGTGAAAAAAGTCAGTCACAAAAGGACAAATACTGTATAATCCCACTCCTATGAGGTATCTAGAGTAGTCCAGTTCATAGACATAGAAAGTAGAATGGTGGTTTCCAGTTGCTGGGTGAGGATGGAGAAAGGGGAGTTGTTACTTAATGGGGACAGAGTTTCAGTTGTGTAAATTAAGAGGAGTTCTGGAGATAGATGGTGGTAATGATGGCACAACAGTATAAGTGTACTTAATTCCACTGAACTGTATACTAAAAAGTGGTTACGATGGTAAATGTCATGGTGTGTGTATTTGATCGTAATAAAATGCAAAGATAACTCTAATGCAGACATCCAGAAGGGAGTAATGTGTGGGGTGATCCTGTGGGAGTCAGAATATCCTGTTCCTCAACAGACTCTTTTACCTAGTGGTTGTAGCCTTAATTGATGATCCTTGTCTGAGTCAGTTATTAAATCGGTGGTTCCAAAATTCAGGTTGTTTTAAAAAGCGCCAACAGCCTCGTGGGGCCCTAATTTTGCATCCTGCTATTTGATTGGATGAGTAATTAATGCAGGGTGAGGTGCCGAGGTGGTGTTTCTAAACGTCTGTTGCTAAAGATAAATGTTGTAAATTAAAAAAAGAAAACATATGGAGCCCAGACAGGTTCCTTTACTGCTCCTGCCTGGCCATGGCAGGCTTTTATAATGTAACCCATTCTGCTCTGTCGCTTCCTGTTTCAGGCAGGCAATCCATGGACCTTGTGGAACTTGTGTCTCTTTTTCCCACGCTGGCTGGACTTGCAGGACTGCAGGTTCCACCTCGCTGCCCCGTTCCTTCATTTCACGTTGAGCTGTGCAGAGAAGGCAAGAACCTTCTGAAGCATTTTCGATTCCGTGACTTGGAAGAGGATCCGTACCTCCCTGGTAATCCCCGTGAACTGATTGCCTATAGCCAGTATCCCCGGCCTTCAGACATCCCTCAGTGGAATTCTGACAAGCCGAGTTTAAAAGATATAAAGATCATGGGCTATTCCATACGCACCATAGACTATAGGTATACTGTGTGGGTTGGCTTCAATCCTGATGAATTTCTAGCTAACTTTTCTGACATCCATGCAGGGGAACTGTATTTTGTGGATTCTGACCCATTGCAGGATCACAATATGTATAATGATTCCCAAGGTGGAGATCTTTTCCAGTTGTTGATGCCTTGAGTTTTGCCAACCATGGATGGCAAATGTGATGTGCTCCCTTCCAGCTGGTGAGAGGAGGAGTTAGAGCTGGTCGTTTTGTGATTACCCATAATATTGGAAGCAGCCTGAGGGCTAGTTAATCCAAACATGCATCAACAATTTGGCCTGAGAATATGTAACAGCCAAACCTTTTCGTTTAGTCTTTATTAAAATTTATAATTGGTAATTGGACCAGTTTTTTTTTTAATTTCCCTCTTTTTAAAACAGTTACGGCTTATTTACTGAATAAATACAAAGCAAACAAACTCAAGTTATGTCATACCTTTGGATACGAAGACCATACATAATAACCAAACATAACATTATACACAAAGAATACTTTCATTATTTGTGGAATTTAGTGCATTTCAAAAAGTAATCATATATCAAACTAGGCACCACACTAAGTTCCTGATTATTTTGTTTATAATTTAATAATATATCTTATGAGCCCTATATATTCAAAATATTATGTTAACATGTAATCCATGTTTCTTTTTCAAATCTAAAGTTAAAAAAAAATAGCAGAAGCCAGTGTCTTAAAGTCTATCTTTTGTTTCTAAGACCATGGGATTTCATAATCTCAAGATAAAATATGTATGAAGTAATTAATGTAGAATTTTTACACCAAATAATAAATAATGCTTAATAAACTAGAGATATGAGATGTGTAGGAAATTTGGTTAAACTTTTTTCAGATACTTTCTGGCCCAAATAATAATTTGTTAGCAAATAATATGACCCTTGAACTCAATGGCCATCTATTAAAAGACTGTTGTTCACACTGGAAAACATTTAAAGATGTGACTATATCCATGGGTGGATTGAATCACTCAAAATATATTAGTATCCTTCTTTAGGGATGGTTGGTTACAGACATGTATTTATTCAGGAGGCAGAAAATATTCCATTTTAATTGCTTATTAAAGAAAACATTAAATTCTAAATTATTTTGAGGACTGTGAAGACTTTTCATTAGTGTAATATTAGGTCATTGTCAATCTCCCAGAATGTAGTTCTATATTCTCTAAATATGAAAGTATCCAGAAAGGCCAGTGGTAGTAAAAAGCTTAGTGTATATAATCTCAAAAGGGATGGAATATTTACAACTCATATTTATAACATGTTGAATCTTCTCAGTTATCAGTAGTCATCAGAAGTGTCAATAGCTTTCTAAATAAATATTAAATATCTACTGTCCTGTAGTGAAGGAGTAATTTTTAGTAATTTTCTCTTTACAAAGTCTCCAGTGTTTCCAGGTAAATATTTGTGAAACAAAATACAGCAAACTACATTGTTACTTCAGTGTATTGTTGCCAAAAATGACAAGATATTATATTAAAATCAGTAAATTTTAGACAGATTTTAAAAATTAATTAGCCTACAATAGAGGTTATATGGTAACACGGTGATCTTCTAAGCAGTTAAGTGACTGACTGTTCTGGCAACAACGACTTCTCCGTGACTGAAGGGCCCTGTTCATTTCCTGATCCTGAAGCTCGTCTCTCTTTTGAGCCTCCGCTTGCTTTGGTCGATGGTTTCCCTCAGCTTTTTCTTTGCTGTTCTTCATCCTCGTTGTTGCTGTCATCATGTTCACTGTGGCTTTTACAATACAGCCTGTAAATTCCTTATGACATAGTTCAGTGCATTTGGCTTTATTGCCTGCTCCACAGTTCTTTACCTTTACTTGGCTTAGAGAAACTGTATCTTTGTTGCTTCATATAACCTTTCCCCAACCCCACTAAGCTGGACATAACTTATTAGTGGTCCTCCCGTCACTTTATTTGTAGAAATCTCTCTTTCACATGAGCAGGGGTTCTTTCATGTGGTTTAGCTGACAGCAGAACTAGTGATTCTAGACATTTTGCATGGCCCTCATTCAGTGGCTCACAAACATGAGGGAGCATCAGAACTACTTGAGGGGCTTGTTAAAACCCAGTGCGTTAGAAGTCGGATGCGGTGGCTCACACCTGTAATCCCAGCACTTTGGGAGGCCCAGGCAGGCGGATCACTTGAGGTTAGGAGTTCAAGACCAGCCTGGCCAACATGGTGAAACCCCGTCTCTACTAAAAATACAAAAGTTAGCCGGGTGTGGTGGTGCATGCCTGTAATCCCAGCTTCTTGGGAGGCCAAGGCACAAGAATCGCTTGAACCAGGAGACGGAGGTTTCAGTGAATGAAGATCGTGCCATTGTATTCCAGCCTCGGCAACACAGCAGGACTGTGATTTTCTTTGGAGACTCCTAGATTTTCTGTGGTTTTGAACTGAATTTGTTGGATGTTGGCAAGTGCCTCTTATGAGCTGTTTCTTTATCCTGCATTTGCCCCACAAAGACTTATCTGGAGGTGAGCAAAGTATGTTTGGTAGTGAGGTCACAAAGGCAATCAGCCCCTTCCTCCCCACTCCCATTGCCATCTTCTCAGTCCTTCTCCCTTTCTTTCCAAGTAGTTTACCCACCCCTCCTCTTTCCTCCCCTGTCCCTAAAATAATCCACGTGTCTTCCTAAAATCTCTCTTTGATCCTGTCCTTTGATAACACCGTCAGTGCCTACTACTGGGTCTAGACAGACCTCTGTTGAGCAGTCAGAGTCTTCCCTGACTCCACAATGCCCCTTTCCTTGGCTGACCAGTATGACTACTGGTCCCCACCTTTCCCTTGCCTATCCCTACCTCCCTCCTACTAGGTTGTCCCATCCCTCTCTTCACCCATTCATTCATGACCATTTTTCACTACCAAGCTCCCCCCCTCCCGAAGGAGGCTGAGGTTTTTGTGACTCTCTAGACTCTATTGTGGGATGGAATGAACATTGCTAAAGAATCTTGTGTTCGCTTTACTTTAAAAAGGTATTTTTTTCCTAATTATAAAACTGATGTGTCAGTTACGGAAAAATTAGAAATGCAGCACAAATACATGAATATTTTACCACAAAATTGCCATATAATATCTTGTCTTTTTTGGGGGTGTGAATTTTTTGCATTGTTCTGGTCATATTCTTTATCATGTAATTTATGTTCTTTTTTACTAAGTATTATGTGTGGTTATTATAGATTTTCACAAAGATATATTGCTGGTAATATATTTTATTGTGTAGTCTTATAATTTACTTAACCTTCTTTCAATTGTTAGAAATTTAGGCTATTTCCAGATTTTCAGTATTGTAAATAATGCTGTGATGACCAATTTTGTGAATAAAATGTTTTTATGTATTTCAGATTATTCCCTTAGGATAGTCTCTCAGTGCCAAGTTGTCAAAAACATCTCTATTTTGCTTATCTTCCTGCTCTCTTGCTGCCTTAGGGGGTAGTAAACTGAAACATAAAGTAAACATGCATACAAATAAAAAACATAAAACAAAAATAAGCAACCTGATGGTAATAGGTGAAAGTGGTAACCTGTTTTAACTTTGAATTCTTGCCGGGCGCGGTGGCTCACGCCTGTAATCCCAGCACTTTGGGAGGCTGAGGCGGGTGGATCACGAGGTCAGGAGTTCAAAACCAGCCTGGCCAAGATGGTGAAATCCCGTCTCTACTAAAAATACAAAAATTAGCCGGGCGTGGTGGCGGGCGCCTGTAATCCCAGCTACTTGGGAGGCTGAGGCAGAGAATTGCTTGAACCCAGGAGGCGGAGGTTGCAGTGAGCCAAGATCGCGCCACTGCACTCCAGCCTGGGTGACAGAGCGAGACTCCGTCTCAAATAAAAAACAACAAAAAACAAAAAAAACTTAAAATTCTTTGCTTGTTAGTGACCTTGATCATGGTTCTCTTTGTACGATAGTTGGGCATCTGTATTTCCACTTGTGTGAATTTGCCTTTAAATTTTGGTTATGGGTTTCACCTTTTAAAATAATCAAACATATTTATCTTTTCCTGTGTGATAGGTTTTTTTCTGTATCTTTTCCTGTTAAACACACAGACCCCTCCCCAATCTGGACATTGAATAAATATTCATTTTCCTTTGCATTGTTTGGGGTTTGGTTTTATGCTTACTGTGTCTCTCCACCCCATTATCAGAGTAATATATGCTCATTGCATAAAATCTGGAACATGTGAAAACTGGAGATGAAAAGAAGCCCAGCATTTGAGACATACCCACTGCTGACATTTGTATATTTCCTTTCATTCTTTTACCTGCCTAAAGACATATATGCAGATATGGACATATTTAGCTTTACATACATGCAGACTACCACATATAATCTATATCTTGTTTTTTTGATCTAACACAATGTTAGCTTGGTTTTTTATGTCATTGACAGTTCTTGATTAACAGCTGTAATGGCTGCACAGCCCTGCTTCATTAATTTTTTTTTTTGGACTGAAATGTATGTACCACGTTCCGCTTATCCATTCATCCACCAGTGACCACTTGGGTCATTTCTACCTTTTGGCCATTGCAATAATGTTGCTGTCAACAAGGATGTACAAATATCTGTTCGAGTCCCTGCTCTTAATTGTTTTGGGTATACACCCAACCTACATTAATCTTTAATCACTTAAGATGTTGGGGTTTGTGCTGGGAGGTAACCAAGTGACTCTGGAGCAGCCTCACCCTAGCTACAGAGGGAAACTGACTCTTCCCTCTCTGCCCAATCTTTTGCCGCCTGTCAGGTTCCCAAGCTGTCCATACCTTACTGTGTGAAGCGCTTTGGGTATAAACTCCCAAATAGAGGCTCAGCCCCTTTTCCTTTCCCAAGTCCATCCTGCAGGTTATAGCTCTTCAGAGGAATCTCTTGAATTCTGGCCTGGGATCTGGGATTAAAGTAGAACCCAGGGTGTCCCTTGGGGCCTTAGGCATAGCCCGTTGTGGTGGAACCTGCCATCAGCCCCACTGCACTCAGTGGTCCCCTGGTACTTCAGGACAGTTTCTCTCTTCTGCACATGAGAACTTCAAGCAGAGAGGACTGTCAGTTGTTGCCTTCACATCACCAATCGTTTGGCCATAATGGCCAAGAGCCCTCACTGCTCTTGGGTCTTGCCTTTCCACATGTTACTGAAAGCTCCCGTTGGTGTCCCTGTCCACTAACTCACCTGATGGGACAGATGCCACTTTCCTCTGAGTGTCTGATAAAACACAGTCTGTTGTGGGGAGCCCACGCTCAAGGGTTTTCTTTGGGATCAGAGTTTCCCGGCTATTACTCCATGCCCTGCCTGACATCACTGTCATGTATGGTGCTAATCACCAAAGGATGCCCTTGTTTGATTCTGGATTCTAGGTGATAGTCCTTATCCTCTGATGGGGGAAGAGTTTGGGTGGGAGAGAACAAACCGACAAGTTGGTTCCAGATGAGGTGGCTGGGAGCCAACCCTCAGGTACTTGGCTCTGAGTAATGTGACGGCCCAGGCAAGAGGGCTCCCACTGCCAATGAGGAACAAAAGCTCAAGGTCTAGTAGTGTATTCAGCACATGCTAGGAAACAAGAGTTGGGACGTGGACAAGGAGAGGAGCAAAGGCCAGGGGTTAACTGCTTTTGGTTTTTCCTCTATAAAAGTCAGGGACTATGATTTATATGGGTGAGAAGGTTTGGAGTAGGACTGAAGCTGCCATTTACAAACCCCTTGCCCTAATTTATTGTAGTTTTGGGTGTGTTTCTGAAAGAACCTTTTGCAGGTGATTTTTATTCAGTACTCATTAACTTACAGCTTTTATGAATTCACATCTTCTACACTATTGAAAAACATAAGTTTGTATTGTGTTAAGTGCAGCATGAGTTATTATATGAATAAATCACATTAAATTTGCCATTATCGTGTGTGCAATTCTTGCTGCTGGTTTGGGACCGCTTGGTGCTGCCTTAAAATAAAAGGAGCCATTTAACAGAGCTTGATACCGTGGTACAGGTGTGCCCCCTTAAAGTATCCAACCTGTTCCTCCCCATGTGAGGGCCAAGGCAGCTGTGGTGTGGGTTTTATTAGGGAGTTGAATTCTTGAGGGTAGATGGTGAGTTGCACTTGACCATAGACACACTTTTCTGGGCAGTGGTATGTCTCTCAGCTTGCCCTGCAGTTACAGTACAGAGACTCCCCAGAAAGAAAGAGGAAGTGGGCTGACCAATTAGGTAGGCTTAGGGAAACCATATATGCAATAGCAACAAGGTAAAGGAAGCAAATTAGTGGGTTCTTGGGGTTCCAACTGGAAATTTGCCTGTTTAGTGGTCTTGGCTTAGTGTCTTCATGAGCCTTAGTTTATCTTTTTCTACCTATCCTACTGGTTTCGACTAAAAATTCGGAAGGCAGTGCTTCTTATATTGGTGAGGACATTGGAAGACATACATTTCCAAATAGATAAAGGCAGGCTGGAAGGATTGAGTAAATCTCAGCAGGTGAAGTAACTTCAATGTATTCATTTACTGGCTTGTTTATTATGTATGGTGCGAAGTTTAAAAGGCACAAACATGAGGGAGGATTGCTTGAGGCCAGAAGCTCAAGACTAGCCAGGGCAACATAACAAGACACCCATCTTTACACAAATTTTTAAAGAAATTAGCTGGGTGTGGTGGCATGGCACCTCTAGTCCCAGCTACTCGGGAGGCACAGGCAGGAGGATCACTTAAGCCTGGGAGTTCAAGACTGCAGTGAGCTCTGATCATGTCACTGCGCTCTGGCCTGAGTGACAGAGTGGGACCTTGTCTCAAACAAAGGCACAAACATGTATACAATGAAGAGTCATTTCCTCTTCCATGCTGTTCCCAGCTACCCTATTATCCTCAGAGGCAAGCATGCCTACCAGTTCTTGGAAACTGCTGAAGTTTGAAAAGGATAAATGGAGACCTAACAGGAAGGCCCCAGAACCAAGGTGCTAGTGAGGGGTGACCCAAGGGAGCAGTATTGCACATGCAACCCTTTTACATTGTGGCCAACAGCTCAGAATGGGGATGCGGTGTGATGTGGCTGCCAGGAAGTGAAAGGCATCTCAGGCTACATAAATGGATATCCAGGAGGAAGGAGGAGGTAAGCTGCTCTGCCTACGTGTCACGGTCAGCCAGCACCTGGAGAATTGTGTTTAGTTGCGAACATGGAGCTGTCATGGAAATGTGGACAAACTGGAGCCTGTTCAGAGGACAGCCCTAAGATGGGTGAGACCCAGCATATCATGTGAGGAACAGTTGAAGAAGTGTTCAAATGGGGAGAGAAAAGACTCGGGTGGGTAAAAGTAGGGGGTTGGGGGGAGAGCATGGCACTATCTTGAAATTTCTGAAGAACCATCAGAGGCAAGAGAGATTAAACACATGATATCTAGAGCCCCAAGGGAAGATCCAGCACTGGACCCTGCAAGGAGACAGATGGCCATCCAGAGGTTGAACTTTCGGCCGGGTGTGGTGGCTCATGCCTGTAATCCTAGCACTTTGGGAGGCCAAGGCGGGTGGATTGCCTGAGCTCAGGAGTTCGAGACCAGCCTGGGCAGCTTGGTGAAACCCTGTCTCTACTAAAATACAAAAAAAACCAAAAAAAATTAGCCAGGCTTGGTGGCGTGCACCTGTAGTCCCAGCTACTTGGGTGGCTGAGGCAGGAGAATTGCTTGAACCTGGGGGGTGGAGGGTGCGGTGAGCTGAGATCGTGCCACTGCACTCCAGCCTGGTGACAGAGTGAGACTCCGCCAAAAAAAAAAAAAAAAAAAATTAAAAAACAGAGGCTGAACTTTCTAACATAGCAGCTTACCATTGAAGGAGCCTGCTCCTAAGTGTGGTGAGCTGTCATCTGAGCTATGTAAGCATCACGTAGGCAAGAGGTTCTCAATAGAGAGCAGTTCTCCTCTTGGGACATTTGTCAGTGTCTAGGGTCATATTTGGTTATCACAACTGGGGAAAGGCTGCTACTAGCATCTAGTGTGTAGAGGCCAGGGATGATAGGAATCACACACAGACAGCACCCCCTCCCCCAGAACAATAAAGAACTATCTGGCCCAAATGGCAATAGTTCCAAGGCCGAGAAACTCTAACATAGGCAAACATTTGCTACAGAAAGAAAAACTACTAAAATCCCCTCTTTCTCTGAGACTTCTATGATTGGAGAATGCATGCTCAATTATTAAAATAGCATGCTGACTATATCAGGTGATTGGCCCTTTGCATATAGCCTTGAATACATTTTTAAAGATTGCAAGGAGCTTTCAAATCAAGATGATTTAATAACAAACCATTTCATGTAGTAGTAGTAGATTGGATTTCTCTTTCTTCCTGTTCAGTGGAGAGACCCTCCCATCTGAGTTTCCTCACCCATAGAAAAGATGTTAAATAGGTGATTTCTTTTAAAAAATAATATTGCATTTTTTCTCAGTTGAAAAATTATTACATATTCATCACAGAAAAATTAGAAAAATATACAAAAGCAAAGAAAATAATCTAACACCACTGTTTACTTGGCATAGTCCTTCCCCTGAATAATACATATATAAAAAAATGGTTCATACTCTATCTCCTATTGGTTTTTCTACATCCTGTTTTACAACCTGGGTGTGTGGTGGCATGGCACCTCTAGTCTGCTTTTCACACTGTGTGATTTCTAAGGGCTTCCCCAATTCCAAATTTCTGTGACACACAAATTGGAAGAATTTCCATATAAACATGTGAGGCCATTTCCTGGAGGACAAAACTAGAAACCTCTGAGTTTCCTTCCTCTCCCATGACGTCTAATAAATGTGAGTGTTTCCACAAAAGATAATACTGAGGATGCTGCTTTTCCTAGCCTTGAGTTTCATGACTCTGTTTGCTCACAGAGTGCCCTGGATAGCCCAGAAACTCTATGGAATAGAGACATCCATCACCAGGCCTTGTGGATTTTACCTCTTTGTGTATCCATGTATCCATCTGATACATGCATCCACTGATACTTTGTGTATCAGTGTATCCATCCAGGTTTCTACCTCCACCGGGTACCATTCTGAAGCCATCTCCTATCACTTGGACATGGAACCACTTCCTAACTGATCTCCTACTCTTGCTACACTGCAAACAAGTTCACACAGTTCTGAATATGATCTTTGCAAAATGCAAACCTGATTGTGTCTCTGCCTACCGCTTGTACCTCCCTGCTCTCCCTCCCTCCCAATGGCTTCCCATTACTATGTGGACAAGCAGAAAACACCTGAACCTGCCCTTTGTGTAGACCATTCATGGTTTGCCCCCTGCTGACCTGCCACACCTCCTTGTTTTAACTCCTACTCCATCTTCATGGCCAACTTAACCCTTCCTTTCCAAGGGCATTCTTCCCTGATGCCTTTGACTAGGTTGCATAGCAGCTTGCATCACACACATACCACTTCTTCATAGTCCTCAGCTTGGTTGTACTTTTTCACTGGTTTGTGTAATTATTTCATTTGTATCTGTTTCCCCAGAAAGCTCCATGGGGGTAGAGAGTGTCTATTTTTGCATCATTGCCTCCTAGTGCCCAGTACACAGTAACACCCACAACAAATGTTTGTGGAATGAATGAATACAGTGTTCATAATGGCCGCATTGTTTTCTGTCATTTCCCTAAGCTCCTATTGCTGACTCTTTAGGTTGTTTCCAGTGTCATTTCTATTACAAACTATGATGCAGAGAACATCACCATGCAGCCATCTTTGTGCACTTGTGTATTAATGTATCTCTAAAGGATAAAATTGTAGAAATAGAATTCTTGGGTCAAAAGCATGTGTAGAGGACATTTGACATGATGTTGGACACCAGCATCCTAAGTGCCTTTCTCTACTTGGGAAATTCTGCACTCAATTATTTTGAGTGGCAGGCAGGGAGAGCCCTCTTGCCACTGCAGAGGTGCAAAGTGCCAGGAGCTCATTTTCCCATGACTTCCTTGTGGCTAGACAGCAGGCATATGACTTTGACTCAACTCAGCAAGATGCTTTCCTCCTTGAGTTGGTAAAGCAGGAACCAGTGTGAATTCATCTTCCCCCAGAGGAAGGCTCTGTGGTGATGTTAACCACCAGTGTCCAGCACTGGTAGTGTCACTATGGTTACCAAACTGTTTTTGTGTGGTTATGGCAGCTTGCCTGGTCACCTTTGTCCTTACCTGTTTTTTAGGTTTGAGACTTTGGCCTTCTCTGGGATTCTATGAGCTACTCAAGCCTTTCAAAAACAAACAGACAAAAAAGAAAAAACCTTTTTTTTCTGCTTAAATTAACTAGTCAGTAAAACAACCAGGGCTCCTGATTGATGAAGTGTCTGCATTTGAAAATCTGGAAGTTAGTGCCAAATTTCCTCCAGAGAGGTAGCACAAATTCACACTCCCATCAGCAGAGTGCACAGAACCTGAGTTCCTATCTTCCCTCTAGTACTTCTTACGTTGCTTTGCAATGACCTATTTCTAAGGAAGGGGACATTTCTTATTCATTTTTCTAGACTAAGCCTCTAACCTAGGGCCTGGCAAATTTAGGCACTTACATGTTTGCTAAATGAATGAATGAAAATAATTGTCTTTAAAGAGTTTGAGAAAGACCAAAGGTACCGTAGCTTGAATCAGAGACTGGGAGTTGGAAGGACACTCATCCACCTCCTTATTTGTTTATTTTCCTTTTGCTTTTTTAGAGACAGGATCTCCCTATGTTGCCCAGGCTAGCCTCGATTTCCTGGGCTCAAGCGATTCTCCTACCTCAGCCTCCCAAGTCGCTGGGACTACAGGCATGCACCACTGCAGCTCCTTATTCTGAGGTGGGAGCTTAAAGCCCAGAGGAGGCAAGCAGCTCCACCAAGGAGACACAGCTAGCCAAGTGGAAGCAGCCTCAGATCCAAGTCCACCAAGTCTATTTTCAGCCCACCTCCAAGTCCAGTCTTCTGCAAGGACTGCTGCTTCCACAAGGTTTCTCTTCTTGGGTCTCCCGATCCAGGGAGTAGATTTCAGCTGAAATGATGTGCAAAGGAGCCACCTCAAAGCTATGAAACCGCCAGAAAATCACTTTGTGAAAGGAAGAAGGCTGGCGACCACCCGTTTGGAAAATTGCCTTTGTAGTAACTGGGGGGCACACATGTGTGTGGAAGGATCAAGCGTCAGCCTTGCTATGGCCACAGTTTTGATTTTCCTTTATTCTTTGTATTGCTTTCAAATCAAAGGGAAGCCGTAGCAGAGAACCTCTTGCCCTGAGCTACACATATGAAAATGAACAAGGTTATGGGAGTCGCGTGTTTTCAATAATGGATCGCTGGTGCCGCCCTTTCTAGGAAATGAAGCGAGGCTGTTGCTAGGTTGGCGGTAAGAGGCACTGGGCAGGGGTAGGGGGTCCTAATTCCAGTGGTTTTACCTTTCCCACTATTCATTCCAGTCCAACCAATTGATAGAATAAGAATCAATTCTGAGCAGAACAGTGTCTCATTCTATTTCAAGCCCCCCCCAACCTGCTTTTTGACATTTCTATCACCACAGCTTGATAGAGAAAAATATTCACAAAGCCGAGTCCGTTTTGAAGAGAACATCTGTAAAATTGGGTCAGCAGATACGTTACACGTTGGCGTGGAAGATGAAATAGAACCCTGTCTGGTCTGAGCTTCACAGCAACAGGGAAGGGCTTTGTTTCCACGGCGGCGCGCACTTGGATTTGTGCCTTACAGCTCTGATCCGGCCACACAGCCCAGGCCCCTGGGCAGCCACAGGGCGCCGCCGCCTTCCGCCCTGGCTTTAGGGACAAGCTGGAGCCTGGCGGTGGAGACAGCGTGTGGTTCCTCAGAGAACCACTGGAGGCCGCTGTGGCACCAAGAACGCACGAAGGGCGCCCGGCTGGCGGAGTGGGAGTCTCCAAGGAGTAATGACTGTCGCACACACTGACTGTTCTCAAATTCTAGTCCAGGATTTTAAAGACACTGTTATGAATTAACGAGAATAAAATACTCGGCAGATGAAGCTCGGGTCTCAGATCCCCTGGGGTTCTTTTCTAACTGCTTTCTCATTCCCACCCCCCCCGGAACTGGGTCTCATTTGCAATCCACGAGGCACAGGCTTTATACATGATGGAAACGTCTTCCAAAAACGACACAAATGCACAAATGTTACCCTTGCAGCCTATAGTATTCATCCCCAAATACTATTGCAAAATATTATGCTATTTTCTCTATCAAGCAGTATTGGCGGCAGGTGCCAACCACCACGTGGGCCGCAGGAATACAGCTGCTGGATAAAATGCAGGATGCCCAGTTAAATATGAATTTCAGATGAACAATAAATAATTGCTTAATATAAGTATGTCCCACGTAGTACATGGATCATATTTATACGACATAATTATTCATTGTTTATCTCAAATTCAAATTTAATTGGGAGTCCTGTGTTTTTATCCGTAAAATCTGGCCTCCCTTCACAGAAAGGGTGACTCCGGTGAGGTAGCAAGGAGGTACCCTGGTGCCCTGAGGGCACTCAGAGCTGGGAAGTGGTCAGAACTGAAGCTGAGCACAGAGTTCTATTCCAATGTGGGCGGTAATATGTGTCACATGTTCTCACAGAGAACAAATAGGCTCTTAGACCTGCCTGTTGGGAAGGGGTCTCAGAGGAAGAGATCTGTACAGTAACTGGAGGTAATGTTCCATTTTTCACTTTTTGGTTATTGCCTTCACCCTAATACCTACATAGGCACACGAGCTTCGAGTAGCATTAGTCCAAGCTTCACTGAAAGGCAGAGTTCAGTTCTATTGAGTTCAACCAAGCGCCATCATGCCCTGGTTCTGGAAGGTCGAGCACACACACACTGCGCTGATGTAGGCCTTGCCCCTGGTGTGATCACCCCAGGTCCCAGAGTGAACCTGGGTCTGCAGGTAGACTTCATAGACTACTGGGCCAGCAGTAGACTTCATTCTGGGCAGCCAGAGAAGGAAGTGGAGGGCAGCAGAGGGGGATTTTCATTGTATCATAGGTGGCACAACAAGCATTTCGGACCTGGGGCTCCTTAAGTTCCCGAGGTCCCAACATATTAATGTTCACCTCCCCCAACTCCTCACAAGGCTCTCCACTCTAGGTGGAGCTCTCCATGAGTCGGTGGTGACCTGCATCCCTGGAAATTTGTATTTTATGGCTTGGTGGATAAACAAGAGCAACTGAAGAGCCTCCAATCTCTGGCTCCCTTTTGGGGGTCTGCTTGGCAATTCAGGAAGCCCAGAAAAAAATGCCGGGGGATCTCAAGAGCAACAGCAAGGGAAGAGCCCTCGTGGCCCCAGATTGATCCTGTTCTGCCACTTGAGAGCTGGACAACATTGTGCAAGCCACTTCCCTTCTCTGGGTCTGTTTGTTCAGTGGATTGGGGAAAGTAGGTGCTCCTCTTGAGTGGGTTTTTGAGCCCTCAGTGAGCGGGTATTGAGAACATACGATGCCTGAGCAGTGTCTGGCATCTGTTCCATAAGTGTGCCTTCTCCTCTTTTTCCTTGTTCATGAGCCGTGGAGAAGGGTGTGATCCACCTGAAAGTGACCCTGATCCTGACCCTGCCATGTGGGTGACCCTGGATAAGTCTCCTTTCTGGGCTCGGGTCTTCCCATCTAGGGGCCATCCTTCCCAGCTGTCATACTCTACAGTCCTGTAAGAAGCCAGCTGTTCTGGACATAGGAGCTGTGTTCATTGTGAGCAGCAATATACATCTTATGCATTTACTTTCCTTCTTTTTGTAGACACTAGGCTTTGAAGGATCTTCCACCTCCAACCTCATACACATATATATTTCCTGACATCCTCAGGGGCAGAGAATCCCAGACTTATGTGGTACCAGGGCAGCCTGTAGCTTGACAGCCACTTCCAGGATGATGAGGACCAGGCCTGGGGAACACTTCCTGGCAGAAGGTATGCAGATGTGGGATCACCCCACAGGTTATCACCTTCAGCGGCCAGGGGAGCAGGATTTCCTCCAAAGATGCTGGGTTGTGGAAAGCACCATCTGCCTCATTCCCTGGCCATCAAGTCTTTAGACCTGCCACATCTCCCTCTGATTACCTTGCTTCATTTCCTTCATAGCATCCACCGTTTTCTGAACTTGAGTTCTGTTCTTGTTAATGGGTCATTGTACACTTCCCTGCTAGAATGTCAAGTCCAGAGAGCAAGGACCTTGTGGCATCTTACTTACCACTGTATTCTCAACACTTAGAATAGGTCCTGACAAATGTGTGAAAAATATGTATTTCATCACTTTTTAATGTTTATTTGAAAGCTCGTGAGAGAAACGGTGGCATATGAGAATGTGCCCTGAATTTGGAGTGTGAATTCTGACTCCAACCCTGACTGGCCGTGTGGCTTTGGGTAAGCGCATGAACCTCTCTGAGCCTTAATTAGTTTCCTCATGTGTAAAAGGGCATGATAGTACTATCTATCTCACTGAGTTGTTTTTAGGATATGATCAGACTATGTGAACTGTTCAGACTAAACTCAAGGTATTAGAACGGTTATACTACAGCAATATTGTCATGCATTTGGACAGCCCTTGACCTTGGGTGAGGCACTTAGGGGTTAGTGGTGATGTTGACACTAGGAATCCGGTCCCCTCATCCCTGGCCCAGACGACTTTTGATTCACAGTTAATGACCCCATCTGAGTGACCTTGGCAAACTGTCCGTACTCATGTAGAAGAAAAACCGGACTCAGATTTCCTAGTTCCCAGCATCCTTGCTTCCCCAGCTGGCCCTGAGCCACTCTTCTCACAGGATGATGGGTCAAAGGTGGGGGTGAGGGAGCAGAGGCCAAGACTTGTTTCCTAAAATGTTTCCTCTGTTGAAGGCTCCACTGTCTCTGTCATCATTTCCCACTCAACATGCAGCCCAGGCCCCTTTGGTTTTCATCCTTCTTTTGATGGGCTGCAGCTGTGTATGCTGCCGAGCTGCAGCATTCATGGGGATAGGGGTACACTTTTGCTAAGGCTAAATGCAGACCCTGTCCAAGGCTCTTTTTTCTAGGAGCTGCCCAGACCAATGTAGACAGCTTTGTCCCAGGAGACAGTGCAAAGAAACCTGACTGGGCCAGAAGTCCCTGCACCAGCTAGTTTTGCTGCTACTAACCTGCTAGGGTTTGCCATCTTTGCCAAGTTTATCTTGCCAATCCACTTTCCTAAATCAATGGCTTTAGTTAGATTCTGTAACAAGAGAAGTTGCAGCATCTGTAAGCACTTTGGCAAATATTAGAATGAGCTCGGAGCTCACGTGTGAGGACTCAGGAATAACCAGTATTGTGATTTTTTTGTTCTTTTCTTGGCCAGTTCCCCTAAAGGCCACTGGAATAAGAGACTTCAAAATAATTCACTTTACCTAAAGATGTACATTCATTCATTTGCTCATTTTCTTAATCCATCAACACAGAGTACCACCTACTCTTGGCCGTGCACACACTAGGCTGAAAGGCTTCAAAGGAGCCTGGGGCAAGATCCTCAGCTGATCAGATCTGGGCTCTAGGAGTGATACTTAATTTCAAGCTCCAGTCCCTTTGATGTGTGTGGGTTTTATTTATTTATTTTTGATGGGGCTGGGGAGGGGACCTCTATCAGGAAATGGAATAGGCTTCAATCAGCATGTAAGTATGTGTGGGGTAGGATAAGGTGGAGCAGGCTTGGAAAGCATAATTGAATTCAGTCTGGACTGGAATACAGTCCAGAAGAGGGATGGCAAGTAGATTTCTTCTTGCATGCCAAGCCCTGTTGACTGCAAAAGACTGCTGAGAGTGTATTCAGAGGATGCAACTGGGCCCAGAGGAAAAGGCCAATCCACAAAGGCTGTCATGGACCCGGGTGGGGGATCAGTAGGCAAGTGTTGGCCTGATCTTTATAGGTGGAAGCAGTGCAGGTCAAGAGATAGGGTTTCTAGTCTGAGGTTTACATCTAAGTAGTCTTGTGACCTC
This sequence comes from Homo sapiens, assembly GCF_000001405.40. Taxonomy (NCBI): domain Eukaryota; kingdom Metazoa; phylum Chordata; class Mammalia; order Primates; family Hominidae; genus Homo; species Homo sapiens. Next base: position 149,466,948 of record NC_000023.11, on the reverse strand, counting down.
AGCAAGTCACCTACCTGTTCTCCGCTGTGGAATCTGAATCTTCATCTATAAGATGATGTCTTAGTTCAGCTCCCCTAGCAGCAGAGCCTGACAAGGATTCAGATACAAGTAGTTTATTTGGGAGGTTTTATTAGTCAGGATTCTCCAGAGAAACAGAACCAATAGGAAAATATATATATATATATATATATATACACACACACACACACACACACACACATATGTGTATATACACATATGTGTGTATGTAGTTGACCTTTGAACAATGATGCAGTTAGGGGCGCAGACCCTGCATATAGTCAGAAATCCATGTATAACTTTTGACTCCTCAACAACTTAATTACCAATAGCCTACTGTTGACTGGAAGGTTTATGGTTAACATTAACAGTCAATTAACACATACTTTATAGGTTGTATATATATTATATACTGTATTCTTACAACAAAGTAAGCTAGAGAAAAGAAAATGTTATTAAGGAAATCATATGGATGATAAAATTAATTTACTATTCATTAAGTGGAAGTGGATTGTCATAAAGATTTTCATCCTTATTGTCTTCATGTTGAGTAGGCTGAGAAGGAGGAGGAAGATGAGGAGTTGATTTTGCTGTCTCAGGGGTAAAAGAGGTAGAAAAGGTGGAGGAGGTGGAAAGGGAGGCAGGCACACTTGGTGTAAATTTTATTGGTGTCAATTTATCCTTATATAAGTGGACCTGTGCACTCGAAACCCATGTTATTCAAGGGTAAACCCATATATAGATGCACACACAAACATACACACCACATGGTATATACACAACTATATATATACACACACATACACACACATACGTATATGTGTGTATATATGTGTGTGTGTGTAGATATGTATATGTATATATATGCGTGTATATGTGAGAGAGAGAGAGAGTGAGATTTATTTTAAGGAATTAACTTACGCAAGGCCTTGGGGGCTGGAAAGTCAAAAATCTGAAGTGCAGGTCAGCTGGAAACCCAGAGAAGAAATGATGTTGCAGCTCAAGTCCAAAGGCAGCTAGGAGGCAGAATTCCTACTTTCTTGGGGGACCTCAGTCTTTTTCTCTTAAGGCCTTCGACTGATTGGATGAGGCTCACCCACATTATGGAGGGGAATCTGCTTTATTCAAGGAAAGCCTACTGATTTAAATGTTAATTGCATTCAAAATAAACTTTCACAGCAACATCTAGACTGGTGTTTGACCAAAAGCATCTATACTGTTGTTTGCCTAGCCAAGTTGAAACATAAAAACAACCCTTACAGAGGTGACCTCAGGAAACATTGGTAGAAGGCGAAGAAGTGATAAAGGGAAGGGAAAGTAGACAATAAAGGGTGTGTTGTCAAGTGAGTTACTACTGTGGACAACTAGAGCTGAATCCTTGTGGAGACCTCTGGGTACCTGATACAGTTTGGCTGTTTCTCCACCCAAATCTCATCTTGAATTGCAATTCCCACAGTTCCCCACCACAAATCTCATCTTGAATTGTAATTCCCACATGTCACGGGAGGAACCCAGTGGGAGGTGATTGAATTACTGGGGAGGGTCTTTCCTGCACTGTTCTCATGATAGTGAATGAGTCTCATGAGATCTGATGGTTTTAAAAAGGGGGGTTTCCCTGCACAAGCTCTCTTTTCTTCTCTTGTCTGCCATCATGTGAGACATGCCTTTCACCTTCTGCCATGATTGTGAGACCTCCCCAGCCACATGGAACTGTAAGTCCAATAAACCTCTTTCTTTTGTAAGTTGTCCAGTCTTGGTTGTGTCTTTATCAGCAGCATGAAAATGGACGAATACAGTACCAGAGTAGAATACATCCCTCAGAGTCACCCTGCCCACAGTAGGAAAGAATTGGGCCATTAATATACTAATTTCCATCAGTCAATGTTCCAGAGCTGCTTACAGTGTGGAGGTCAATTCCTCATCCTACAGGGATGCTATGTGGGCAGGTGAAGCTGACACTAGTGGTCAGAGACAGTGTCTAGGCAGAGACTCACATACTGACAGTCAGAAATTGGGCCAATATATATGGAAATGGCAAGGGCTAAGGGACATGGGTGGGACACAGAAAGTGTCTACAAAATAGAGAAAAACATGCATTCTCAAACTTTATTATTTCATTTCTAATGGTAAGATGAGAAAAATAGACATGAAAATACAATACTGGAATTTTAGTTTTTATAAATGAGATATTAACCATTTAAATAAAAAAGACTATTTCAAAAGCTATAATTTCAAATTAACATAAATACCCTAATTCATGAATATTCCATTTAATCAAGATTTTGCTGACAAATGCCATGTGAGGCTAATTTCTATTCATCTTTCCAATCTTAGTGAGGATGTCATATTTTCCAGGAAGCTTTCTCTGTCACCTCTAGCTATGTCAGGTTCTATGTTATACACTCTCAAAGCCCCATGTTCTTTTATTTTCCTTCAGAACGTTTCCCAGCTCCCTGAAGGAAAGGACCATATATTTCTTGTTTATTAATAATTCCCCAACATCTAGCAGAGTACCTAGAACATGTAGAACACCTAGTAGGTGCTCAATAAATATTTGATTAAAAAATTAAAGAGATATGGCAGAAAACCTTTCTTGAAATCCATAATGAATTACTGAATACTGTAAACTAAATTCATACTATGACTCATACTACATTGAGAAAGTATCTTTAGGAACCTAAGTGCCTTAATGAAGAGAAAAGAATGATTTTTTATCAATATGGCAATTATTCATAAGTAAATAGGTGCTTTTAAAGCACTTGAGGAAAAGTACTTTCTTAAGTAGATTGTCTGACCCCTGAAATTATGTTTACACTACTAATTTCAGTGGGAAACTCTTTCATCATAGTCTATTAGTCGGTATCAGTTACATTATGCTGTGGTAACAAACAACCCCACACATCTTAGTGGTGTAACATGACAAAGTTCTACTTCTTATTCACATGATTTCTCCAAAGCAGATCAGCAGGGGGCTTCATTCCTCACACTCATTCAGGAATTCAGGCTGGTAGAGGCCCTCTTGTCAAAATTTGCTTTCACAATCACCATGGTGGGAACAAGGAACATGGAGAATTATGTGCTGCCTTTTCAATTTTCTGGCAGAGAGTGACATGGTCATGCGGTTATCCATACTTAACTTCTGGAGATCAGGTTCCCAGAAGGAGTACCAGAAATATTTAGTGAATAGCCTTAATGGCATAGACTCCAAAGGTAAATTCCAGGCTAGGCTGTATCTTATATCACAAGTTCCAAAATCATAGAATATACGTAAATGAGGTTTGGCTGATTTCATCAGTATATCAGAGTCTCCCAATCAGAGATAAGATCTCTTTCTGTAAGTAGAGCTCATAAGAATCAACGCATGTTGGAGGAACTGAGCCATCTGCAGAAGTGTCCCATCCTCTCACAGGACCTGTAAATGTGCTGCTGATAAAGGCTTCAGAAAGCACTGGGTGTAATGAGGGCGACAAGAGTTTTTCCTCAGTGCCGCATTATATTAAAAAAAAAGCTACTTTATAAATGGAACAAGTGAAACAACTTCTGCATTTCATCCCCTTACAGGTAATTAAGAAGAGAGAATAATACACTCTACCACACCTCTGGTAGAGTGTATTATTTATTCTCTCTTCTTAATTACCTGTAAGGGGATGAAACATCATCTGTGATTGTCATGTTACCTGCAGTAAACTCCTCCCCATATGGAAGGACCATAAACTCCTGTCCCATGGAGTTTTAACCTGCCATGTCCATTCCTTTAGCTAAAGAATGTGAGTGGATATAACCGACTACATCCCAGTAGAAGCTTTAAGAGCCATTGTGAATTTCTGCCAGCATTCTTTCTCTTTCCTTCTGCCAGAAATAAGAACATCATCTCCCAAAGGGAGATTGCATCATTCAGGCTGGGTTCTGGAATGAGAAGACACATGGAGCAGAATTGACCCAAACCAGTGACCTATACTGTATATGAGAAATAAATGTTTCCTTTGTAAGCCACTGAGATTCTGGGGTTGTTTGTTACTGCAGAAAAGCTGACCAACACACTAAGGAATGAAGGTGCCTCAACAAAAAATAAAAGGATCTTTGGTCTAGGAAAGCTTTTTATACTCCCCTTTAGTACACACAGGGAGGCCCCAGAAGGAAGAACGTAATGAGAGGAGTTGAGATAAAGAAGAGTTCAATCACCATGTGTAATAAAGGAACTGAAGAACTTGAGGAGAATTTTCAATTTTCAATTTTCTGCTGGAGCACGGGATGGTAAACTATGGCCCAAGGGCCAAATGTAGCCCACCACTTGCTTTTGTAAATGAGGCTTTATTGGAACACAGCCATGTCGATTCATTTATGCATTATCTTTGGCTGCTTTTGCTCCATAAAAGCAGAGTTCAGCAGTGATGACAAAGATCTTATGGTGTGCAAAACATAAAATATTTACTGTTTTGCCCTTTACAGAAAAAGTTTGCTGACAAATGTCATAGAGAGTGGATGAGATGGGGCTCTGAAATTTGTACAAGAGGAGAGGTAGGAAAATGATTTCTATAGAGAGAACAGACACAAGCAACAAGAGAGGAGATTGGAGTCTAAGAAGAAAGATACCCAAGGACAAACATTGTGGTAGGGAAACCAAGGAACTTTGAGATGTCTAATCTTCAATTCTGCATTGTTCCCTTTTCTGTTCTGTGCAGTAATTCCCCTCCACTATCCCCAAGCCTTAAGTAAGTCTGTTACATAGAGTATTCCAGTGCATGGGGTGTCTGGAGGAAGGAAGGAGAGAGAGACTGTTACAGACATTGCAAAGCAGGAGAAACTAGGATAATAACTGCCCCTTCTCACCTCTTGACGATTCCTTAACCCTTAGTTTCATCTCCTTGACAGACTGAGTTACTTGTCGCCGTTTCTTACTCCTTCTTATTCCCTGTTAATCCTTCCTGGCTTTTGCTCTCTTAACAAGTTTGTGTTATTGTTGAGGTCATCTGAGGTGCAGCTGTCCTCCTCAGTCAGGAAGGGCAGATTAGTAGTCTCTCAGTAGTCCTGAGCTCACACTCCCCCAATACCAACCATTGGTCCTTTGAGTAACCTCCTAGGATTCTTGGGGAGCAATGTAGATTTTTGCTTTCAGAAGGCTCTAGAATGGGTCAGAACAATAGGCAAATTAACTTCACTTCAAGACTGCTGGATAGTCAAGGATGAAAATTAACTGCCTATTTTCCATTACAAATTATGTTCATTCATCTTATCTAGGAGAGCTCTTTAGAGATTCTTTATTGGTGTCAAATGGCAAAGTAAAGATTCTCTAACAATGAAGTGCTGGCAACATTGAGATGTCCTGAATTTGGATGTAATCCTCCTCCCCCATGATCTAATTCATGGAGGGAAATTAAAGCTCACAATTAAATCTTCTTATTTTTTAGAGTTAAGACCTAAAGAAGTTAAGGTTCAAAACTGAAATATCTTCTCCTTGTAAGTGAAAGTCAAAAGCTTAGAATTTCTATGTCCAGAGAAATTAAAGTCCAAAATGTATTATAATGCTGTATTCTCCTCTGTCTTAGCCACAGGGATTCTCAACATCTGGGTACAGTGTGGCCTTCTTCAGCAGCAACTGCCTGGGTTGTCTTATTCCTCAGGAGCCGAATGAGTCTGTCATGTGGCTATGCTGGTCTTCTACTTCCCCATAGCTGAGACTCAGCCTTCGGACCATTGCCATCAACTCCCATCACTGCACTCTGCTCCACTCCAAATGACCTTGTCACAACATACAATGGACACTTCTTAGCCCTTATTTAAGTAAATGACATCAGCATCGCACAGATGAAGAGGATGGTTCCCTGCCCTGTCAACAACTGTTCACCCCTCAGACCCACCTCCAACCCACATACAGATATCAGATTCCAGAACAACCACAGAAACAGAACCTGAAAAACAGACCCCAAATTGTATTACACATTTGGAAACATTAGTCGGTTTACTTCTTGTGAGAGGGGAGACTTGGCACTGATGACTCAGGTATTCCAAGTCTTCACTAAAATCACATAGATAGAAGGGATATCGGTGATCATCCAGTGAGGGCCTGCCTTCAGGTGGCTGACTCTCTAGAAGAGATGGCCAGTGATTCCCTTTTTAAGGACAAAGGAATAATAACATTCCTAGATGATCCATTCCTCCCCTTCAATATGTTTTATCATCCTGTTTCTGCTAAATACACCTTTGCCTTCTCTTGTTCAGCCAGACTTCCATTTTAAATGACTAAAGTGGTAACTTAATGCTATTGTTTCTATGTTAGTGCAATGGGAAGAAAGCCACTGGATTGGCAGCCACTGACTTGTGCAATGATCCTGAACAAGTCATTCCACCTCTTTGGCCCTCATTTGCCATATGTAAAATGGAGAAGGGGTTGCACTGGCTGATCTTGGAAAGTCTCTGTAGTCCTAGTGTTCTAGGGGTTGGCCTGATATTTACAAAAACAAGCAAACCAACCAACAAACAAAAAAAACCCTTGCTAGCCAGACTTTGCTCATGGAGACACTACAAATTCTGCCTGGTCTAGAGAACTTTTAGGATAGGTGAATGTTCAAAGTCCATTTTACTTAGGATTCAAATACAACAAAGACTTCAGCCTTAGATGATATGCCTTTGTACAGATCCCATTATGGAGAGCTATCTGCTGGAGTTTTTCAATTATGGATGGAGTTTATCAATTTTTTCCATCCTGAAGAATAGGGAGAAGATTCTAAGATTATGCTCATCTTTTTGGTTCAGGTGACTAGGTACGTGGTGGGGCCAATCTCTGAGACAGAGGAAAAAGAAGGAGGAGGTTTAGTGGGAAGATGATGTTTTGGATACATTGAGTTTGAGGTGCCTATGGGATATATTTGTGGAGATATTCCACATCCATTAGAAAATATTGTATTTTTAAAGAAAATCATGTTCATTTTCATAATCTTACTTCATTTTCATACCAATTCTATAATATTCCTCCCATATGACAGATAATTTGTAAGTATTATTTCCATTTGAGAGATAAACAGGCCAAAGAGGCTAACTTAAAGGAAATGAAATGATGGATGGAATAGTGACTTACAAACATTAAAGTGCTGTGCACATGGGGAGGCTGATAATTTCCTCCAGGTCCACCAGAAAGGGATCACTGAGCTCAGATTAGATCCTGGCATTTTCTGACATTTGTTCCTCTGTTTCTCCAGGAATTACATCATGCACCTATACATTAATTCATTCCTCAAATCAGCTAACTAATCAACATTTGTTGAGCAGCTATGTGTATTAAGCAGTATGCTCAATGCTGGGTTAATGAAGAAGACAATTTTTGTTCTTGAAGAACTTTCATCTGAGAGAGGAAGGCAGACCTATAAATGATGACAAGATAGTGTGGCAAGTGCTATTATGGGAGTAGAACAGTGAGACCTGACATAGTCTTGGGGTTTAGGGAGGGCTTCCCTGAAATAATATTAAGACCTGGAAGAAAAAGTCAGACAAATGGTGGAGGACAACGGTGGTTATGTGGCAGTGAGACATTGTGTGTGCAAAGCCTTGAGACAGAAGATATCACAGATAACCAGTACGGGTGGATGTGGAGTGAGGGAATAATGGCATGCAACAAGTCTGGGGATAAAGAACAGGGGCTGGGTCATGTGTGATCTTTTAAGACATTCGTTCTAGTTATCTATCACTGCATAACAAACTACCCCCAAACTTAGTGGCTTAAAGCAGCCATTTTATTTTGCTCATAATTTTATGAGTCAGAAATCTCGGAAGGGTGGCTGGTTGGTTTGCCTGTGATCCACATGGCATCATCTTGTGGGGGATAGGGCTGGAGAATCCACTTTTCAGTTGGCTTCTTTGCTTACATGTCTGAAATTTCAGGATTCTTTGACCTCTGTCTCCACACTGCATTTTACCCTGCGGTATGGCCATCTCAGGACATTTGGCCTTTTTATATGACAGCTGGCTTTCTCCAGAGTGAGCTCTCTAAGAAAGCTGGGCAGATGGTGATATAGCTTCAGAAGTCCCAGAACATCACTTCTGCCACATTCTATTAATTCAGCAAGTCAATAAGTCCAGGCCAGATAAAAGGGGAGGGAAAGTAGATTCCACCTCTCAATGAGGTTGGGTGGGGGTGAGGTTGCAAAGAATTTGCATCCATCTTTATTCTGTCACACCATGATAAAGAGTTTTGTATTTGTCACAAGTGCAATGAACTTATTGTGGTGTTTTTAGAATGAGGGTGACAGGATGATCAGATAAATTTTAAATATATCTCTTTAGCTTCAGAGTGGAGCATAAATTGGAAGGAGAATTGAGATAGGTGGAAGAGAGACCAGTTAAGAAATTTTTGAAGAGGCCAGGCTTGACTTGATGATAGGATGGTGGCAGTGATGTTAAAGAAAAGTAGAAGAATGTCTTTTAAAATTTCAGGAGGTAAAATCAACAGCATTGATTCAATAAGGGGGATGAATGTTCTTTTCATGTTATGCTGATGCAGTGTTTTTTCTTTTATTCATTTATTTATTCTTTCTTTTCAATCCATGTATTCACTGAAATACATTCACTGAACACTGACTATATTAATGCGATCTTTCAGGAACTGTGCTCTGTACTGTAGGAGATACCAAGAGGTTTCTGCTCTCAGGGAGCTCAGTGCAGTGTTAGAACTTGTTCACAGTTTCAATCGATTATTCAATAATAGCAATATCAATCAACCATGTGTTGACTCTTTATACTGTGCCAGCCACTTTACATATTCAGTAGCCCTTTGTTCTTTGCATATGTATTTATTTAATATGTGGTTTCAGCGACTGTTTAATAACACGTAGCCATTTGTAACTGATGGAGGCACTGGAGGTTGGTGTGTGGGAAAAAGTCTATAGCCCAATACCCAGTATCTGCAGATTCACATGGTTTTGATCTTCTCCATCCATCACTGCCACAGAAGAAGTTCTAATTTGGGATCCAAAAGTGCCCATGAAATTTTCCAGAAATACTTCCTTTCATGGGGAGATCTGTATTATGTATAGCCTTCTTTAATCCCTAACTCTATCATTACGAATGGGTTCCCATCATTACCTCTAACTCTCCACTCTCCACTCTGCTCCCAGAGACCAGACCTCTGAATACACTCTTGCGCAGGGCATGACTGTGATTCACTGGGGAGGAGGAGGTGACTCTTTCTCCTTCTTTATCCCAAGAACACGCTGCAGATATTTCACAGCTTAAAAAAAGAATAAAGAGTGTTAATTCCCACAAGCTTCTAGTGGATTTGGGACAATAATTCTGGGCATCCCAGCAATAATGGACCTCTTTCTTTGGAATCTAGAACCCAATTGGCCTAGCTGCTGAGAGTTCTGGTCAACCCATCTCCCCTCTGTCTCCATTCAGTGCCTCAGTACCACTTTCTCCCCTCTTCTCTCGATGCCCTGAAACTTTGGTATTTAGAAGTTAAACCTTAGTAATGCGGTTTGGTAACAACCAGACTGAGGTGGATTCAACCCAGTGACCTCAAGAGGAAAGAATTTCTGAAATGATTTTTTTTTCAGGTTTTCAAAGAAGCTGGTACTGTACTTTTCATTTCACACATCACAAATTTACATCTTCAAAAGCTAGAAAATATCAACACCTCAGAAAAATATGGTGTAAAATATGTGGACATCTGCTCACCTGAAGCAGCAGTAATCACAGAGAAAATTGTAATCCCCTGGACTAGACCAGCATTAGGCTTTAGTGCCTAGGACCTGACTTAGGGTCATCCTCAACCTTCTTAGTTCTATATAACATAAAAGTCCAGCCAGCACATTCCCTGAACTAGGCTGCTGGTAAAACCAGAGACTTGTTTCAACAGAAAGTCAACAATGAAGCCGTTGTGTTTCATTGGAGTGAGACAGGATTGGAGGAGCTAAGCTTCCCACTGTGGTTTAACACCTTCAATGGGGCCTTCCTCTCCAGCCCAGCCCTGTTGGGTTAGGAGTCAGCATTCGACAGGTATTTCCTGAGGGCCCTTTTCACTGTTCCCTCTCAACGTGTGCATTCACGGCCAGGTCGTTTATCCTGCCTGCCACCTTGGGCTGATGAAAATGTCGCTTTGACTTATGACATGAGCACTTCCTCAGAAAGTTGGGGACCCCAAGTGAGTTCTATCCCTAACTTTTCTCTATGGAAAGTTTTTTTTTTTTTAATTGTTTATAGTCTGTGAATTTTGGATGGCAGCCAATGCTGAAGCCAAGAGGAAGGCTGTCTCTGTGGGATGTTGCTTGCATCCACCACCGTGGTAAGCACGTGATGTTGTCATCAGTGTATTTGGCTCTAATGAAATGCTTTCTTTGTCTAAGAGGATATCTGTTTGCATGTTTATACATTATCCTACGCTGTTAATTGGCAATCATGTTTTTATTTAATTTTATGAGATTAATGTAACCTCTTTTTGAGCCCTAATACATCACATGGCAAATAAAACTCAGACATTTTTGGGTTGAACAGAACTAGCCTGCCACCAGACCTCTCTTCTAATTCCTGAAATATCAGCCAATTATACCAAGACTTAGCAGTACAAAAACCACAAACTCATCTGTAAGGCGAGGAATTGGTAGCACATAAAAGGATAATTATTTGAGTTTGAGGAAGAATAACTGAGGAAAGTGGTAAAATCTTTCATGACAATGTTTAGACATAATCAAAATTATCATGACTGGCTTGGTTTAGGTATTGCACTGTTGCAATTTGGGGGATGCAATGATGATGCCATTTAGGCACATAGGTGCCATCTAAGGGTTATGGTTGGTGGTAAGAAAGGTTTCTTAAGAGCAGCTTCTTGGTTAGATCACCACATTCTAGAGAATGTGGGTTTAACCTTTCTTGAGTAACCTTCTTGGTTAGGTCACCACATTCTAGAGAAGTGGGTTTAACCTTTCTTGAGTAACCTTCTTGGTTAGGTCACCACATTCTAGAGAAGTGGGTTTAATCTTTCTTGAGTCTTGGACCAATTTGGAAATCTGAGAGAACCTATGGTTTGCCCCACACTCCCACATGCTTATATGCTCATCTACACACATTTATACATATAGTTTAAGGGGGGCGTCCACTGAGCTTCCAAAGACTTGTCCTAAAGGACCATGGATTCCAGGTTAAAAACTCCAGTTCTCAGGCCTGGTTCTTAGTTTTAAACCGTCTTGGGGTGCCAGAGATGAGGATAGACTCATGCTAACTGAAATACCAGACAGTGATGAATAAGGCAAAATAATTTATAACAGGGCTTCCTTCTTTCCAATAACCAGAATGCTTTTGTGTTCACTTCTCAATATCCAGAGATATGGGAAATAGAATCATTTAGCCAAATATTACTTGGAGAGGTGAGTGGCCCGAGGGTGAACTTTTTACTCCATCAATGAGGGAACTCAGTGATCTGTCCCTGTCCTAGAGTAAAGATCCTCTTCTCAGTGGCCTCCAGATCCAGGATCTCTCTCCCTTAGACAGTGCTGGATATACACATGACAACTTGTGCTTCTTTGAATTCAGTTTTCCATGCTGGTTAGCCCGCTCAATTGATACGTTCTTTCTTTAGACAATACCTGTTCCCTTAAGCCCTGGAGCCACGTGTGTTTCTTCTAATTTTAAGATGCTGCAATCTTAGCTCCACAGGTATGGAGGATTCATGAGAGCAGAGATGGACCCAATCTGTGCTTTTCATTGACTCTAGTTGTTCCAGGAACTCACAAGAAAAGTTGAAGGAGTTCCTGTAAATTTGATGTGGTTTGTGGCAGTCATGTTTTGTTTGTGTCTACCCCAGCCCTGAGCTAGGACTTGGACAGGAGAAGACAGCAGTGGTCCAGGCTGAAAAATTCCCAGGTTTAACTCTCGGTTAAAGTTTTGTGTAGTCAGGGAGGCTGTGATTCACATTTCCCAAAAGACTGGTTCAGAGTATATATGCATATTTTAATGTTGTGTATTCATGCATTGGACCATATTTCCAGCCACTTTGCCAAAAAACTATCTTTACAATGTGCCCCCATTGGTGTAAATGTCTGAAGATCCAAGGGGGTTTGAATGGAATAGTTGAATGTCAACTTTGTCCCCAAAGTTGGTTCATAATCCTCTTAAAATGTTTATATTTAGGAGTTCTCTAATGGCCAAAACATCCTCATTGACTCATATAATCTAATACGGCAGAAGGACACATCTCTACCCTAACACGAAAACTGTTGGCCTCTCTTAAACCCTAATGGGACAACATTATTTCAGAATGCAAAGGCATCTGGTAGAATTTGTACTGTACCAATGCCTGGGAAGGGAACCACACCCAGTCCAGGCTTTTATTCATCAGTGGGTGAGTTGGACTTCTGGAAGGATGACAAGTATCTTAAAACAGTTATTACTTCCCTGTCGAAAGTTTGACAGTTGAGCTGAAACCTAATATTTCTAACAATAATTCCAAAATGTTGCAAACTAATGACTGATCCTGGAGAGAAAGGAGTGTCCGCAGCATAGAGCACTCATCCCTGGGGCACTGCCTTGCATTCTCATTCTTTAGACTAGCCTTACACCTCATAAATCTGTCAGTCATTTCAAATAAAATTTCTGTTTATGTTGTGAAAACTATTTCCAGTGTTTCACGTGAACTGTCTGCAAACTGATAAGACAATGAAGGCTGGATTCCACATTGAAATAAGGCAAGAAAATGAGTTTCTATTTTAACTGATAATTTCTTTGCTACCTCTAATGCTGCACACCTATTAAAAAAGCTAGTGTCACATTTCCTTCAGTTTGGAGAATTTAAGTTGAATCTTCTCATTTGGGTTGCCATCTGGTGTGCTACTAACAGTCTCCGAGAGTAAGAGGCCATCTGTTAATACTTTTTCCAGGAAGCTTTTTATAGAGCAGTGAAGTGGCAACTCTCAAAAACACATTGTAATGACTTACATGAACTTGAGTATATGTACAAATTGAGGCTGATACTTTGTTTCTACCAACACTATTTTCTTCCATTGAGGAGGGACAGAGGAATCAAGAAATGTATATTTGTATGCAAAAAATGTGCATCCCTACCATGTGGAGAGCCATAAAGTTAACAAGTTATTGGCTTTATGGTATTTTAAAAAGTAAGGTTATAAATACATACTGAGAAGTAATAATAATAATAATGATATTGATAGTCATATATTGACCACTCGCTATCTTCCACCTAATGTGTCAAATGTTTTACATGCATTGACTTATTTTATTTTTACAATGACCCTGATAAATACTTGCCAATATTATACTGTTTACAGGTGAAAAAGAATTGGTGCTCAGAGAGGTTAATGACATGTCCCTGTGCTGAGGTAGTAGTAGCCAGCACCTGAACACAGTTTTCTTTTCTTTTTAAAATTTTTTTCTGACTTCAAAGCCTGTGCTATTCTTTATGAGCTATTCTTTCTCACTGTCCTGTGAAGCTTGGAACAGTCTGTCTTTTGTAACTAGCTGGATACCAGCTACTAAACTTCCTATCACTAGAAATAAAGGTTTAAGTAAATTTGATCAAGGACAGCTGGTGGTTTGCATTAATAACAGTATGGGTTAGGTTTTGCTGTAGTTACAAATAACCCCTAAATCTCAATGGCTTGCCAAAAAAGAAAAAAACAAAAAACAAAAAACAAAACATATTTACTGGCCATGCAGCATGCCTGACTCAGGTCACGGGAACTCTGCTCATTGTGATGACTCATTGCTGGAGCCTCCATCCCTACCCAGGCTTCCATGATCACAGTGACACTGGCCACTCCTCACTTCCTCACACATTTCACTGGCTGAAGCAAGGACTTGATCAATCCAAATTGGAAGATTAAAGTTAATTTTTCTAAATGGGCTAGGAAATTTCAATTCTATATGTGCGTCCAGCAGGAAAACCACAATATTTGGGCCTACCCCTAGTTACTGCAGCAACTAGATCAGTTGATTAAAAGCCTTCTGATTTCTGGTCCTTTTTTCACTGTGGATTTTTCAATTTGAGATTATGATAAATGGTCCTACACCATACTTTTGCATTGCCTGGGCTACAATATATTTTTGTCTGGTGGCATTAACTGATCTTTAAGAATCACACCTTATTTGAACCAGACTTCTTTCTATCTAGCATCTGTCACATTTCTCTTTTGAATCTATGTTCTATAAACATAGGAAGACACCGGTGTACACAAATCATCCCAGTATCTTTTTCATCCAATTGGAGGTTACTCCAAAGATGATTTCAGATAGTATAATATAACTGAATTTTCCTTTTGGTCTATGTCATAGTATTTCAATTTCAATTATGTTTTAAAATTTTTGTTTTTAACAGGTCCCTATTATATTCAAAATAGACTTCATTTTTGCATTTGAGGTAAATAAATGATGAAGGTATTTATGTCCTGACATCAACTTTACAAGAGAACTTGAAGAGTAGTTTGGACAAAGCTATTGTTTAGGTGTTCCTTCATGTTGGCGGCCACTTCATCAGGCCACTAGGGTGAGTGTACTCAAGGACCCAAAGGTCAGCTTGCCCTTGTTAGACAGTATGACTTTTGGGGCCTTGGCAAACTATTCAGCAATATTTAAAATATCTAGTTTATTTTTGTTATGTTTTCTTTTACATTTACTGTTTATTTCTAAGATTATAAAAGTAATACATGTTGTATTAATCTGTTTGTGCCAGAGTACCACAGACTGCATAATTTATAAAGAATAGAAACGTATTTTCTCAGAGTTCTGGAGGCTAGAAAGTCCAAGATCAAGGTACTGGCATCTTTTGAGGGTCTCCCTGCTGTATGCTCCATAACACTGTGTACTCACGTGGTGGAAGGGCAAAGAGGCCAAAGGGAGCCAAACTTTCTCTTTAATAATGGCATTGATCTATTCCTGAGGGCAGAGCCCTCATGACTTAAATATCTTCCATTAGGTCCTATCTTCTGACACTGTTGGATTGAGGGCTAAGTTTCTAACACATAAATTTTGGGGGACACATTTAAACCATAGCATATGTTAATTGCTAAAATTTTGGAAAATATAGCAAAAATGATAAAAAGGAAGAATTGCTAATAATCATTAATGATTATATTAAAATAACAACCACTTTTACAATTTTGGAAAATAACTTTTAATACTTTCTGTATGTTCTGCCTATCACTCTCACCCTCCCAACAAATCAGTAGCCCATTTTGTACTGTAGTAGTAAACCTGTAATATTTCTTCAAAGTACTTAAGTCTGTAATTTTAAACAGTATTTATTTTTGTATTTATATGTTTAATATATCTGCTGCACCGGAATGTAAATACCATGAAGAGAATTTTGTGTTCTTGTGCCAGATGCTGGCACCTTGATCTTGGACTTCCTGGCCTGTGAGAAAATAAAATTCCTGTTCTTTATAAATTACTGTCTGTGGTGCTCTGTTATAGCAGCACAAACAGACTGAGATAACATGTATCTCTAGAGCCTATCAGAGTGCTTACCACACAATAGGCATCTGATAAATATTTATTAAATAGATGGAACGGACTGCCCGGGGAAGGGGAGGACTGCCACCTGGGCTGGTTGTACAACTCAGCTGTTCCAGCCTTCAGGCTATGGAGAGTCCGAGCCAACAGGGGCAGAGGTGGTTCCCCACCACGACGCAGCTGTTTGGTGGAGGCATGGCCAGACTGCTTCTTTAAGCGGGATCCCAATCCCACTCCTCCTTGCGGGGGTGGTGGGGGGGCGAGAAGGGGGGTCCTCCCAGTGGGGGCCACCGGCTACCTCGGCTAGTGTTCTCCCTGGGACGGAGTGGCTGAGGGCAGAGCAGGCCACTACCTTGACCATTTGAGCTTCTCAGCTGCTCCAACCTGTGGGCCTTGGAAAGCCCAATTCAAGGGCTGAAGGGATCTCCAACACAACAGAGCTGCTCTACCAAAAAGCAGCCAGACTGCTTCTTTAAGCAGATGCCTGATCCCATTTCTCCTGAATGGCTGAGACCTGCCAACCAGGGTCTCCAGCCACCTCCTTCATCCCCCCTGGCATGAAGCTTCCAGAGGAAGGGGCAGGCTGCCGTCTTTGCTGTTTCATAACCTTCATTGGTGATACCTCCAGGCACGGGAAAAATTAAGGCAACCAGCATCTGGAGCAGACCCCCAGCAAACTACAGCAGCCCTATGGAAGAGTGGCCTGACTATTCAAACAAACAAAGAAACAAATAGAAAACAAGAAAACAAAACAAAACAAAACAAAAAACCCCATCCAAAGGTCAGCAACCTCAAAGATTGAAGTTAGATAAGCCCACAAAAATGAGAAAAAAAACATGAAAATACTGAAAACTCAAAAAACCAGAATGCCCCTTTTCCTCTAAATGACTGCAACACCTCTCCAGCAAGGGCTCAGGACTGGGTTGAGGCTGAGATGGCTGAAATGACAGAAGTAGGCTTCAAAAGGGGGGTAATAATGAACTTTGCTGAGGCTAAATGAACATGTGGTAACACAATGCAAAGAAGCTAAGAATTACGATAAAACAATACAGGAGCTGACAGCCAAAAATAGCCCATTTAGAGAGGAACACAACTGACCTATTAGAGCTTAAAAACACAGTACAAGAACTTCACAATGCAATCACAAGTATTAATAGCAGAATAAACCAAGTGGAGGAAAGAGACTCAGATCTTGAAGACTATCTTTCTGACATAAGACAGGCAGACAAGAATAGAGAAAAAAGAATGAAAAGGAATGAACAAAACCTCTGAGAAAGGGTTCAATTCAACAGGAAGAGCTAACTATCCTAAATATATGTGCACCCAATACAGGAGCACCCAGATTTAGAAAGCAAGTTCTTAGAGACTTTCAGAGAGACTTAGACTCCCACACAATAATAATCAGAGACTTTAACACCACACTGACAATATTAGACAGGTCATCAAGATAGAAAATTAACAAAGATATTTAAGGCCTGAACTCAGCTCTGGGTCAAGCAGACCTGATAGATATCTATAGAACTCTCCACCCAAAAACAACAGACTATACATTTTTCTCATCACCATATGGCACTTTAAAATTGATCACATAATTGGAAATAAAACACTCCTCAGCAAATGCAAAATAACTGAAGTCATAACAAACAGCCTCTCAGACCACAACATAATCAAATTAGAACTCAAGAATAAGCAACTCACTAAGAACCACACAACTACATGGAAACTGAACAACCTGCTTCTAAATGACTCTTGGGTAAATAATTAAATTAAGGCAGAAATTAAGAAGTTTTTTGAAACTAAGGAGAAAAAAGAAATGACATATCAGAATCTCTGGAATGCAGCTAAAGCAGTGTCAAGAGGGAAATTTATAGCACTAAAGGCCTACATTCAAAAGCTTGAAAGATCTCAAGTTAACAACCTAACATCACAAGTAAAAGAACTAGAGAACCAAGAGCAAACAAACCCTAAAGCTAGCAGAAGATAAGGAATAACCAAGATTAGAGTTGAACTGAAGGAGATAGGGACATGAAAAACCCTTCAAAAATCAGTAAATCCAGGAGCTGTTTTTTTGAAAAAGTTAACAAAATAGACTGCTAGCTAGATAGCTAGACTAATAAAGAAGAAAAGATAGAAGATCCAAATAAACACAATCAGAAATGATAAGGGGGATATCACTACTGACTCCACAGAAATATAAACAATAATCAGAGAATGCTATAAACACCTCTATGCACATAAACTAGAAAATCTAGAAGAAATGGATAAATTCCTGGATACATACACCCTCCCAAGACTGAACCAGGAAGAAATTGAATCCGTGAATAGATCAATAACAAGTTCTGAAATTGAGAAAGAAATACATAACCTACTGGCCAAAAAAAGCCCAGGACCAGACAGATTCACAGCTGAATGCTACCAGAGGTACAAAGAAAAGCTGGTATTATTTCTACTGAAACTATTCCAAACAACTGAAAAGGAGAGACTCCTCCCTAACTCGTTCTATGAGACCAGCATCATCCTCATACCAAAACCTGGCAGATAACAACAAAAAAGGAAAACTTCAGGCCAATATTCTTGATGAACATCACTGCAAAATTCTCGACAAAATATTGGCAAACCGAATCCACCAGCATATCAAAAAGCTTATCCATCATGATCAAGTAGGCTTCATTCCCAGGATGCAAGGTTGGTTCAAAATAAGCAAATCAATAAATGTGACTCATCACATTAACAGGACTAAAGACAAAAACACATGATTATCTCAATAGATGCAGGAAAGGCCTTTGATAAAATTTAACATCCCTTCATGTTAAAAACTCTCAATAAATTAGATATTGAAGGAACATGCCTCAAAATAATAAGAGCCATCTCTGACAAACCCACAGACAATATCATACTGAATGGACAAAAGCCCGTTCTCCTTGAAAACTGGCACAAGACAAGGATGCCCTCTCTCACCACTCCTATTCAATGTAGCATTGGAAGTTCTAGCCAGGGCAATCAGGCAAAAGAAAGAAATTAAGGGTATTTAAATAGGAAGAGAGAAATTCAAACTATCTTTGTTTGCAGATGACATGATCCAATATATAGAAAACCCCATTGTCTCAGCCCAAAAGCTTCTTAAGCTGATAAGCACTTCAGCAAAATATCAGGATACAAAATCAATGTGCAAAAAATCGGTAGCATTCCAATACACCACAACAGACAAGCAGAGAGCCAAATCATGAATGAGCTCTCATTCACAATTGCCACAAAAAGAATAAATACCTAGGAATACAGCTAACAAGGGAAGTGAAGGACTTCTTTAAGGAGAACTATAAACCACTGATCAGAGAGGACACAAACAAATGGAAAAACATTCCATGCTCATGGACAGGAGAAATCAATATTGTGAAAATGGTCCTACTGAGGCCAGGCACGGTGGCTCATGCCTGTAATCCCAGAACTTTGGGAGGCCGAGGCGGGCGGATCACCTGAGGTCAGGAGTTCAAGACCAGCCTGACCAACATGGAGAAACCCTGTCTCTACTAAAAATACAAAATTAGCTGGGCGTGGTGGTGCATGCCTGTAATCCCAGCTACTTGGAAGTCTGAGGCAGGAGAATCGCTTGAACCCAGGAGGCAGAGGTTGCAGTGAGCTGGGATCATGCCGTTGTACTCCAGCCTGGGCAACAAGAGCAAAACTCCATCTCAAACAAACAAACAAACAAACAAACAAACAAACAAAAAAGAAAGAAAGAAAGAAAGAAAAAAACATAATGGTTTTACTGCCCAAAGTAGTTTATAGATTCAATGTTATTTCCATTAAACTACCATTGATATTCTTCATAGAATTAAAAGAAACTATTTAAAAATTCATTTGGAACCAATAAAAGAGCCCAAATTGCCAAGACAATCTTAAGCAAAAAGAACAAAGCTGGAGGCATCACATGCCATGACTTCAAACTATACTAGAAAGCTACAGTAACCAAAACATCTTGGTACTGGTACAAGAACAGGCACACAGACCAACAGAACAGAATAGAGAACCCAGAAATAAGATCACACACCTTCTACCATCTGATCTTCAACAAAACTGACAAAAACAAACAGTGAGGAAATGATTTCCTATTTAATAAATGGTGCTGGGAGAACTGGCTAGCCATATGCAGAAAATTTAAACTGGACCCCTTCCTTACACCATATACAAAAATTAACTCAAGATGTATTAAATACTTAAATGTAAAACCCAAAACTATAAAAACTCTAGAAGAAAATCTAGGCAATACCAGTCAGGACATAGACATGGGCAAAGATTTCATGATGAAGATGCCAAAAGCAATTGCAATGAAAGCAAAAATTGACAAATGGGTTCTAATTAAAGAGTTTCTCCACCTCAGAAGAAACTATCATCAGAGTGAACAGATGACATACAGAATGGGAGAAAATTTTTGCAATCTGTCCATCTGACAGAGGTCTAATATCCAGCTTCTACAAGGAACTTAAATTTACAAGAAAAAAACACCCATTAAAAAGTGGGCAAAGGACATGAACAGACACTTCTCAAAAGAAGACATACATGTGGCCAACAAACCTATGAAAAAAGCTCAACATCTCTAATCATTAGAGAAATGCAAGTCAAAACCTCAATGAGATACTATCTTACACCAGTCAGAATGGCTATGATTAAAAAGTCAAAAAGCAACTGATGCTGGTGAGATTGTGGAGAAAAAGGAACCCTTTTACACTGTTGCTGGGAGTGTAAATTAGTTCAACCATTGTGGAAGATAGTGTGGTGATTCCTCAAAGACCCAGAGGCAGAAATACCATTTGCCCCAGAAATCCCCTTACTGGGTATATAGCCACAGGAATATAAATCTATATATCATTCTATTATAAAAATACATGCACACGTATATTCATTGCAGCACTATTCACAATAGCAAAGACATGGAATCAACTTAAATGCCCATCAATGATAGATTGGATAAAAAAATATGGTACATATGCACCATGGAATACTATGAAGCCATAAAAAGGAACAAGATCATGTCCTTTTGCAGGGACATGGATGATGCCATTATCCTCAGCAAACTAATGCAGGAACAGAAAATCAAATACTGCATGTTCTCACTTACAAGTGGGAGCTGAACAATGAGAACACATGGACACATGGAGGGGCATACACACTGATGCCTGTTGGAGGGTGGGTGGGGAGGAGGGAGAACATCAGGAAGAATAGCTAGTGGATGCTGGGCTTAATACTTAAGTGACGGAATGATCTGTGCAGCAAACCACCATGGCGTGCATTTGCCTATGTAACAAACCTACATAACTTGCACATGTACCCCAGAACTTAAAATTTAAAAATCAGAAAACATATATTTATTGAATAAATGAATTAACCATACACACACAGACACACACGCACACATGCACACGAACATGATTCCAAGTCATATAATTGAATTTTCTTTTGTTAAAATATCACAGCATTTCAATTTAAATTATATTTACATTTCTTTTCTTCTTAGCAGGTTCCCAGTATATTCAAAATAGACTTTCTTGTTACATTCAAAGTAGGCCAAATGTTAGGGGTATTTATATATTGTAAATATATATTTTTAAAAAGTTGAGATCATACTTTATTACTATTTTACAGCATGATTTTTATTACTTTACATTATATTGTATTTTACTATATTTCCTAAGTACATTTATTACTAATTCTGACATAATTTTTCATGGCTGTATGCTGTCTTATAAATAGATCAGAGTTTATTTAACCATTTCCTTACTTTTGGATATTTATACTATCTTCAATATTTTGCTCTTATAAATAGTAGGGTGTGTTATCCTTATTTCTGGGAACTGTTCTGATATATGCTTAGGATAATTGGAAATTATTGGATCACAGTGAATGCAGTTCTTTAAGGCTCTTGTTATATTGCCAAATTTCACTTCATATGGAACCAAAAAAGAGCCTGAATAGCCAAGACAATCCTAAACAAAAGAACAAAGCTGGAGGCATCATGCTACCCAACTTCAAACTATGCCACAGTGCTACAGTAACACTGTAGGCACTTCAGAGAAATTGTATTAATTTATATCATCATCCATGACATATTATGCAAATGGCCTTATCTCTCTGTATCATCACCAAACTCACTTCACATACTATACTTCCTTTTTGCCAGTTTTGGAGAAATAAAATAAAATTTTATGTACCATTTTTTGGTCTGTTGGGATCTTTCCTTCCGCTTATTTTTAAGACCTCTTTTTATACATTAAGGTATTGATTCTTGCTTATCACAGATATTACAACCATATTTTTTTTCAAATTTGTCATTTATGTTTTATTCTTATTTATGGTCTTGTTGAAATAAATTTAAAATTTTTGATATAGTCTTTTCCTTTGTAACTTCTTATTTATGCTCAAAGAATTATTCCTTCCTCTGAGATTAAAAATTCACCTATTTTATTTCTAGCTTATTTGCCTCCAGTATTGAAATATTTCACATTTAACTATTTAATTCATAGATTATTTATAATGACATGCATTGCAATAAACCTATTCACTTCATTTTTCCCCATATTTAACCAATTGTACCAGCTCCATACAAGCTCCTTACTAACTTGGATTTCAAATCCCTCTTGCTAAAATGGAAGTATTATTTCTAAAATAAATAAAATGAATAAAATAAATAAATAAATAAAATGGAAGTATTATTTCTAGTGTTCTATAGGTTTTGTTTCTAAATGGGATCTCCTTTTAAAATTGTATTTTCTAACATGTTATTGCGGGCATATAGAGTACTGTAAATCCTATACATTTATTTTGTAACCACCTACTGAATTGTCTTAGTAGTTCTTATAGTTGATTCTCTTACATGTCTTAAGTAGAGTGCGACAGCATCTGCAAAGATGATTTTGTCTTCTAATTTCCAATATTACCTAATTTCTTCTTCTTGATTTGCTATATGCATGTTTATAAATATATTCTATAAATTTGGGATTATATAGAACATAAAATTCACACAATGCACATATATAATGTAATATATGTAGGATTTAATATAATTTAAATATAGTATGATAATTTAATATAGTGTGAGAATTTCCTCATTGGCACTCTACTATTTTGAGAAAATCCTAATTTTAATATTTGCATAAAATTGCATTGTATAAGGTGCACTATAATTTATTTTTACATTATTTTTCATTTTTAAATATTTATTTAACTTTTGATTTTAAAATAATTTCAGATTTACAAAAATTCAAAAAAGAATGCATAGCATTCTCATACGCCCTTCATCCAGTTCCCTCAAATATTAACATCTTATATAACCATAGTAAAATTATCAAAACCAGCTTATTATCATTGATGCAATACAGATGCTCCTCAACTTTCAATGGGGTTACCTCCTGATAAACCCATCATACATTGAAAATATATGTACAAAATGCATTTAATACACTGTAGAATATGGGTTGTTTACCTTCGTGATCACGTGGCTGGCTGGAAGCTGCAGCTCACGGCTGCTGCCCAGCATCCTCAGAGCATTGCACTACATATCACTAGCCTAGGAAAAGACCAAAACTCAATGTTCCAAGTACAGTTTCTATTTAATGCATATTGTCACTTTCATACCAGTTTTTATTTAATGTATATCATCACTTTCACACCATATGTAAAGTAAAATAAATTATAAGTTGAACCTTTGTTAAGTCAAGGACCATCTGTACTATTAATAAATCTACAGACATTATACAGACTTCAATTATCCCACTAATATCTTTTTTGAGGGGGATCCAGGATCCAATCCATCACCACACATTGCATCTAGTTGTCAGGTCTCCTTAGTCTCCTGTAATCCGAGACACTTCTTTAGTCTTTATTTTTAGTGATTCTGAGACTTTTGAAGAAAACTAGCGATTTATTTTGTAGAATGTTGTTCAACTTGAGTTTGTCTGAGGCTTCATAGGGCATCCTGTCTGGAGAGATAAGATGTCGATATGTTCCAATATTGATGACAACTTTGATTGTTGTTTGCCTGCTTTCTCCACTGTCAGGGTACTATTTTCCCTTCGTAAGTATAAGTATCCTGTGGGGAGATATTTTGAGAATATGTAAACATCCTGTTTTTCATCATGCTTTTATCCACTAATTTTAGCATCCATTGATGGTTTTTCTTGAAACAAGTATCACTGTGGTGTTTGCAAATGGTGCTTTTCTGTTTCCGTTACTCCTTCTATATTTATTAAATGAAAGAGCTTTCCTTTCTCCCTCATTTATTTATTTCAATTACGTTTTGTATGGACTCATGTATATTTCATACTTTGGGTTATAATTCAATACTATGTTATTTGTTTTGTCGCACAAATTGTTTTAACTGTAACCATTGGGTGCCTTTTCAGGTTAGCTCTTGAGTCCTTTTGGCATGTCCCCATCCCTTCATTCTTTGAGCATTTCTTTACTTTCTGGTACTATGAGATGCTTCAGGCTCATCTTGTCCATTCCCTGATCCAGTCCACTTCTCCAAGGAGAATGGTATTTTGAAATCAAAATCTGGGAACTAGGTGTGTTAGTTGCTACCAGGGCCATTGCTTCTGGGGTCTTCTTAGTGAGCAGAGCTGCAAAGTATATGTGTATATACACAGAAACATATACACATTCAGATGCATATTATATGTCTTGCTAAGGAAATGTTTTTATAACACATTTTATTAAGAATATTTCTTACGAACTTGTGGATTTTAACAAATGTCCTCCTGACATATATCAAGATGACTTTATCCCTTTGATACTGATGTGATGAGTGCTATTCATAGATTTCCTAACAATCGAACACCTATGCATGCCTAACATAAAACCTACCTAGTCATGGTGAACTAGTCTTTTAATACTTTTTATTCTTCAGTAATTGCATTGCTAGTATTTTATTTAGAATTTATGCTGCTATGCATCCATATTTTCAAATTATATTGGTTTTCAGTTCTATTTTTGGTACTTTGTCAGGTTTTGATATCAAAGTTAAGGTGGTTGTACTAGTTTCCTGGGGCTGCTGTAACAAATTATCACAAATTGGGTAGCCTAAAACAATAGAAACGTATTCTCTCATAATTCAGAAAGCCAGGAGTCTGAAATAACGGTGTCAGCAGGGTTGGTTCCTTCTGGGGGCTCAGAGGGAAAATCTGTTCCATGCCTCTTTCCTAGATTCTGGTGGTTCTTAAGATTCTTGACTTGTTCCTTGACTTATAGATGCATCACTCCAATTTCTGCTTCCATCTTCACATGGCTTTTTTCCCTGTGTGTCTCTGTGTCCTCTATTCTTCTTATAAGGAAGTCATCGGGTTTAGGGCCCATCCTAAATCCAAAATGATTTCACCATATGATCCTCAACTAGTTACATTTGCAAAGACTCTATTTCCAAATAAGATCACAGTTTGAGCTTCCAGGTAGAAATGAATTTTGGGTAGACACTCTTCAACCCAGTACAGTGGCTCAGGAAAATTAAGCAGATTATTATTTATTTTATTTTATTTTTGTAATTTGGAACCTGTTTCTTTTCAGTCATGGTAATCTGAAACCTGAGTGTCAGGTCTTATGCACTGCTTTTCTCATTTTATTTTATTTTTTTAAATTATTTTTTTTCTGTTTTTAGTTCTATAATCTTTTTTTTTTTATTATACTTTAAGTTTTAGGGTACATGTGCACATTGTGCAGGTTAGTTACATATGTATACATGTGCCATGCTGGTGCACTGCACCCACTAACTCCTCATCTAGCATTAGGTATATCTCCCAATGCTATCCCTCCCCCCTCTCCCCACCCCACAACAGTCCCCAGAGTGTGATATTCCCCTTCCTGTGTCCAAGTGTTCTCATTGTTCAATTCCCACCTGTGAGTGAGAATATGCGGTGTTTGGTTTTTTGTTCTTGCGATAGTTTACTGAGAATGATGATTTCCAATTTCATCCATGTCCCTACAAAGGACATGAACTCATCATTTTTTATGGCTGCATAGTATTCCATGGTGTATATGTGCCACATTTTCTTAATCCAGTCTATCATTGTTGGACATTTGGGTTGGTTCCAAGTCTTTGCTATTGTGAATAATGCCACAATAAACATACGTGTGCATGTGTCTTTATAGCAGAATGATTTATAGTCCTTTGGGTATATACCCAGTAATGGGATGGCTGGGTCAAATGGTATTTCCAGTTCTAGATCCCTGAGGAATTGCCACACTGACTTCCACAATGGTTGAACTAGTTTACAGTCCCAGCAACAGTGTAAAAGTGTTCCTATTTCTCCACATCCTCTCCAGCACCTGTTGTTTCCTGACTTTTTAATGATTGCCATTCTAACTGGTGTGAGATGGTATCTCATTGTGGTTTTGATTTGCATTTCTCTGATGGCCAGTGATGGTGAGCATTTTTTCATGTGTTTTTTGGCTGCATAAATGTCTTCTTTTGAGAAGTGTCTGTTCATGTCCTTCGCCCACTTTTTGATGGGGTTGTATGTTTTTTTCTTGTAAATTTGTTTGAGTTCATTGTAGATTCTGGATATTAGCCCTTTGTCAGATGAGTAGGTTGCGAAAATTTTCTCCCATTTTGTAGGTTGCCTGTTCACTCTCATGGTAGTTTCTTTTGCTGTGCAGAAGCTCTTTAGTTTAATTAGATCCCATTTGTCAATTTTGTCTTTTGTTGTCATTGCTTTTGGTGTTTTAGACATGAAGTCCTTGCCCATGCCTGTGTCCTGAATGGTAATGCCTAGGTTTTCTTCTAGGGTTTTTATGGTTTTAGGTCAAACGTTTAAGTCTTTAATCCATCTTGAATTGATTTTTGTATAAGGTGTAAGGAAGGGATCCAGTTTCAGCTTTCTACATATGGCTAGCCAGTTTTCCCATTTATTAAATAGGGAATCCTTTCCCCATTGCTTGTTTTTCTCAGGTTAGTCAAAGATCAGATAGTTGTAGATATGCGGCGTTATTTCTGAGGGCTCTGTTCTGTTCCATTGATCTATATCTCTGTTTTGGTACCAGTACCATGCTGTTTTGGTTACTGTAGCCTTGTAGTATAGTTTGAAGTTAGGTAGCGTGATGCCTCCAGCTTTGTTCTTTTGGCTTAGGATGACTTGGCAATGCGGGCTCTTTTTTGGTTCCATATGAACTTTAAAGTAGTTTTTTCCAATTCTGTGAAGAAAGTCATTGGTAGCTTGATGGGGATGGCATTGAATGTGTAAATTACCTTGGGCAGTATGGCCATTTTCATGATATTGATTCTTCCTACCCATGAGCATGGAATGTTCTTCCATTTGTTTGTATCCTCTTTTATTTCCTTGAGCAGTGGTTTGTAGTTCTCCTTGAAGAGGTCCTTCACATCCCTTGTAAGTTGGATTCCTAGGTATTTTACTCTTTTTGAAGCAATTGTGAATGGGAATTCACTCATGATTTGGCTCTCTGTTTGTCTGTTGTTGGTGTATAAGAATGCTTGTGATTTTTGTACATTGATTTTATATCCTGAGACTTTGCTGAAGTTGCTTATCAGCTTAAGGAGATTTTGGGCTCAGACAATGGGGTTTTCTAGATATACAATCATGTCGTCTGCAAACAGGGACAATTCGACTTCCTCTTTTCCTAATTGAATACCTTTTATTTCCTTCTCCTGCCTAATTGCCCTGGCCAGAACTTCCAACACTATGTTGAATAGGAGTGGTGAGAGAGGGCATCCCTGTCTTGTGCCAGTTTTCAAAGGGAATGCTTCCAGTTTTTGCCCATTCAGTATGATATTGGCTGTGGGTTTGTCATAGATAGCTCTTATTATTTTGAAATACGTCCCATCAATACCTAATTTATTGAGAGTTTTTAGCATGAAGGGTTGGTGAATTTTGTCAAAGGCTTTTTCTGCATCTATTGAGATAATCATGTGGTTTTTGTCTTTGGCTCTGTTTATATGCTGGATTACATTTATTGATTTGCGTATATTGAACCAGCCTTGCATCCCAGGGATGAAGCCCACTTGATCATGGTGGATAAGCTTTTTGATGTGCTGCTGGATTCGTTTTGCCAGTATTTTATTGAGGATTTTTGCATCAATGTTCATCAAGGATATTGGTCTAAAATTCTCTTTTTTTGTTGTGTCTCTGCCCGGCTTTGGTATCAGAATGATGCTGGCCTCGTAAAAAGAGTTAGGGAGGATTCCCTCTTTTTCTATTGATTGGAATAGTTTCAGAAGGAATGGTACCAGTTCCTCCTTGTACCTCTGGTAGAATTCGGCTGTGAATCCATCTGGTCCTGGACTCTTTTTGGTTGGTAAGCTATTGATTATTGCCACAATTTCAGATCCTGTTATTGGTCTATTCAGAGATTCAACTTCTTCCTGGTTTAGTCTTGGGAGAGTGTATGTGTCGAGGAATGTATCCATTTCTTCTAGATTTTCTAGTTTATTTGCGTAGAGGTGTTTGTAGTATTCTCTGATGGTAGTCTGTATTTCTGTGGGATCGGTGGTGATATCCCCTTTATCATTTTTTATTGCGTCTATTTGATTCTTCTCTCTTTTTTTCCTTATTAGTCTTGCTAGCGGTGTATCAATTTTGTTGATCCTTTCAAAAAACCAGCTCCTGGATTCATTAATTTTTTGAAGGGTTTTTTGTGTTTCTATTTCCTTCAGTTCTGCTCTGATTTTAGTTATTTCTTGCCTTCTGCTAGCTTTTGAATGTGTTTGCTCTTGCTTTTCTAGTTCTTTTAATTGTGATGTTAGGGTGTCAATTTTGGATCTTTCCTGCTTTCTCTTGTGGGCATTTAGTGCTATAAATTTCCCTCTACACACTGCTTTGAATGCGTCCCAGAGATTCTGGTATGTTGTGTCTTTGTTCTCGTTGGTTTCAAAGAACATCTTTATTTCTGCCTTCATTTCGTTATGTACCCAGTAGTCATTCAGGAGCAGGTTGTTCAGTTTCCATGTAGTTGAGCGGTTTTGAGTGAGATTCTTAATCCTGAGTTCTAGTTTGATTGCACTGTGGTCTGAGAGATAGTTTGTTATAATTTCTGTTCTTTTACATTTGCTGAGGAGAGCTTTACTTCCAACTATGTGGTCAATTTTGGAATAGGTGTGGTGTGGTGCTGAAAAAAATGTATATTCTGTTGATTTGGGGTGGAGAGTTCTGTAGATGTCTATTAGGTCTACTTGGTGTAGAGCTGAGTTCAATTCCTGGGTATCCTTGTTGACTTTCTTTCTCGTTGATCTGTCTAACGTTGACAGTGGGGTGTTAAAGTCTCCCATTATTAATGTGTAGGAGTCTAAGTCTCTTTGTAGGTCACTCAGGACTTGCTTTATGAATCTTGGTGCTCCTGTATTGGGTGCATATATATTTAGGATAGTTATCTCTTCTTGTTGAATTGATCCCTTTACCATTATGTAATGGCCTTCTTTGTCTCTTTTGATCTTTGTTGGTTTAAAGTCTGTTTTATCAGAGACTAGGATTGCAACCCCTGCCTTTTTTTATTTTCCATTTGCTTGGTAGATCTTCCTGCATCCTTTTATTTTGAGCCTATGTGTGTCTCTGCACGTGAGATGGGTTTCCTGAATACAGCACACTGATGGGTCTTGACTCTATCCAATTTGCCAGTCTGTGTCTCTTAATTGGAGCATTTAGTCCGTTTACATTTAAAGTTAATATTGTTATGTGTGAATTTGATCCTGTCATTATGATGTTAGCTGGTTATTTTGCTCGTTAGTTGATGCAGTTTCTTCCTAGTCTTGATGGTCTTTCATTTTGGCATGATTTTGCAGCAGCTGGTTCTGGTTGTTCCTTTCCATGTTTAGCTCTTCCTTCAGGAGCTCTTTTAGGGCAGGCCTAGTGGTGACAAAATCTCTCAGCATTTGCTTGTCTGTAAAGTATTTTATTTCTCCTTCGCTTATGAAGCTTAGTTTGGCTGGATATGAAATTCTGGGTTGAAAATTCTTTTCTTTAAGAATGTTGAATATTGGCCCCCACTCTCTTCTGGCTTGTAGGGTTTCTGCCGAGAGATCCGCTGTTAGTCTGATGAGCTTCCCTTTGAGGGTAACCCGATCTTTCTCTCTGGCTGCCCTTAACATTTTTTCCTTTGTTTCAACTTTGGTGAATCTGACAATTATGTGTCATGGAGTTGCTCTTCTCGAGGAGTATCTTTGTGGAGTTCTCTGTATTTCCTGAATCTGAACATTGGCCTGCCTTGGTGGATTGGGGAAGTTCTCCTGGATAATATCCTGCAGAGTGTTTTCCAACTTGTTTCCATTCTCCCCATCACTTTCAGGTACACCAATCAGACGTAGATTTGGTCTTTTCACATAGTCCCATATTTCTTGGAGGCTTTGCTCGTTTCTTTTTATTCTTTTTTCTCTAAACTTCCCTTCTCGCTTCATTTCATTCATTTCATCTTCCATCGCTGATACCCTTTCTTCCAGTTGATCGCATCGGCTCCTGAGGCTTCTGCATTCTTCACATAGTTCTTGAGCGTTGGTTTTCAGCTCCATCAGCTCCTTTAAGCACTTCTCTGTAGTGGTTATTGTAGTTATACATTCTTCTAAATTTTTTTCAAAGTTTTCAACTTCTTTGCCTTTGGTTTGAATGTCCTCCCATAGCTCGGAGTAATTTGATCGTCTGAAGCCTTCTTCTCTCAGCTCGTCAAAGTCATTCTCCATCCAGCTTTCTTCCGTTGCTGGTGAGGAACTGCGTTCCTTTGGAGGAGGAGAGGCATTCTGCTTTTTAGAGTTTCCAGTTTTTCTGTTCTGTTTTTTCCCCATCTTTGTGGTTTTATCTACTTTTGGTCTTTGATGATGGTGATGTACAGATGGGTTTTTGGTGTGGATGTCCTTTCTGTTTGTTAGTTTTCCTTCTAACAGACAGGACCCTCAGCTGTAGGTCTGTTGGAATACCCTGCCGTGTGAGGTGTCAGTGTGCCCCTGCTGGGGGGTGCCTCCCAGTTAGGCTGCTCGGGGGTCAGGGGTCAGGGACCCACTTGAGGAGGCAGTCTGCCCGTTCTCAGATCTCCAGCTGCGAGCTGGGAGAACCACTGCTCTCTTCAAAGCTGTCAGACAGGGACATTTAAGTCTGCAGAGGTTACTGCTGTCTTTTTGTTTGTGCCCTGCCCCCAGAGGTGGAGCCTACAGAGGCAGGCAGGCCTCCTTGAGCTGTGGTGGGCTCCACCCATTTCAAGCTTCTGGGCTGCTTTGTTTACCTAATCAAGCCTGGGCAACGGCGGGCGCCCCTCCCCCAGCCTCGCTGCCGCCTTACAGTTTGATCTCAGACTGCTGTGCTAGCAATCAGCGAGACTCCGTGGGCGTAGGACCCTCCGAGCCAGGTGCGGGATATAATCTCGTGGTGCGCCATTTTTTAAGCCGGTCGGAAAAGCGCAGTATTCAAGTGGGAGTGACCCGATTTTCCAGGTGCGTCCGTCACCCCTTTCTTTGACTCGGAAAGGGAACTCCCTGACCCCTTGTGCTTCCCAAGTGAGGCAATGCCTCACCCTGCTTCGGCTCACACACGGTGCACGCACCCACTGTCTGGCACTCCCTAGTGAGATGAACCCAGTACCTCAGATGGAAATGCAGAAATCACCCTCTTCTGCATCGCTCACGCTGGGAGCTGTAGACCGGAGCTGTTCCTATTCGGCCATCTTGGCTGCAGTCCTGCATTTCTCATTTTAAATTACTGATGCTATTGGTACCATATTTTAGCCTCTGACATTCCTTTATTATTTAGGCTATTTAGTGCCTCAGCCATCTTTATAGTTTTTTCATTGGTTAACTGTGTTTTCTTCATATATAAATCTATAAGTCACATGTAATCATGTAATTAAAAAGTATTTGTATGTTAATCTATGCAGCACAGTATGTATATTATATAGATACCTAAGGTTACACATTATTGGTATCTGGCAATAAGCTGACATCTGATGGGGAGTGCTAACATTTTATTAATTGCTTTGTGTTTATAATTGGTTTATGCATACTACATACGTATCACTCTTGCTTTTATTTAGAAAATTAACCATACATTTGTGATGCTTTTAATAGGGATCAAACTACTCCAATCAGTTCTCATTATATTAAAGAGCAATTATTTTCACCATATGCCATATAAAGCCTCAACCTTCAATCTTGATACCATCCTCAGGAGGGTGCCATTCAAACTTGTAGGATGAGTTGAATTTCAATGTAAATGTATGTCTTCTGTTAGAACTGGGGAATAACCTGAAGAAGGCCAGGAAGATCAAAGAGTAGGAGGTTGGCAAGCTCTGCAAGGAGCATTTGAGACAGACAGTGAGAGGGGAGGGATGTGGTCAATGAATCGAGGCCAACTTGAGGGGAGATCATGCTGTAAAGATTTTGTGGGAGAGGAATGCAAGCCCCTGTCTTCTCTTGCAGAGACTACTTGAATGTCTCAAGTCTTGTCTGCCTTTCATTTGGTTTATATTTAGCCCTGTGACTCTTGGGGCTCATCTGTCCAGCAGGGGTGTTTAATCCAACCTCATTCAAACCCTTCCAAAAAGAGAACCAGTCAAGATTCAGAAACTGAGTCATGGTCTTCCTTTGGACATTGCTTCTCTGCTTTTTAAATAAGCACATATGATGTGTTCAATTTATACTTGATGAGTAAATACTTCATGGTTTTTTTCCACAGCATAAAGCTGAGCATATAGTAACAACTGGCTACAATTTTCTTGAATACCTACTATGTACTCAGCTGAGTATCTCACCTGAGTATATGCTCACCTGAGTGATCTCACTTAATTGTTGCAAAAAGCAGATGACACTCAACTCAGAAGTTACTGTGAGATTAAATGATACAATTCATGTAAACCACTTAACATAGTGAGTAGCTGATTTTATAAATGAGAAAATGGAGGCCCAGAAAGGTTAAGCAACTTGCCCAAGGTCACATAGAAAGCAATAGAGCTGAGATTCCAGCCCAGCATTATCAGGCTCAAAACCCATGCTCTCCTTACTGTCCTATGCTAGAGGGAGGTGGCTTAATTCAAGTGGAATAAAGAGACTCTTTAAAGGCTGTATACCCCATGAGCACATTAAGCTGGTTATTTGACTGCTGTATTTTGCTAATTAATTTAATACTTGCTTAAACCTAATAAAAATGATTACAGTGAAGCTTTCAAATTTCCAGAGAACATTGTTTAAACACAGTGGAGCAAGCAGGGTAGAGGAAAAGAAATGGAAAAGAGGCAGAGGCCTTCATTGCATTGCCATGTGCCTGTTTTTTAAATTAGACATTCTAAATTCTTCCATCAGGGTGGTTTGGTGTGTCCATCTAGGCAGTTTTCCACTGCTTGGAAAAGACCTAAAGGCTTTTGTTCAACATAAAAGAATTTTCTCATTCCCACCTACAGTAATTGCCGAGAATGAGATCTGTTACAGTCCTTCCAAGAATGATTGCCTTTCTATGCCTAATGCCATGTAGTAGAATTTAGGATCACCTTGAGACCTTGCAGGGCACCAGCCTCCTATGTTGGTCAGCAGTACTGTGGTTTAAGAGGCATGCTTAAGTTTCCGTTTGCATCATGACGCTTGTTTATAATTATCTCTCTCTGGGTCACCCCAGGATGCTTCAGCAGCCATGAAGGACAGTACACTTTCAAACAGGGCCGTACACTTCCCTTGCCGTTCAGATGCAAAACTTGAAACCTGAATAGAAGAAGGGATTATTCTATGTCACATAGTAAGTTAGTGGCAGTGTGGACCCAGTATTCTGACTTCGTGGGGAAAGTGAACTTAATCTAAACTCATTGAAAACTGTTGAAGGATACAACTAATCATATGCACTAGATAAACTGTCACAGGAAACTGCAGGAGGTGCTGATAAAGAATTATAAAGAACAAAATGCCAGAGGAAGCCTAATAATCAGGAAAAACAGAACTCAAAAGTAACTACTGTCAAGGTAACTACTGATGTAAATTGAATATCTGCTGCTTCTTAAAAGTAGGATGATATAGAACAACTGTAGCTTTAATTCCGTACAAATAGACCTGAAAATCCACTCCAGCTTTGTAGACCGTTGCTAGTTCCCTGAATGCATTCAGAGTATTTTCTCCGGTCACAGTGCAATCAGCTAATTCTATAATTATGAACTGGTGTGCTCCTTTGAGTCTAGACATCTCTTTATTTTGTTCCCCTCGACACTTCCAAGCCAGCGTATTGTACCCCAGATAGCCTTTTCACTCCTTGTGGCCTTGCTGTTAAGGACTCAAGAGTTTTCTAGGAAATGAGGGAGTAGTCCTGTTGAAAGAAAAGAAAACCAAACACATCTTTCTCCAATTCCCCAACCTCCAGTGTTCCTTCAGTTCAATCATCTGCGAACTGCTACTATTATTGTTTTGTTTGAGGGTTTAGGATCCCCTGCTGGACACTATGTAATGTTCACCCCAAAGGTTTATGGATGTTGGCACAAATGACACATAGGCACCAATAGATGTTGCAGTAGGCTGAAATAGAGCCCCAGAATACATCAGATTCTAATCCCTGGAAACTGAAAACGTCAACATATTTGAAAATAGAGTCTTTGTGGATTTTTCTGCGATTAAGGATCTTGAGATAGGGAGATTATCCTGGATTATCTGAGTGATACAGAAATGCAATGACTTGTATCCTTATAAGAAGGAGGCACAGAAAGATTTTACAAACACACGGAAGAGACACCAATATAAAGACGAGCAGATAGAGACTTGAAGATGCTGGTTTTGAGGATTAGAGTGATGCAGTCACAAGCCAAGGGATACAAGCAGCCATCAGAGGCTTGAAGTGGCAAAGAACAGGTCCTCCCATAGAGCCTCTGCATGGAGTATAGTCCTGTCAACACCTTGATTTCAGACAAGTGAAACTGATTTTGGACTCCTGCCTTCTAGAAGTGTGAGAAAATAATTTTTTTTGTTGTTTTAAGACACTAATTTTGTGGTAATTTACAGCAGCCATAGGAAAAGCATACGGTTTATTACTCACATAGTAAACAGCAAAAGTATTCCCCAAAGAGAAAGCCTTAGGCTCTGTCTGGAGTGAATTAGGAGTGAAGTAGTGGTGGGTGGCTTTGGGTTTTTATTGTGGTTAAGGGTGGAGCTGGGGTGAAGGTTTACGCATGGGGTTGGTCTTTTAATGGTTTGCAATTTCTACTGGTACCAAGGGACAAAGCACCTATCTTGCTCAGATATGGGGCAAAGGGAAAGGAATAGGGACTGAACTTGAAAGTTCTCAGTGGAGAACTTTCTCTCTCTAAAATTAACTTTTAGAGTTAGTTATGACCTGACTCATAGACCTGTTGAGAGGATTAAATGCGTTAAAGCAAGTAAAACCTTTAGAACAGTGCTTGGCCCAAATTGTCTAATAGATATTGGCTGCTTTTAAAAATCACTTTGTGTTTTAGTTTCCCAAGCCAGTATTGGAGTACTCAAAAGGTTTGTTTCTGAGCTTTCTTCTTTTCTATACTTCCTCCCTAGGGTGGTTTCACCAATCCCTCAGCCTTTAAATGATATGCAATTTTACCTGCGCAGTGGCTCTTTCCCCAGGCTCCAGACTACTGTGTCCAACTCCATACTCACCATCTTTATATGGAACTCTAACAGGCATCTCAAGTGTAATATGTCTCCCCTTGCAAGTACTTTTCCTATCTCCAGTCTTCCCTGCCTCATCCTTCCTGCTGTCTAAGCCAGGACCCTGGAAGCTACGCTGGACTCCCTGCCCTGACCCCCATCATCACCAAGCTCAGCTGATTCAATGTCCTCTCCAATCTCGTCAGCCACTTTATTTCAGCACCTTAAAATGCACCCCTTATCTTAGCCCCTTTTGTTGGCAGACTTCATCAAAGTCCCCCACTCTGAATCTCTCTAGATTAGTGGTTGTCCATCTTGTGTATACATTAGAATCAACTGTTTTCTTTTCTTCTCATTACCAGACAAAGTCTGTTAGGATATCCAGAGATGAAACTCAGACATCAGTAATTTTTAAGCCTCTGGTAATTCCAATATGCAACCAAGGTGGAGGCCCACTGTGTTGGACTTCAGGTGAGAAGCTGGACACAATGCGTCAACAGAGGAGATGAACTTTAGGAAACTCCATACTGTTTTTTTTATAGTGACTGCACCAATGTACCTTTCTACCAACAGTGTACAAGGGTCCCATTTTCTCCAGATTTTTGCCAACACTTGTTATCGCTTGTGTCTTTGAGAATAACTATCTTCACAGGTGTAAGGTGGTATCTCTTAGTGATTTTGATATGCATTTTATTGATGGTTAGTGGTGTTGAGCACCTTTTCACGTACCTGTTGGCCATTTTAATGTCATCTTTGGAGAAAAGTCTATTCAAGTCCATTGCCAGGTTTTATTTATTTATTTATTTAGAGACAAAGTCTCACTCTGTCGCCCAGGCTGAAATGCAGTTGCACGACCTTGGCTCACTGCAACCTCCACCTCCTGGGTTCGGGGGTAAGCCATTCTCCTGCTTCAACCTCCCCAGTAGCTGGGATTACAGGCACCCAGCACAGAGCCCAGCCATTTGCCCATTTTTAAATCAGGTAATATATTTTCTTCTTATTGAGTTGTATGACTTCCTTATATAGCTTGGATATTAACCTCTTACCTGATATATGGTTTGTGAATATTTTTCCCAGTCTGTAGGTTGCCTTTTTATTTTGGTAATTGTTTTCTTTGCTGTGAAGAAGCTTTTTAGTTTGATGTGGTCTCATTTATTTATTTTTTCTTTTGTAGCCTGAGCTTAAGTTGTGATACTCAAGAAATCATTGCCAAGGCCAATCTCAATATTTTCCCCTTTATTTTCTTTTTGGAGTTTTATGGTTTTAGGTCATATGCCATTTGTACGTCTTCTTTTGAGAAATGTCTATTCAAATCTTCTGCCCATTTTTGATTGGATTAGTAGGTTTTTTTTCCTATATAGTTGTTTTAGCTCCATAAATATTCTAGTTATTAATCTCTTGTCAGATGGGTACTTTGCAAATATTTTGTTCCATTCTGTGGTTTGCTTCTTCACTTTGTTGATTGTTTCTTTTGCTGTGCAGAGTCTTTTTAACTTGTTATGACCACATTTATCCATTTTTGGTTTGGTTGTCTGTGCTTGTGGGGTATTATTCAACTATTTTTTGCCCAGACCAATGTCCTAGAGATTTTCCCCAATGTTTTCTTGTGGGAGCTTCTTGGTTTGAGGTCTTAGATTTAAGTATTTAATGCATTTTGATTTGATTTTTGTATACGGTAAGAGATAAGGGTCTAGATCCCTTTTTCTGCATATGGATATCTAATTTTGCCAGCACTATTTATTGAAGAGATTGTCTTTTCCCCAATGTATGTCCTTGTCACCTTTGTTGAAAATGAGTTCACTGTAGGTGTGTGGATTTGTTTCTGGGTTACTCTATTTTGTTCCATTGGTCTATGTGTCTGCTTTTATGCAAGTAGCATGCTGTTTTGATCACTGTAGCTTGAAATGCCATAAATTTTTGTTTGTTAATTTTATAACTTGCAACATTACTGAATTCATTTATTAGGCCTAACAGTTTTTTGGCAGAGTCTTTGTGTTTTTCTACATATAGTATCATGTCATCTGCAAATAGAGATAATTTTATTTCTTCCTACCCAATTTGTATATCTTTTAATTCTTTCTCTTGTCTAACTGCTCATGATAGTACTTCTGGTACTGTGTTGAATGAAAGTTTCAAGAATGGGCACCCTGCCTTGTAGTAGTTCTTAGAGAAAAAGTTTACAGTTTCTCAACATTGATTGTGATGTTAACTGTGGGTTTTTCATAATTGACTTTTGTTATTTTGATGACGTTTTATTCTTTATCTAAATTGTTAAAAGTTTTTTTTTTAATCAAGAATGAATGTTGAACTTGGTCAAATATTTTTAGTTTTTCTTCTTATTATTATATTGATAGTTTTGGGGGGAACAGCTGGTGTTCGGATACACAGATAAGTTCCTTAATGGTGATTTCTGAGATTTTGGTGCACCCATCATCCAAGCAGTGTACACTGCATCCAATGTGTAGTCTTTAATCCCTCAGCCCCTTCCCCCCAATTCCCCACAGTTCATTATATCACTCTTACACTTTTGTGTCCTCATAGCTTAGCTCCCACTTATAAGTGAGAACATATGATATTTGGGTTTCCATTCCTGAGTTATTTCACTTATAATAATAGTCTCCAACTCTGTCCAGGTTGCTGCTAATGCCATTATTTCATTTCTTTTTGTGGCTGAGTAGTATTCCATGGCATATATGTACACCACATTTTCTTTATCCACTCATTGGTTGATGGGCATATAGGCTGGTTCCATATTTTTGCAATTGAGAATTGTGCTGCTAAAAGCATGCATGTGCACATGTCTTTTTCTTATAGTGACTGCTTTTCCTCTGGGTAGATACCAAGTAGTGGGATTGCTGGACCAAATGGTAGTTCTACTTTTAGTTCTTTAAGGAATCTCCACACTGTTTTCCATAGTGGTTGTACCAGTTTACATTCCCACCAGCAGTGTAAAAGTGTTCCCTTTTCATCACATCCATGGCAACATCTATTTATCTATTTTTAAATTATGGCCATTCTTACAGGAGTAAGGTGCTATCACATTGTGGTTTTGATTTGCATTTTCCTGATCATTACTGATGTTGAGCATTTTTTCATGTTGTTGACCATTTGTATACCTTCTTTTGAGAATTGTGTATTCATGTCCTTAGTCCACTTTTTGATAAAATTATTTGTTTATTTCTTGCTAATTTATTTGAGTTCCTTGTGGATTCTGGATATTATTCCTTTGTTGGATGCATAGCTTGTGAAGATTTTCTCCCACCCTGTGGGTTGTCTGTTTACTCTACTGATAATTTCTTTTGCTGTGCAGAAGCTTTTGAGTTTAATTAAGTCTCCCCTTTTTAAATCTTTGTTTCTGTTGCATATGCTTTTGGTTTTTTGGTCATGAACTCTTTGCCTAAGCCAATGTCTGCAAGAGTTTTTCTGATGTTGTCTTTTAGAATTTTTATGTTTTCATGTCTTAGATTTAAGT
Source organism: Homo sapiens (assembly GCF_000001405.40). Taxonomy (NCBI): domain Eukaryota; kingdom Metazoa; phylum Chordata; class Mammalia; order Primates; family Hominidae; genus Homo; species Homo sapiens. Next base: position 149,428,453 of record NC_000023.11, on the reverse strand, counting down.
CTTTGATCAATCTTGAGTTGCTTTTTGTATAAGGTGAGAGATGAGGATACAGCTTTATTCTATTACGTGTGGCTTGCCAATTATCCCAGCACCATTGCTTAATAGGGTGTCCTTTTCCCACTTTATGTTTTGTTTGCTTTGTCAAAGATCAGTTGACTATAAGTATTTGGCTTTATTTCTGGTTTCTCTATTCTGTTCCATTGGTCTACTTGCCTGTTTTTATAACAGTGCCATGATGTTTTGGTAACTATAGCCATGTATAGGTTGAAGTCAGGTAATGTGATGCTTCCAGATTTGTTCTTTTTGCTTAGTCTTGTGAATGTGTGGGCTCTTTCTTTGTTCCATATGAATTTTAGGATTGTTTTTTATAGTTCTGTGAAGATTGATAATAGCATTTTGATGAGAATTGCATTAAATTTATACATTACTTTAGGTAATATGGTCATTTTCACAATATTGATTCTATTTATCCATGAGCATAGGATGTGTTTTCATTTGTTCATGTTGTCTATGATTTCTTTTAGCAGTGTTTTATAGTTTTCCTTGTAAAGATCTTTCATCTCCTTGGTTAGGTATATTCCTAAGTATTTTATTTTATTTTGCAGCTATCGTAAAAGGGATTGAATTCTTAATTTGATTCTCAGCTTGGACACTGTTAGTGTATAGCAGTGCTATTGATTTTTTACATTGATTTTGTATTCTGAAACTTTACTGAGTTCATTTATCAGATCTAGGAGCTTTTTGAATGAGTCTTTAAGGTTTTCTAAGTATATAGTAATATCATCAGTAATCAGTTACTCTTAGACTTCCTGTTTACTAATTTGGATGCCCTTTATTTCTTTCTCTTGTCTGACTGCTCTGGCTAGGACTTCCAGTACTATGTGAGGTATGGTTCTATTCATCATGTGGTGAAAATTAGCACCCTTGTCTTGTTCCAGTTCTCAGGGGGAATGTTTCAACTTTTCCCCATTTGGTATAATGTTGACTGTGGGCTTGTCATAGATGGCTTTTATTACTTTAAGATATTTCTCATCTATACCTATTTCGCTGAGTGTTTTAATCATAAAGGGATGCTGGGTTTTGTCAATGCTTTTTTTGCATCTATTGAGATGATCATAGAATTTTGGTTTTTAATTCTGTTTATGTGGTGTATCACATTTACTGACTTGTGTATGTTAAATCATCCCTGTGTCCCTGGTATGAAACCCACTTGATCATGGTGTATTATTTTTTTGGATATGCAGTTGGATTCAGTTAGCTAATATTTTGTTGAGGATTTTTGCATCTATGTTCATTGGGGATATTGGTCTGCAATTTTCTTTTTTTTTTTTGTTATGTCCTTTCCTGGTTTTGGTATTAGGGTAATACTGGATTTGTAGAATGATTTAGGGAGGATTTCCCCTTTCTCTATCTTTTGGAATAGCTTCAGTAGGATTGGTACAAATTCTTCTTGGAATGTCTGATAAAATTCAGCTGTGAATCCATCTGGTCCTGGACTTTTTTTTTGTTGGCAATTTTTTTTTCTTACTGTTTCAATCTTGCTACTTGTTTTTGGTCTATTCAGAGTTTCTATTTCTTCCTGTTTTAATCTAGGAGGGTTGTATATTTCTAGGAAATTATCCACCTTCTCTAGGTTTTCTAGTTTTTGTGCATAAAGGTGTTCATAGTAGCCTTGAATGATCTTTTGTATTTCTGTGGTATTGGTTGCAATATCTCCCATTTCATTTCTAGTTGAGCTTATTTGGATCTTCTCTCATCTTTTCTTGGTTAATCTAATCTCACTAGCAGTCTATCGATTTTGTTTATCTTTTCAAAGAACCAGTTTTTTGTTTCATTTATCTTTTGTATTTATTTTTGTTTGTTTCAATTTCATTTAGTTCTGCTCTGATTTTTGTAATTTCTTTTCTTCTGCTGGGTTTGGGTTTGGTTTGTTCTTATTTCTCTAGTTCCTTAAGGTTTGAGCTTAGATTTTCTATTTGTGCTCTTTCAGACTTTTTGATGTAGGCATTTAATGCTATGAACTTTCCTCGTAGTCCTCTTTTGCTGTATCCCAGAGATTTTGATAGACTGTGTCATATTATCATTCGGTTCAAAGAACTTTTAAATTTCCATCTTGATTTCATTGTTGACCCTAAGATCATTCATGATCAGGTTATTTAATTTCCATGTATTTGTATAGTTTTGAGCATTCCTTTTGGAGTTAATTTCCAATTTTACTCCACTGTGGTCTGAGAGAGTACGTGATAAAATTTCAAATTTTTTAAATTTATTGAGACTTGTTTTGTGGACTCTCATATGGTCTGTCTTGGGGAATAAGTATGTATATTCTGCAGTTGTTGGCTAGAATGCTCAGTAAATATCTGTTAAGTCAATTTGTTCTAGGGTGTAGTTTAAGTCTATTGTTTCTTTGTTGACTTTCTGTCTTGATGACCTATCTAGTGCTGTCAGAAGAGTATTGAATTCTTCCACTATTATTGCGTTGTTGTCTATTTCATTTCTTATGTCTAGTAGTAATTGCTTTATAAATTTGGGAGCTCCAGTATTAGGTGCATGTATATTTAGAATTGTAATATTTTCCTCTTGGACTAATCCTTTTATCATTATATAATGTCCCTCTTTTTGTTTTTTAACTGTTGTTGCTTTAAAGTCTGTTTTGCCTGATATAAACAAAGCTACTCCTGCTCGCTTTTGGTTTCCATTTACATGAAATATATTTTTCCACCTCTATACCTTAAGTTTATGTGAGTCCTTATGTGTTAGGTGAGTCTCTTGAAGACAGCAGATACTTGGTTGGTGGATTTCATCCATTCTGCCATTTTGTGTCTTTTAAGTGGAACATTTAGGCCCTTTACTTCCAAACTTAGTGTTAAGATGGGAGGCACTGTTTTATTCATCATGCTGCTTGTTGCCTGAATACCTTGTTTTGTTTTGTTTTGTTTTTCCATTGTATTATCATCTTACAGGCCCTGTGAGATTTATGCTTTAAGGAGGTTCTATTTTGGTGTATTTTGAGGTTTTGTTTCAAGATTTTTAACTCCTTTTAGCATTTTTTTTTTTTGTAGTGCTTGCTTGATAGTGGTGAATTCTCTCAGCATTTGTTTGTCTGAAAGACTATCTTTCCTTCATTTATGATGCTTAGTTTTGCTGGGTACAGCATTTTTGGCTGATAATTATTTTCCTTAAGAAGGTTTAGGACAAGACCCCAATTCCTTCTGGCATGTAGGGTTTCTGCTGAGAAATCTGCTGTCAATCTGATAGGTTTTTTTTTTTCCATAGATTACCTGATGTTTTTGCCTCACAACACTTACGATCCTTTCCTTTGTCTTGACTTTAGATAACCTGATGACTATGTGCCTAGGTGATGATCTTTTTGTGATGAGTTTTCCAGGTATTCTTTGTGCTTCTTCTATTTGAATGTCTAGATCCCTAGAAAGACCAGGGACATTTTCCTGCATTATTTCCTCAAATAAGGTTTTCAAACTTTTAAATTTCTCTTGTTCCTCAGGAACACCAATTATTTTTATGTTTGGTCATTTAACATAATCCCAAATTTCTTGGAGGCCTTGTTCATTTTCTTAAATTCTTTTTTCTTTATCTTTGTTGGCTTGGGTTAATTTGAAAGCCTTGTCTTCAAGTTCTGAAGTTCTTTCATCTACTTTTTGAATTGTATTATCAAACCTTTCCAGTGTATTTTGCATTTCTCTAAAGTGTATCTTTCATTTCCAGAAGTTGTGCATGTCTTTTCTTTGGGAAATCTATTTCTCTGGAGACTTTTTCATCCATATCCTGTATTGTTTTTTGTGTCCTTAAGTTGGTTTCCACCTTTCTCTGGTAGCTCCTTGAGTAGCTTAATAATCCACCTTCTGAATTCTTTATCTGGCAATTCAGAGATTTATTCTTGGTTTAGATTCATTGCTGGAGAACTAGTGTGATCTTTTGGGGGTGTTATAGAACTTTGTTTTGTCATATGACAAGAATTACTTTTCTGGTTCCTTCTCATTTGGGAGACTGTTTTCAATGGAAAGATATCAAACTGAGCTGCTGTTCAAATTCTTTTGTCTCATGGGGTGATCCCTTGATGTGGTGCTCTCCCCTTTCCCCTTGGGGTGGGGCTGCCTGAGAGCCAGACTGCAGTGATTGTTTTTGTCCTACTGGGTCTAGCCACCCAGTAGGGCTACTGGGTCTAGCCACCCAGTAGGGCTACTGGGCTCCCAGCTGCTGCTGGGGAATATATCCAAAAAGTCCTGTGTTGTGATCTGTCTTCCAGTCTCTCAGCCACGGATACCAGCACCTGTTCTGGTGAAGGTGGCAGGGGAGTGAAGTGGACTCAGTGGGAGTCCTTGGCTGTAGTTTTGTTTAGTGAACTGTTGTTCTGGAATGCTGATTATGCTAGCAGTGATGTTGTCACCTAAACAGACTCAGAAGCCCCGGTTAGCCATACCATGGTGTTGCAGGCAGTTGAATTAGCTGTTGTTTACTCCTTCTTTGGAGCAGGGTTGTACTGTTATGAGTTGCCATAATGGCTTGAATTTGTTGGCCACCAGCCAGGAGGTGGTACTCTCAAGAGAGCACCAGCTGTGGTAGTAGAAGGGGATATGAGCTTACACTACATTGGTCAGGATAAGTAATCGGGTTTCTTGGGCAATGGGTGGAACCATAGTTTATGAGTTTAGAGCTGCCAAGCATTTATGTCTTTTGATTTTGGCTATCAGGGTAGATAGAGAAAAATGATTAGGTGGGACAGGGTAGGTGGGTCTGAGCTCAGACTCTCCTTGGGTGGGGCTAGCTGTGGCCACTGTGGGGGATGGGGGCATGGTTCTCAGGCCAATGGAGTTATGATCCCAGGGGAATTATGGCTGCCTATGCTATGTAATATAAGTCACCAAGGAAGTAGGGGAAAGCTGGCAGTGACAGGCCTCACCCAGCTCCTATGCATCTAGCAAGGCCAGTCTCACTCCTGCCATGCTCCATCAATAGCACTGAGTTTATATCCAGGCAGCTGGTGAGCAGGGCTAAGATCTTGCCCCAGGCTACAAGCCACCCTGCTGAGAAAGCAAGCAGGCCTCTCAGGCTTCACCCCTCCCCACTTGCCTGCACCATCAGCTGCAGCTTCTGCACTCATATCTGCACTTCTCATTTGCACCATTCCTGTATCCTGCTTAGGAAAATTCATGCTCAGTTGAAATCATTACAAAGTTAAGCTAGAAGCTTCCTTCACCCTATGGCCCCTCCCAAATTATACCGGCTGCCCTCCCCAAGGACACCTGTGAGATAATGTCAGAAATGGCTTCCCTGGGCTTGAGCTGGGGACTGGAAGGGCCTACAGGGCTCTTCTCACTGCTTCTTCTACTTTTATATTTTGCTTGGCTCCCTAAATCCGTTTCATCTCTAAGTAAGGTTAAATCCTTTCCTGTGATTTGGATTTTCAGGTTCTCCAGTGGGGATGTGTTTTTGGAGGCGTACATCCCCCCACCCCTCACACTTTGGGAACTTACAGTTTTTCAGCTGTCTCATGGAGTTTGCCGTGGCAAGCCACTTCTTTCAAAGCATCTGTGAATTCTTTCAGTTGTCCTGGTATATTCCTGCAGTGGTTCTTGGATCAAAAATTCATAGTGTGATTCTCCATATGCTGTTTTGTCCATCAAAATGGGAGCTGCATGTTAGTCCTGTCTTCTATCTGCCATTTTCCTCCCATATCTCAAATACTTTTTTGCATCAACTGATATAATCATGTGGGTTTGTCTTACGTTGGTTAATGTGATGTATCACACTGATTCAAGAATGTTAAATCAGTCTTGGATCTCAGGGATAAATCCCACTTTACTATGAAGTATAATCTTTTTCATGTGATGTTGAAATATAATTGCTAATATTTTATTAGGGATTTTTGCATCAATGTTAATGAGATATGTTGGCTTGTAGCATTGTTTTCTTGCATTGTCTTTGTATTCTTAGCTTTCAAGGTGACCCTGGCCTCATAAAATATGTTAGGAAATAGTCCATGCATCCTATTATTTTGAAGAATCTAAGAAGTATCGGTATTAATTCTTCTTTGAAGATTGGTAGTATTCACCTGTGAAGCTATCTGGTTCTAAGCTTTTCTTTGTCTGGAGGTTTTAAATTACTACCTCATTTTTTTTGTTAGTTGTCTATTCAGGCCTTCTATTTCTTCTTGATTCAATCTTGGAAGTTATGTGTTTCTAGGAGTTTATCCATTCTTTGGGCTATCAAATTTGTTGGCATATAATTGTTTATAATAGTTTTTTATGATTCTTTTTATTTCAGAGATGTTTATTGTAATATCACCACTTTGTTTTCTGATTTTATATATCTAAGACTTCTCTTTTTTCTAGTTTAGGTAGGAAAAATATTTTAATTTTATTGCTTTTTTCTATGGTTTTATATTTTCTATTTTTCATATTTATTCTTGTCTTTATTGCTTTCCTTCTGCTAAATTTGAGTTTAGCTTTTTCTTCCCTTTCTAGTTCCTTGAGGCATAATGTTAGGCTCTGTATTTGTAATCTTTCTTTTTATAATGTAGGCATTTATTAATATGAACTTTCATCCTAGAACTACTTTTGCTGCATATCATAGGATTTGATATGCTGTTTTCATTGTCATTTATCTCAATATATTTCTAAATTTCCCTTTTGATTTCTTCTTTTTTTTAAAATTTATTTATTTTTTATTGATAATTCTTGGGTGTTTCTCACAGAGGGGGATTTGGCAGGGTCATAGGACAATAGTGGAGGGAAGGTCAGCAGATAAACAAGTGAACAAAGGTCTCTGGTTTTCCTAGGCAGAGGACCCTGCGGCCTTCCGCAGTGTTTGTGTCCCTGGGTACTTGAGATTAGGGAGTGGTGATGACTCTTAACGAGCATGCTGCCTTCAAGCATCTGTTTAACAAAGCACATCTTGCACCACCCTTAATCCATTTAACCCTGAGTGGACACAGCACATGTTTCAGAGAGCACAGGGTTGGGGGTAAGGTCACAGATCAACAGGATCCCACGGCAGAAGAAGTTTTCTTAGTACAGAACAAAATGAAAAGTCTCCCATGTCTACTTCTTTCTACACAGACAAGGCAACCATCCGATTTCTCAATCTTTTCCCCACCTTTCCCGCCTTTCTATTCCACAAAGCCGCCATTGTCATCCTGGCCCGTTCTCAATGAGCTGTTGGGCACACCTCCCAGATGGGGTGGTGGCCGGGCAGAGGGGCTCCTCACTTCCCAGTAGGGGCGGCCGGGCAGAGGCGCCCCTCACCTCCCGGGCGGGGTGGCTGGCCAGGCGGGGGGCTGACCCCCCCACCTCCCTCCCGGACGGGGCAGCTGGCCGGGCGGGGGGCTGACCCCCCCACCTCCCTCCCGGACGGGGCGGCTGGCCTGGTGGGGGGCTGACGCCCCCACCTCCCTCCCGGACGGGGCGGCTGGCGGGGCGGGGGGCTGACCCCCCCACCTCCCTCCCGGACGGGGTGGCTGCCGGGCGGAGATGCTCCTCACTTCCCAGACTGGGTGGCTGCTGGGCGGAGAGGCTCCTCACTTCTCAGACGGGGCGGCTGCTGGGCGGAGGGGCTCCTCACTTCTCAGACGGGGCGGTTGCCAGGCAGAGGGTCTCCTCACTTCTCAGACGGGGCGTCCGGGCAGAGATGCTCCTCACCTCCCAGATGGGGTCGCAGCCGGGCAGAGGTGCTCCTCACATCTCAGACGATGGGCGCCGGGCAGAGATGCTCCTCACTTCCTAGATGTGATGGCCGCAGGGAAGAGGTGCTCCTCACTTCCTAGGTGGGATGGCGGCCGGGCGGAGACCCTCCTCACTTTCCAGACTGGGTAGCCAGGCAGAGGGGCTCCTCACATCCCAGACGATGGGCGGCCAGGCAGAGACGCTCCTCACTTCCCAGATGGGGTGGCAGCCGGGCAGAGGCTGCAATCTCGGCACTTTGGGAGGCCAAGGCAGGCGGCTGGGAGGTGGAGGTTGTAGTGAGCCGAGATCATGCCACTGCACTCCAGCCTGGGCACCATTGAGCACTGAGTGAACGAGACTCCGTCTGCAATCCCGGCACCTCGGGAGGCCGAGGCTGGCGGATCACTTGCGGTTAGGGGCTGGAGACCGGCCTGGCCAACACAGCGAAACCCCGTCTCCACCAAAACCAGTCAGGCGTGGCGGCGCGAGCCTGCAATCGCAGGCACTTGGCAGGCTGAGTCAGGAGAATCAGGCAGGGAGGTTGCAGTGAGCCGAGATGGCAGCAGTACAGTCCAGCTTCGGCTCAGCATGAGAGGGAGACCATGGAAAGAGAGGGAGAGGGAGACTGTGGGGAGAGGGAGAGGGAGAGGCAGAGGGGAGAGGGGAGAGGGGAGAGGGAGAGGGAGAGGGAGAGGGAGAGGGAGCTGTACTCTGACACTTCTACACACTCCCTTTTGATTTCTTCTTTGACTCATTGGCTGTTCAGGAGCATACTGTTTATACATATTTGTCAAATTTCTAAAATTTTATGTTATTGATTGCTAGTTTCATACCATTATGGTTGGAAACAATACTTGATGAATTTGATCTTAAATTTGTTAAGACTTATTTTGTGGCCTCACATGTGTTCTATCCTGAAGAATGATCCATGTGGACTAGAGAAGAAGGTGTATTCTGCTGCCATTGGATGGAAAGTTCTGTATATATCTGTTAGGTTTATTTTGTCTAAAGTGCAGTTCAATTCCAGTATTTTCTTATTAATTTTTTGTCTAGTTTTTCTGTCCATTGTTGAAAGTTGGGTACCAAAATCCCCTACTATTATTGTATTGTTATCTATTAATTAATGTTCATTAATATTTGCTTTATATATTTAGGTGCTGGTGCTCCAATGTTCTGTGCATATGTATTTATAATTATTATGTCCTCTTGATGAATTGAGCCCTTTATCATTAAATAATGATTTTATCTGTCACTTGTGACAGTTTTTGACTTGAGGTATATTTTATTGGACATAAGTATAGCCACCTATGCTCTATTTTGGTTACCATTTGCATGGAATACCTTTGTCCATTCCTTCACCTATATGTGTCCTTAAGGTAGAGTGGGTCTCTTGCAGGGAGCATATAATTGGCTCTTATTTTTTTGGGGGGTCCATTTAACCACTCTATCTTTTGATTAGATAATTTAATCCACTTAATTGAGGTGATATCTTATTGTGGTTTTGATTTAAGCATTTTTCTAATGATTAATGATGAGAACTTTTTCAAAAGTAGTTTTTGTAGTGCTGATTTGTTGGCAATGAAGTATTTTTATGGTCTTTTATCAGCACATGTCTTTTTTTCAATTTTGTTTTTGCATGACGTTTGAAAACAAACTCAATGTTCATCAATAGTAGAATAAATAAATGCATATACAGTCACATGAAAATTAATTCTATTCAGCAATGACAAAACTGAACTCCAGTATACACACAGTATCAATCAACCTCATAGACATTGTATTGCACAAAGGAAGCCAAGCATAAAAAATATATATGCTGTACAATTCCATATATATAAAGTTTAAAAGAAAGCACAACTATTCTATGTTGTAGAAGTTAAGATTGGTTTTTTTGGGGGAGGAAGGAGAAGTAGTGATTTGGAGACATCTGAGGGTGTGAGGGTGGTTTCTGGGATGCTGGCAGTGTCAACCAGGGTCATGGTTACATACGAGTGTTGACTTATGATTTATGCACTTTTGTGCTTTTGTCTTCATACATTTTCAGGTTAATATGTATCTATTATTCTGATATATATATAAGACATATATAATATATAATAAAATATATAATATATAAGACATATATAATATATAATATATTATTATAATAATATATATGTTATTATATAACATATATAACATGTTATATATAATAATATATTTAATATATAATAATATAATATATATAATATATTATATTATATATATATAATATAATATATATAATATATATGATATATATATATGTCTTCCCCCTAGGAGTGGAATTATTTGATAACAATGCATGGATATTTTTAACTTTAGTAGATACTGGCTCAACCAGTTGTCCAAAGTAATTATAACACATTACACTCCCTCCTCCAGCAGTATATAAAAATTTCAATTGTTGTGCATATATTCTTAAGGGGAATGTTAGGGTCAGTGAGTTCTCTGTGGTAAGTATAAAATGTTCTATTTACATTTTAATGCATACATGGGTTCTGGATTATTTGGGGCACCACTTCATAAATGAATTGTGACACATGACTTCAGCATCTGCTTTACCACTGGTATTTGTGATCGTTATGAACTAAAGTGGCAGTGTTTTTCAAACTTGAGTCCAAAAGACATGTTCTCAAGAGTCCACAGATTTATTTTTAGGGTCTTCATATTTTCATGTTTGAAAATATTTAATTTAACCCTTACAATAACTTTATAAGGTAGGTGTTATTAACTCCCTTTTACAGATAAGGAAACTAATTTGCCTAAGGTCACACAGCTTGTAAGTGGAAGAGCCGAGATTCAAACCCTATTGAATTACTTTCTGTTTGTTTGTTTGTTTATTTTTTGATATGGCATCTTGCTCTGTTGCCCATACTGGAGCGCAGTGGTGCAATCTCAGCTCACTGCAACCTCCACCTCCAGGGTTCAAGAGATTCTCCTGCCTCAGCCTCCCGAGTAGCTGGGACTACAGAAATGTGCCACCACATCTGGCTAATTTTTGTATTTTTAGTAGAGATGGGGTTTCATCATGTTGGCCAGGAAGGTCTTGAACTCCTGACCTCAAGTGATCTGCCCACCTCGATCTCCCAAAGTGCTGGGATTACAGGCGTGAGCCACCACATCCAGCCTGAAGCCTATTGAATTCCTTTCATGAGGAAAATTCATATTAATTTTAACAGCTTTGTTAAAATATAATTTACATATTATACAATTCAATCATTTAAAGTGGACAATTCAATGGCTTTTAATATATGCACAGAGTTAGGCAGCCATCTCTTCAATCAATTTTAGAATATTTTCATAATTCCAAACAACACCACTTCATCCCTTTGTTGTCACCTCTAAATTTCCTCATTACTTGGTCACCTTAAGGCACTACTAATCTCTTTTCTGTCTATAAATTTGCCTATTGTGAATATTTCTTTTATAGATATACTTTTTAATTATACTTTAAATTCTAGGGTACATGTGCACCACATGCAGGTATGTTACATATGTATGCATGTGCCATGTTGATGTGCTGCACCCATGGAAACATACAATATGTAATCCTTTGTGACTGGCTTCTTTCACTTAGCATAATATTTTCACATTTATGCATGTTGCAGCATATATCTGTATTTCATTTTTTCTATGACCGAACAATATTCTGTTATATTCCTATACCACATTTTATTTATCCATTTTTCAAGTTGATGGGCATTTGGGTTGTTTCCACCTTTTGGCCATTAGGAATAATGCTGCTGTGACCATTCCTGTACAAGTTTTTGTGAGAATATAATTTTCATTTTTCTTGGTACATACCTAGGAGTGGGAATTCAGGATCATATGATAATTCTATGTTTAGCTTTTTTTGGGTACCTGGCTGACTATATTTTAAAACTTCTGTACCACTTTATGTTCCCACAAACAAGATATGAGGGCTAATGTTTTTCACAACTTTACCAAATCTTATTATCTGCCGTTTTTTATTATTACCATCCTAGTGCATGTAAAGCAGTATCTCATTGTGGTTTTGATTTGCATTTTCATGATGGCTACTGATGCTGACTATATCATTATCTGCTTATTGGCCATTTGAGATATGTTTTTCCTACCCCTTGTCCACTTTTTAAGTTGGGTAACATTATTATTATTGAGTTGTAAGAGTTCTTTATATTATATATTTTACATGAATTTCACTTACTGATGTATGATCTGCAAAATTTTTTTCCCATTCTGTGCATTGTCTATCACTTTCTTAATTTTAACTGTTGAATCACAAGGTTTTGATTTTGATGATGTCAACTTATCAAATTTTTCTTTTGTTACTTGTGCCTTTGGTGTTATACTATAAGACACTATTGCTGAATGAAGGGTCATGAAGAATTTTGCCTATGTTTTCTTCAAATAATTTTATAGTTTTAGGTCTTATATTAAGCTCTTTGATCCAGTTTAAATTAATTTGTGTGTATGATGTGATTTAGGGTCCAAATTCACTATTTTGCATGTGAATATCCAGTTGCCACAATATCATTTGTTGAAATAACTATTCTTTCTCCACTGACTTGTCTTTGAACCCTTGTTAGAAATCAATTTTTCATAGATATGTGGGATTATTTCTGGCCTCTTACTTCTATTCTCTTAGTCTATATGTCTGTCCTTATGCCAGTATCACAATATTTTCATGACTGATAAGAGCTGCTATGTCAATCTGAAACTAGAAAACTTAAGAGGTCTATACAGACATTGGAAAAAGAAGGTGAGATGGGAAGTTTTGTGTAGTAGCCAAGAATGAAATTGTCTTCAAGGTGCATAAGATAAATCTTTTGAAGGGGAATGAGGTGATTTATATCTACACAGAAACTTAAATATAATCACATTTTCTTGGAGAGATTTTAGGTAAGATATCCAAAATATTAGGTCATGATGAAGGATGGGAGAGAACAAAATAAAAATGGAATGGGAGTGGCTATGGAGAAAGACTTGGAGGCATCACTTTTTTCTTGCCATCTGTACAAGTGATGAGAAGGGATTACAGGTCATTTTGGGAAGGCTTTTTAGTGGGATGTTAAGGATATGCCCCTGTCTCCAACCAGAGCACATGGATCTCCCCAGCATCCCCACCATTAGGCAGAAGCCAAGAGTGCTTTGTGATGTCTACAGCTCCTTTAACCCCTACTGGCCAGGGGAAGTGCCTAGATGAACAAATAAAGCTAAAGGGTGTGGCTCCTCATTGTCCTGATGATGGGCATTTTATATGCTGGTAGAGAAGACTACTGTGGGGTTTCAACATGGCTAAAGTTACCAGAAAGTTGAAGGGATCTAGCAAAGTTATGGAGCAATCAAACCCAAGCACAGAACAATTAATCTCAAGCACAAAAGGGAAGAACAAGATGAAGAAATCCTGTCAACCCAGGGCCAGAAAAGGGGGCAAGGTGAGACCACCTCACTCAAGCTCTTTTCTCTTGATCCACCCTCCCCTATGTCTCCTACGCTTTACCTGCCTGGCACAAACCCCCTCATTAGCCCATGTCCCTTTTTACAAAGCTCCTCTTCTCATTCAGTGCCTATCTCCTTCCTCGAACACAAGGTCCTTTTGTGATCACTCTATTGCCCTTTCAGGTGAAGAAGATACAGAGGGTGATAAAACGACTGCTTCATGGGAGTTCAAGAAAAAAATCGTCTAGTACTAGTACAGAAATTCCACAAAAGGTAAAAAGAGTGAAAAGAGCCAAGAATCGGCCACTAGCAAAGATTGAGTAGGAGCCAAAGCACTCAGGCCAGGCCCAAGATGCTGTAAAAAAAAATGACACTCCTACAAGATACAACAGCATAATGAAACAGCGATGGTGGTAATTAAAACAAAATCAACATGTTATGAAAAACCCTTTATTTCAGAACATGTGTATGTATTTCTGTAAGTTATCTGATTGTGGGAAAAGAGAGAAGGAAGGGAAGAGGCAAGTTTGTGAGACAGAAGCAAAGTGAGGTCCAGGAGAATTGGAGGGGGTTGACCTGCCAGTAGGTTTATATACTGACAGGTAGACATATTTGCAGGCCTACCATGAGCCAAACATTGGGGATAAGGACTAGGTGAGGATTGAGCACTGAAGAAAAATTTCCATTCTTAACATTATAACCCATAGGCAAGAAGAGAAATGGGCTTGGTGTTTCTATTTGTGCATATGTGCATGGGGATAACATTAGGGTTTAGGTTGCCAGAACACAAATGGGGAGAAGTGTAATGTGTGTTGGGTGACAGTATCACTTCCTATAAAAGGTGGACAAAGAAACCATCTCCAGGCCACATATTTCATAGTGGTGTTTGCTTTCCTTCAGACTATGTAACAAGCAATTAAATGATCTAAGAAAGGACCCAAAACTAACCCTAATAAAATTTGACAAAACTTCCAAACACTGAAATAATGGTGTTTAAATGCCACAGCCCCAATATGGAATATGCCATATTTTTTGCTAAGAAAATTTGGGATGCAGCAGTATCTTACTATGGTTAAGAAAATATCTGTCCAATCACTAGCCAACTGTTAAACTAAAAGAATAGATACTTTTGTGGTGGCTACATACAAGAAAAACTACTGACTATAGAAATAGTTCAGAAAAGTCACTAAACAAGCAAACAAACATTAAGCAACACCAAAAACCGCCAAGGAAATAGGGATAATTTGATTTCGAGAATTGCCACATTATATCATTTGTGTTAGGCCATTCTTGAAATGCTATAAAAATAACTGAGACTGGGTAATTTATAAAGAAGAGGGGCTTTAGTTGGCTCACAGTTCTGCAAGCTTCACAGAAAGCATGGTGCTGGCATCTGCTTGGCTTCTAGGAAGGCCTCAGGAATCTTACAATCATGGCGGAAGGTGAAGTGGGGGGCAAGGAAGACATATGGTGAAAGCAGGAGCGAGAGAGAGAGAGTAGGGGGAGGAACAGATGCCACACACTTTTTTTGTTTTTTTTTGAGACGGAATCTCGCTCTGTCACCCAGGGTGGAATGCAGTGGTGCGATCTTGGCTCACTGCAACCTCCATCTCCTGGGTTTAAGCAATTCTCCTACCTCAGCCTCCTGAGTAGGTAGCTAGGATTACAGGCACCCACCACCATGCCCAGCTAATTTTTGCATTTTTAGTAGAGATGGGGTTTCACCACATTGGCCAGGCTGGTCTCGAACTCCTGACCTCAGGTGATCCTCTTGCCTCGGCCTCCCAAAGTGCTGGGATTACAGGCATGAGCCACCGTGCAGGCCTCCACACACTTTTAATGTCACATGTGAGGCCACAGACCAGATCTTGTGTGAACTCAGAATGAGAGCTCATTTATCAGCAAAGGGATAGCCCAAGCCATTCATGAGGGATCTGCTTCCGTGATCCAAACACCTCCCACCAGGCACCACCTCCAACATTGGGGATTATATTTCAACTTGAGATTTGGGTGGGTAGAATATCTAGACTATATCATTTCACCCCAGCTCGTCCTAAATCTCATGTCATTCTCACATTTTAAAGTATACTTAGCTATTGAGAAATAGTCCCCCCAATGTCTTAACTAATTCCAGCATTAACTCAAAAATCCAAAGTCCAAAATGTCATCTGAGAGAAGGCAAGTCCCTTCCACCTATGAGCTTGTAAAATCAAAAACAAGCTCTTTACTTCCAAGATACAATGGCAGTACAAGCATCGGGTAAGCATTCCTGTTCCAAAATGAAGAAATAAGCCAAAAGAAAAGCTGCAGGCCCTATGCAAGTTCAAAACTCAGCAGGGCAGTCATTAAATCTTAATGTTCCAAAATAATTGTCTTTGACTCCATGTTCCACATATAGGGCACACTAGTGCAAAGAGTGGGCTCCCAAGGACTTGGGCAGCTCTGCCCCATGGCTTTGTAGGGTTCAGTCCCTGAGGCAGCTTTCAAGGCCTGGAGTTGACTGACTATAGCTTTTCCATGCTGAGGGTACAAGCTCCCAGAAGACTTACAATTCTTGGGTCTAAAGAGCAGTTGGCACCCTTCCCACAGCTTCACAAGGCAGGGCCCCATTGAGGACTCTGTGTGGATGTTTCAACCTCATATTTTCCCTTTACACTCCCCTAGTAGAGGTTCTCTCTGGGGTTCCACTCCTGCAGCAGACTTCTGCATGGGCACCCAGGATTACTCATACATTTCCTGAAATCTAGGCAGAGGTTCCCAAGCTTCATTCACTCTAGCCCTCTGTGCACCGTCAGGATTAACACCATGTGGAAACCACAAAGGCCTGTGGCTTGCATTCTCCAAAGTGGCAGCCTGAGCTGTATCTGGGTCCCTTTGAGCTATGGCTGGAGCTAGAGCAGCCTGGATGCAAGTAGCAGTGTCCAAGGCTGTGCAGTGTAGCAGGAACCTGGGTCTGGCCCATGAAACTATTCAGTCCTCCGAGGCTTCAGAGCCTGTGATAAGAGGGGCTGCCTGAAAGATTTCTGAATGCCTTAGAGGCTTTTTCCCCATTGTCTTAGTTATTAACACTTGGCTCCTTTTTAGTTATGCAAATTTCTCTATCAAGTGGTTGCTCCTCAGCCTGCTTCAATTCCTCTCCTGAAAAAGCTTTTTCTTTAGCACATGACTAGGCTGCAAATTTTTCAAACTTTTATGCTCTGCTTCCCTGTTAAATATAAGTTCCAATTTTAAGTCTTTTCTTTGCTCCCACATTTGAGCATAGGTTGTTAGAAGCACCCAGGCCACATCTTGAACACTTTGCCACTTAGAAATTTCTTCCACTAGATCCTGTAGGTCATTGCTTTCAAGTTTAAACTTTCATAGTCCACAGGCCATGGGAAAAATCCAGCCAAGCTCTTTACTAAAGCATAACATGCTTGACCTTTGCTCCAGTTCCCAATAAATTTCTCATTTCCTCCTAAGACATCATAAGCCTGTCCTTCACTGTCTGTATCTCTATCAGCATTTTAGTCATAACTATTTAATCAGTCTTTAATAAGTCTCAAACTTTCCATCATCTTCCTGTCTGCTTCTGAGCCCTCCAAACTCTTCAAACCTCTGTTTTTTTATCCAGTTCCAAAGTAGTGTCCACATTTTCAGGTATCTTTGTAGCAATGCCCTACTCCTCATTACCAACTTTTTGTATGTGTTAGGCTGTTCTTACATTGCTATAAAGAAATAACTGAGACTGGATAATTTACAAAGGAAGGAGGCTTAATTGAGTCACAGCCCATCAAGCTTTACACAAAGCATGGTGCTGGCATCAGCTCAGCTTCTAGGAGGGCCTCAAGAAGCTTACAATCCTGGTAGACAATGAAGGGGGAGCAGGCATCATACATGGTGAAAGCAAGAGTGAAAGACAGAGAGTTGAGGAGGAGGTGCCACAAGCTCTTAAGTGACTAGATTTTGTGTGAACTCAGAGAGAGAGCTCACTTATCACCAAGGGGATAGCCCAAACCATTAATTAAGGATTCGCCCCTTTGATCCAAACAACTCCCACAAGACTCAATCTCTAACACTGGGGATTAAATTTCAACATGAGATTTGAGCAGAGCAAATATCTAAACTATATTATTACTTGAACTCTTGTGTTTTCAACAAAAAGTTATGTGACATAAAAGAAATAAGAATGTATGACCCATATACAAGTATAAAAGCAATCAATGGAAATAATCCTTGAAGAAGCCCTAAAATTGGACTTACTAGGCAAAAGCTTTAGATCTCCTATTTACATATATTCATAAAGCTAAACTTCGCCATGTCTAAATCACTAAAGAGCAGTATAAGAACAATGTCACAACAAATAGAGACCATCAGTAAAGAAATATAAGTTAAAAAGAGCCAAATAAAAATTCTGGGGTGTGAAATAATTGAATTGAAATAATTGAAATGAAAAATTCATAAGGAAGGCTCAACAGCACATATGAGTGGGCAGAAGAATAAGTAACCTGAAATTAGTTCAATTGAGATTTTCTAGTCTGAGGAACAGAAAGAAAAAAGATGAAGAAAAATGAACAAGGCTTCAGTGACTTGTGCAATAATAGCAAGTGTGCCAAAATATGCATAATGGAAGTCCCAGAAGAGGAGTGAAAGAAAGATGTTAATATAGTATTTGAAGATACAATGAAAAAACATCCCAAATTTGATGAAATTAATCTGCCCATCCAAGAAGCTCAATGAACTCCAAATATGAGAAACACAAATAGATCTTCACCAGTACACAGCATAATAAAATTATCCAAAGACAAAGAAAGAACCTTGAAAACAGCAGGAGAGAAGTGACTCATCACTTACAAGTGAGCTTTAATGAGATCAACAGCTGATTTCTTATTAGAGACCATGGAGGCAGAAAACTGTGATAACATTTTCAAAATGCTGAGAAAAAATAAAAACTACTGTCAACCAAGAATTCTGTACACAGAAAAACTGTCATTAAAAGACAAGAAAGTAAGATACTCCCAGGTAAACAAAAAGTTGAGAGAATTTGTAACTGGCAGACCTTCAGACAGAAATAAAAGAAAACTAGATTGCAACCTAGATCCATATAAAGAAATTTAAAAAACTGTTAAAGATAACTATGTAGGTGATCTAAACCAGTATAAGTGCATTTTTCAGTATAATACCATTTCTATTCTATTTGACTTAAGACTACTGCATGATGTGATAATTATAAATCTAGTTGAGAGTCACACAAATATAAAGATATAATTTTTGACTATATTAGTATAAGAAGGAAAAGTTCCACAAAGGAGTAAGGTCTTTGTACACTATTGAAATTAAGTTGGAATTAATCTGCACTAGAATTTTATAAATTGATATGTTAAGGGTAATCCTCAGGAAAAACACTAAGAAAATAACTAAAAAATACACAGTAAAAGAAATGACAGCAAATAAAAATTGTACACTATGAAATATATATTTAACACAATACAAAGCAGTAATGGAGGAATTGAGAAACAAAAATAAATTACATATAGAAAATAAATAGCAAAATAGCAGACATAAATTTTGCCTTATCAATAATTACATTAAATGTAAACAGATTAAACATTGCAATTAAAAGGCAGAGATTTGCAGAATTTAGTTCAAAACTTTATCCAGCTATAAGCTGTCTATAAGAGACACTTTAGGTTCAAAAACATTAATTCATTGAAAGTAAAAGAATGAAAAAGATACTCCTAGACATGGATAAGCTGATCCTAAAATTCACATGGAAATGCAAGGAACCAAGAATAATTTAAACCATTTTGGAAGAGAAGGAAGTTGAAGGATACACCCTTCTTTATTTTAAGACTTACTATAAATCTCCAGTAATCAACAGATATGGTACTGTCTTAAAGATAGACATATAGATCAATGGAACTGAATTGAGAAGTCTATGGTAAAAATTATATCTATGATCTATCAACTAGTTTTTTTCAGTGAATGGTGCTGAGACAACTGGACATCCACATGCAAAGAAGGATTTGAATTCCTCCCTCACACCATATAAAAAAATTAACTCAAAATATATTAAAACCTAAATATAAGCACTAACATTATATAACTCTTAGAAGAAAACAAAGGTATACAACTTTGTGACCTTGAACTATGTAATAGTTTCCTGTATATGACACCAAAAGCACAAGCAACTAAAAAAAGTAAATTGGAATTCATCATGAGTAAAATCTTTGGCATATCATAATTAAAGTCTTTGAAGAAAATTTTTGCAAATTGTATATCTGATAATAATATAGCACCCACAATATATTTGTTTTCATATTTACTCTTATCTTTATTGCTTTCCTTCTGCTAAATTTGAGTTTAGTTTTTTCCTTCCCTTTCTAGCTCCTTGAGGCATAATGTTAGGCTCTGTATTTGTAATCTTTCTTTTTATAATGTAGGCATTTATTGATATGAACTTTCCTCCTAGAACTGCTTTTGCTGCACATCATAGGATTGATATGTTGTTTTCATTATCATTTGTCTCAATATATTTCTAAATTTCCTTTTTAATTTCTTCTTTGATTCATTGGTTGTTCAGGAGCATACTGTTTACTTTATATATATTTGTCAATTTTCCAAAATTTCTTGTTATTGATTTGTAGTTTCATACTGTTATGATTGGAAACAATACTTGATGAATTTAACAGGTAAACAATTGAAAAACAATTAAAAGGCAAGGCAATTAAAAATGGGCAAAGGATTTCAATAGACATGTCTCCAAAAAGAATACACAGGGGCCAGTAAGTACATGAAAGAATGCTCAACATAATTAGCCATCAGGGAAACACAAATCAAAACCACAATTAGGTACAACTTTGCAACTCCTGGGATGGTTGTAATTTTTGAAAATAGAGGAAAATAAGTTGTGTTAGTCTGTTTGGTCTGCTATGACAAAATACTTTTGATTGGGTAACTTATAAACAAGAAAAATTTATTGCTCACAGTTTTGGAGGCTAGGAAGTCCAAGAATAAGGCTCTGTCAGATTTTGTGTCTGTTGAGGGCTCACTCTCTGGTTCATAGTTCATGACTTCCCACTGTATCCTCACATAGTGGAAGGGGGCTAGCTAGTTCCCCAGAGTTATTATTGTAAAGGCACTAATCTCATTCATAAAGGCAGAGCCCTTATCAGCTAAACACCTGCCAAAGGCCCCAACTTTTAATACTATCACATTGATGATTAGGCTTCAACATAAAAATTCTGGGGAGACATAAACATTCAGTCCATCTGCACAAGTGTTGGTGAGGATATAGAGCAATTGGAGTCCTCATGCATTTTTGTTGAGAATTTAAATTGACACAGCCACTGTGAAAACCAGTTTGGTAGTTCCTCAAAATGTTCAACACAAAGTGGCCATATGATAGCAAATCTGGTTTTCACTCAAGATAATTTAAAACATGGCCACACAAAGACTTCTACACAAATGTCCACAAAGCATTATTTGTAACAGTTAAAAGATAGAAACATTCCAAATGTTCATCAACTGAAGAATGGATAAACAAAATGTGGTATACATACAATGGAATATTATTCAGCCATAAAAGCAACAATGTACTGATACAAGCTACAGTGTTGATGATCCTTGAAAGCATTATGGTAAGTGCAAGAAGCCAGTCAAAAAAGATCGCATATGATTCCATTTATATTTGATGTCCATCAAATCAAGACTACAGAGGCAGAAAGTAGATTAGTTGTTGATTAGAATGGGAGAGGGAGAGGAAAGAGAGTAGAAGGATGATAACTAAAGAGTTCAGGGTTTTTTTTTGAGGTAATTAAAATGTTCTTAACTGGAGTGAGGATTGCACATATCTGTGAACATATTACAAACCATGAAGTTGTCCATTTTAAATAAATAAATTGGATGATATGTGAGTTATATCTCAATAAAGCTGTCATAAAATCAAAAGAAAAACATGTCTAGACAAAATACATATTGATTTAGGCTTCTGCTTTGGCTAGGATCTAGCAGAGCATTGAGACTGTTAGTCCCACTGGACTGTTTTCAATGGAGGAAAGAAGATATTTACAATAAAAAACTGAGGTGCTATTATTTAAAGAAGGTGGGGCGAATGTATAAACTCCTCCAGTAAATTATAATTTTACTTACAATAAAATCCTAATATGTTACCATAGACTACTAGGTCCTAGATGGCCCATTTTCACCTGCCTCTCCAATTTCATCCTCTTCTCTTTCTTCTCCTTCTTCTTTTTGCATCTCCTTGGACACTTTAAGGTCATTTATGCCTCAGGGCATTTTTATCTGCTGTTCCCTCTACCTGCAATGCTTTTCCCCCAGGTATTTACACAGATTTCTTCTTCTCATCATTCAATTCTCAGATCACAGGTTATCTTTTGAGAGAAGCCTTCTCTGACTACCTCATCACAGTTGCTGGCCATTTTACCACTTTGTCTTCATAGGCATTATTATTATTTGATAACATTTTTATTATACTTATGTGTTTATTTTTGTTTTTCTCACTCTCATCCAATAGAAGGTAAACCCTATGAGAGCAGGAGCCATGATTATTCTATTCAGCAAGATAGTCTCAACCTCTGGCATATGGATTAGCACACAGTATAACTCAGGAAGTGTTTGTTAAATGAACTAGTGGTTTAAAAGCCCCAAACTTATCAAAAATAACCTCCTTTCTGTTATTAAAAAGAAATGTTATTACATTTCTTTTTAAACAGAGCAGTGGAAAGGAAAATAGGCATTGAAAAAAATCCTGAAGGAAGTTAAATCAGTGCTGTGAATGGGACCTAGGGAGCCACTCTCTGGGAGGCTGTGGCCCAACACATTTCTTCCCTATTTATTTTCACACTCTCAAATTCAATCCTTTCTGTCTCTCTCTTTGTAATGTAGACACATACAATAGGTAGTTAGCTGGGGCCTCATTTGCTGTATGTTTCTTTTTTCATGAAAGCAACTGTCCACATCACTGTTCATAGGTTAACTCAATCCCTTCTCTTTCTTCAAAATATTTCTAATTTGTGCCTGTTTATACTGTGCTACCTGGTGTTAGCATGCATAAAATAACTTGGTTGCCACCCCTCTCCTAGAGACGTCTTAAAGCTTCTGAAACAGAGTTCTAGTGTCCATGGCTATCTTTGAAATGGTTACGGGGTCATGGCTCAGAGGCTGCAGCCAACCTGAGAAAGGCAACACAAGAAGGTGTGTGACAGATGACAGATTGCTGCTGCTGAGTTGGTCCTGAGCCCTGGCCTAGCCCTTGGTGCTGAATGAATGAGTATCAGATGCCCACCTGCACCAAGGGAATTACAACACATAAGCACACTCATTCATGGGTGGTCCAGTGCTGAATGCCTTTCTGCATTGCACTACTTCTCTATCAGCAGCCTGGTCACGCATGAATAAACAGTTACTGGCTCCAGTCAAACCTGGCAGCTCATTGGAAAGGTGGAAATGTGCTGGAACTCTATTCTGGGAGAGACTTTAGGTAATCTATACCAGTAGGGGAACAGCTACTAAGCAGTTGTCTTGGTGTTCACTAACCATTTAAATGGGAATTACCTTTGGATAAACCAGTGAGGAGATCCTTGAGCCAGGAAGTCCTTGACTCAGAATAGGTTTCTTTTTGTCCCAGCCACAGGATCTTGGAGACCTGTAGACCTATTAAACCATAGGTCTATGGATGAAATTTTTGGGATGCAGGTTGCAACCTGACTGGAGAAAATAAGACAGGAAAGTGGAGGTAACTAGTTGTCTCATTTTATTTTCTGTAACTATATCAGAATACCCAAGAATGGGTAATTTATAAAGAAAAGAAATTTATTTGTTACAGTTCTGCAGGCTGAACAGTCCAAGAGCATGGCACTAGCATCTTGTGAGGGCCTTCTTGCTGTGTCAAAACATGGTGTAGGATATCACATGGTGAGAGGGCAAGAGCATGCACGTCATACCAGGTCTCTCTTGCTCTTCTTATAAAGCTACCATGATGATTTTATGTAATCCTAAGTAACTCCCAAATGTCTCACCTCCAATAAACATGTGAATTAGGGTATTAAGTTTTCAAACACATAAAAATTGGAGGACATATTCAAATCATAGTACTAGCAGTCTAGGTTTGCAAAGCCTACGAATGAGTTATTCCCTCTGAGATTGTTTCCCCTCCTTGCCTCACTGGAAATGGTTTAATTGGTTATCCTGTTGGCACAAACTGCCCAGACTTCCCATTTCTATTTTCAGGATTGGATAGGAGCCCTTGGAAGAGCAACGCCTCCTGTGGGCAAGGCCCTGGAACCACTAGCCATTTGCTCTACCTTATCTTTCTCCCCTGAGGATTTGAAGGTTTAGCGCCACATTTAGACACATGCAAAAATAACCCCTATATGGTCTCTGTGCTTTAAAGAACCTTACTTTGAAAAGGAGACAGTGGACCTGAGGAGATGTAACCATACAGAATCCTTGGTTCACCTTCTAGATCTGAGTGGGCACCTGGGAAGCTGGAATTCCCTGCCTAAATGTTCACAAGCCCATTCCTATTTCCAGAGAGTTCACAGACTCCATTCCTGGTTCTGTATTCCTGGGGACACACACACACACACACACACACACACACACACACATTTGTATGATTACCTGTATGCTTAAGGGGTTTCTAGGAGGCAGCTGTTTGTTATTTGGGGAGAGTGTGGATGAAACTTAGAAGCATGGGCTATAGGGGCCCATATAAACATGTGTAAGGCCCCTCACAATGAAGGGTGAACCCAGAGTAGGAAGAGAAGAGGGACAGGTGGGCCAGTTGCTGGGGTCTGGTCCTCTTCATGTCACCACATTTTGGTACAGAACTCTAAGGAATCCAAGGATTTTAAATTTGAATGTGGCTTTCCAGGTTGTTGTACACATATATTTGTTTAGGTAGAAATATAGAACAGTTTGTTAGCTTGATTTACAAATTTTAAATATTTAGTACAAATTTTAAATATTTAGATATGGTGTCTGAGCCTGCATTTATAATCTTATCTGGAGCCCTGTGGATTAGTCAAGTTTCTCCCAAGAGGTTTAGTTTAAGAAATTAGCTCATGCACTTGTGAGGACTGGCATGTTTGAAATCTGCAGGGTAGGCTTGTAGGTTGGTAAAGAAGAGTTGATATTGGAGCTTGAATCTTAAGGCAATCTGAAGGCAAATTCTTTCTTCCACAGAGGACCTCAGTCTTTTTTTCTAAAGGCCTTCAACTTACTGGATGAAGCTCACCCACATTATGAAGAGTACTCTGCTTTACTCAAAGTCTATTGATATAAATATTAAATCTAAAAGATCCATTCAGAGGAATATATAGACTGATGTTTTACCCAACAACTTGGCACCATAGCCTAGCCAAGTTGACACAAAATCAACTGTCACATCCTGCAAATTCTAGGAGCTGACCTAAGCAGATTCACCTTTCACTGCCACCATATGCTCCTCTGCCTGAGGGTCTTGTCAGATCAGA
This sequence comes from Homo sapiens, assembly GCF_000001405.40. Classification (NCBI taxonomy): domain Eukaryota; kingdom Metazoa; phylum Chordata; class Mammalia; order Primates; family Hominidae; genus Homo; species Homo sapiens. The sequence goes on along the minus strand of NC_000023.11, from coordinate 149,403,852 downwards.
CCAGTTTTCTAAATTCTTCCCAAGCCTCATGTCTGGTGAAAGTGTAAGTGGCCTCTTCTTTAAAAATGATAGTCACTGTGAAAAACCTCAGGAAAACAGGCTGGGATTTTTTTTTTTTAAGGTGGTACTCTCTATACCAGTTTTACCTTTCATTTCCTTCAAGAAGAGGTCCTCATGGCTACTCCAGGCCCTCAGGATTGTCTCTGTCTACACAGAATATTTCAGTCTTCCAGAGTCAAGTGGGATTCCCAGTGTGTCAGGAGAAAGTCAGAACTGGAGACCACTCAGTTCATAAACAGGGAAGGTGTGCATGAAGAGCAACATGATACAGTAGAATGAACAATGGATGTCAGTTCAGAAGATGTCAGATTGATTCTTGGCTCTGCCACTTATCATGACTGTCCTTGAGAAGCCATTTTAAACTCTTAGCCTCAATTTTCTTATGTGTAAAAATAGTCATAATACTACCCACTATAGAGGTTTGTTGTGATGAATTTTGGAGAAAGTGTACATGACAGCAAATAGAGGTCACTCATAGTCATCAGTTAAGTCTGAAGCTCTAAGAACAACTAGATGGAAAACTAACAATGTGATTTAAGACTTGAACAACACTATAAACCAACTAGATCTTTTAGACATCTATAGAACACACCATCTAAAATCAGGAGAATATACATTTTTCTCAACTACACATGGTATGTTCTCCAGGAGAGGCGTATGTTAGTCTATAAAACAAACCCCAATAATTTTAAGATGATTTAAATCATACAAAGTATCTGACAACAGCGGAATTAAATCAGAAATCATTAACAGAAAACAATTTGGAAATCCCTAAATATGCAGATATTAAACAACACACTCCTAAACAACTCACGATTCAAAGAAGAAATCACAAGAACTAGAAAACAAATTAAGATGAGTGAAAAGAAGGCATAACATATAAAAATGTGTGAGAAGCAGCTATAAAGCAGTGCTTAGAAGGAAATTTATAGCTTTAAAAGCCTATATTAAAAACCAAGAAAGATCTCAAATCAATAACCTACCTTTCATCTTAAAAAAAAAAAACTAAAAAAAAAAAATCCATAAACATTCCAAAACCAGCAAGAGGAAATAATAAAGACTAGAGTGGAAAGTAATGAGAATATAGACAAACAGAAAAAAATCAACAAAATTAATAGTTGATTCTCTGAAAAGATCAACAATACTGAAAAATCTTTAGACAGGCTGACAAATAAAAAGAGAAAAGAAAGACTAAAATCAGGAACGAAAAAGGGAACATCAATATTGATCTTACGAAAATAAGGACTGGCTGCAGTGGCTCACACCTGTAATCTCAGCATTTTGGGAGGCTGACGTGGGAGGACTGCTTGAGCCCAGGAATTCAAGAGCAGCCTAGGCAATGTAGGGAGACCCCCATCTCTACAGAAAAATTTTGAAAATTAGCCAGGCATGGAGGCACACACCTGTGGTCCTAGCTACTTGGGAGGCTGAAGTGTGGTGACTGTTTGAGCCCATGAAGTAGAGGCTGTAGTGAGCTGTGCTTTTACCACCGCACTCCAGCCTGGGTGACAGAGTACGACTCTGTCTCAAAAATAAATAAATAAATAAAAATCAGCTACTCGGGAGGCTGAGGCAGGAGAATCGCTTGAACCCGGGAGGCAGAGGTTGCAGTGAGCCAAGATCACGCCACTGCACAGCAGCCTGGGCAACGGAGCTAGACTCTGTCTCAAAAACAAAACAAAGCAAAACAAACCAACAAAACAAAACAAAACAAAAACAAGGTTACTAATTGTTTTGAATAATTTTGCTAATAAATTAGATAAGTTAAATAAAATAGAAAAGTTCCGAGAAAGACATACTATAAAAACTGACTGAATAGAAAATAAAAAATGTGAATAAGCCTATAATAAGTGAAGAGATCAAATTAGCATTTTTAAAAAATCCCACACAAAGGCCCAGGCCCAGAAGGCTTCACTAGTGAATTTAACCTAACATTTAAAGATGAGTTAATAAAAATTCTTCCAAAAAAAAAAAAAAGATAGAAGCTGAGGGAAGACTTCCCAACACATTCTAAAAGTCCAGTTTTATTCTTATACCAAAGCCACACAATGAAATATTAAGGAAAAAAAACTACAGACCAACAGCCCTTATAAACATAAATGCAAAATTCTCAACATATTACAAAATTAATCCAGTAACATATAGAAAGAATTATAACACAATGAATGAGTGGGATTTATTCCAGAAATGCAAGGTTGGTTAAACATATGAGAATCAATTGAAGTAATACACCGTATCAATAGAATGAAGGACAAAACTCACATTATCATCTTTTTTTTATTTTTTATATCCACAGGTTTTTGAGGGAACAGGTGGTGTTTGGTTACATGAATAAGTTCTTTAGTGGTGATTTCTGAGATTTTGGTGCACCCATCACCTGAGCAGTTTACACTGTACCCGATTTGTAGTCTTTTATCCTTCACTCCATTCCCACTCTTTCCCCCAAGTCCCCAAAGTCCATTGTATCATTCTTATGCCTTTGCATCCTCATAGCTTAGCTCCCACTTATAAGTGAGAAATACAGTGTTTGGTTTTCTATTCCTGAGTTACTTCCCTCAGAATAATGATCTCCAATTCCATCCAGGTCGCTGTAAATGCCATTATTTCATTCCTTTTTATGGCTGAGTAGTATTCCATGGTGTATAGTATATATATATAATGTATATATCACAATTTATTTATCCACTCACTCATTGATTGATGGGCATTTGGGCTTGGTTCATTTTTTTGCAATTGCAAATTTTACTGCTATAAACATGCATGTGCAAGTATCTTTTTTCGTATAATAACTTCTTTTCCTCTGGGTAGATACCCAGTAGTGGCATTGCTGGATCAAATGGTTGTTCTACTTTTAGTTCTTTAAGGAATCTCCACACTGTTTTTCCTGGTGGTTGTACTAGTTTAGATTCCCACAAGCAGTGTAAAAGTGTTCCCTTTCCACTACATCCATGCCAACATCTATTTTTTTTTTTTATTTTTTGATTATGGCCATTCTTACAGGAGTAAGGTGATATCACATTGTGGTTTTGATTTGCATTTCCCTGATCATTAGCGATGTTGAACATTTTTTCATATGTTTGTTGACCATTTGTGTATCTTCTTTTGAGAATTGTGTATTCATGTCCTTAGCCCACTTTTTGAATGGAATTATTTGTTTATTTCTTGCTAATTTGTTTGAGTTCCTTGTAGATTCTGGATATTATTCCTTTGCTGGATGTACAGATTGTGAAGATTTTCTCCCACTGTGTGAGTTGGTGAGTTGTCTGTTTACTCTGCTGTTTTTTTTTTTTTTTTTGGCTATGCAGAAGCTTTTGAGTTTAATTAAGTCCCATCTATTTATCTTTGTTTTTGTTGCATTTGCTTTTGGGTTCTTGGTCATGAAGTCTGCGCCTAAGCCAATGTCTAGAAAGGTTTTTATGATGTTGTCTTCTAGAATGTTTATGGTTTCAGGTCTCAGATTTAAGCCCTTGATCCCTCTTGAGTTTATTTTTGTATAAGGTGAGATATGAGAATCCAGTTTTATTCTTCTACATGTGGCCTGCCAATTATCCCAGCACTATTTGTTGAATCAGGTGTCCTTTCCCCATTTTATCACATGATCATCTTAATGGAAGGATTAAAAAGTTGATAAAACCCAAAAACCATTCATGATTGAAATTCTCAAGAAGCTAGGAATAGGAGAGAACTTCTATGAAAAACGTACAGCTAACATTATACTTAAGGTGAAGACTGAATGCTTTGTCTGCATGTCAGGAAAAGACTGGAAACAAGGTGAGGATGTCTGTTCTCCCCACTTCTATTCAACAACATACTGGAGGTTCTAGCCAGTCCAATTAGGCAAGGAAAAGAAATAAAAGGCTTCAAGCTTGGAAAAGAAAAAATAAAAATATGTTCATTCACAGATGACATAATTCTTTTTACAAAAATCCTCTGAATTCACATACAATAAAATTATTAGAACTAATTAATGAGTTTAGCAATATTAAAGGATGAGAGATCAGTATAAAAATATCAGTTGTATTTCTAAACACTAGCAATCAGCAATGTAAAAATAACTAAGAAAATAATCTACTTGATAATAGCATCCAGAAAATAAAAAACTTAGAAATAAATTTAACAAAAGAAGTACAAGACTTGTGGACTGGCAAATACAAAACACAGTTCACAGGAAATAAAGAACATTAAATAGAGAAATACTCCATGTTCATGGATTGGTAAGGGGACAATTTTCCCCAAATTGATCTGTAGATTCAACATATCTCTGTCAATATCCCAGCACAAGTGTTCATAGCAGTATTATGTATAACATATAAAAAATGTAAACAAGCTATAAATATCCAACAACTGATTAATAGATAAACAAAATGTGTTGTATCCATACAATGGGATATTACTCATCCATAAAAAGACATGAAATACCAATAAATGCTACAACATGGATGAACCCTGAAAACATTATGCTGAGTGAAAGAAACCAGTCACAAAATACTATTATACATACTGCATTTGAGTGATTCCATTTGTATAAACTATCCAAAAGAGAGAAATCTGTAGAGACAGAAAGTAGATTAGTGGTTGCTTAAGTCTTGGGAGAGGTTGGGGGAAATAGGTAGTGACTATAAATGGGCACACCAGGGATCTCTCTGTGGTGAAAGAAATCTTCTAAAACTGGAGGGTGGTGATGGTTGCACAACTGTGAATTTAATAAAAACAATTGAATTGTACATTTAAAATTAATAAATTTCATAGTATGTAAATTATATCTCAATGAAGCTGTTAAAATAAGCAAACACACAAAATCCTAAAGCTGTGGACCCTGAACTTGGTTCTAGGGATACGGCAAAACTGGGGAAGTGAGGCCTTGCTGGCCATCAGTTCCCAATTTAGAATTTCTAATTTTAATGCTAATCTCAATTTCTTGTCGTCTGCTAATTGTTCATGATAACCTAGATTTTTTCCTGATCAGTGAAATGACCTTGGGACAGCCTTCGACTGCTGAAGCTGTTACATTTTAGGAAAATCCATAATTCCTCCATTTCTTTGCATCATTAAAACCACACAACCCCATATCTACTAAAAAACAAAGACAGCTGAACTTCCTCTATAGTGTGTAAGTGATAATGCGTGTAGCCCCAACATGGAAGCAGTATTTCTAAAATCTCATCTTTGGTTTTCGCTTTCAATAATAGGGATGTAGATCTGGCAGTTCCGGTGGCACCCCACCACCGTGGTAACACTGAATCTACACTGCCCCTCCAGAAAGTTTATTTCTTCCCATCACCCCAACAGCCTAAGCAATCCATAGTATAATTGTATTCAGCCACTGAGCTATCAGTAATACAATAATGCAGACCTTCCAAATGCTTAATGTAGTCATTAGCTGTGCAGCATAGTAGAAATGCATGGATATGGTAATGGGCTGGGGGATAGCTATTTTTTGAATGAAGACAAATAATAGAACAGCTGCATCTCTCCACCAGGAGAACCTGTTTTCCTTTTAACTTTAGGAGTTTGGAATTAACTCTAGAGAGAGCAGTTGAAAAATTAGCATTAGAAGGAACCAAAATACTCAAGAAAGGGAGGCAGGGCAGGGGCTCACAAGAAACGTTCTTCTCCGAGGGCACAATGGTTGCTTTCTGCAGCCAGCAGCAGGCACTGCAGGTGGGGATGACCCAGGGATGATGCCAGACCCTTCTATTGCAAATCTGGGGGAGTGGCATAGCATTTGTACTGCTGTTTTAAAGTAAAAATGTCTCCTAGAAAGTAGGAGACTCCAATTTGTAGGAAGAAAAAAGTCGGAATGAGAAAAATTAGTCCATATCCCAAAAAAGAACATTAAGAAGTCTCTTAGGAACCTGATTGCATTTTTATAGAGCAATGCTGTCCAATATGGTAGCCACTAGTCATATGTTGATATTTAAATTTGCATTAATTAACATTAAATAAAATTAAAACTTCACTTTTTCAGTCACACTAGCCACATTTCAAGCGCTCAATAGCCACATGTAGCTAGTGGTTACCATATTGGAGAGTGTATATGTAGAACATTTTCATCACAAAAGCTCTTTTGAATAGTGCTCTTTAATCTAAAACAATATTAAAGACATCAGTGTATTTTGTATGGTGCCATTCACTTATCCTAAGAAGCAGGGAGATGGTATCTGTTGAGGGAATATGATTTTATGAGATTAAATTACGGCCAATAAGCATTGTCAATATGCAAGTGGTTCCTGGCACTTGCTCAGTGTCCTCAGCCTCAGGCACTCATCCACTATTTCTCAAACCTGGCTGCAAGCCTATCCTAGTATAACCTAGGGAGTCTTTAAAAATCCCAATGCTAAGGCCACAAAACTGATCAATTAAATCAGAATCTCAGGTGATGGGGGCAGTTATCAGATTTTTAAAAAATAAACTTTATTTTATAATACTTTTAGTACTACAGAAAAATTGCAAAGATACCACAAAGTTCTTATATATTTCATATCCAGTTTCCTCTATTATTAACATCTCACATTAGTTTGGTGCATTTGTCACAATTAATAAATCAATATGATACGTTATTATTACTCAGGTTTATACTTCATTCAGATTTCCTTACTTTTTACCTAATGCCATTTTTTGGGTCTCAGGATCCTATTCAGAACAGATAACACATTACATTTAGTCAACATGTCTCCTTAGGCTCCTCTTGGCTGTGTCAGTTTCTAACAGTTTCATTATTTTTCATGACCTTGACAGTTTTGAAAAATAATTGTCAGGTATTCTGCTTAATGACCCTCAATTGTAGTTTGCCTGATATTTTTCTCATTATTAGACTGAGATTATGGGTTTGGGGAGGAAGACTACAGAGATGAAGTGGCATTCTCATCATGTCACATCAAAAGTTCATACTATCAACACGACTCATAATTTTTGATGCTGACATGGTTGCAATAGTGTTTATCAGATTTGTCTACCATAAAGTTGCTCTATTTCCTCCTTTTCCACACTGTACTCTTTGGAAGGAAGTCACTTTTAAGGAGTGGGGAGTTATGCTGCACTTCATCGAGAGGAAAGTACCTGTATGAATCAGTTCTAGTTCTTCTACATGAAAGATTTGTGTCTTTTCTCTTATTTATTATTACATTTATTTGATTTCATAAGTATGGACTCATGCACATGTATGTTATACTTCAGGTTGTTGGCTATAAAAATCCTCTATGAATAAATGCTTGGTGCCACAAAGTGAAACCAGCACTCAGGCAAAAGTTTAATTCTCTCAGCAAGGCAATTTACTTCTGCAGAAGCATGCTACCTGCGTCAGTCAAGATCATAAGAGCACACGGAACAAAGGAGACTAGGAGTTTTTTATATCCTTAACACAATCCTTACTTCTGTGTCCCTCCCCCATGGGCTGGGGTCAGACTGCACAATCTGAGCTGACCCGATTGGCTACTTGTACATATTTTTCTAAATATAGAAGGGGAGAGGGATGTGTGGTACAGAGGTGGAGCATGTGAGATATGCAGTTTCGGGAGAACAGTGGGTGGGGGAAGGTAACCAAGGGAACAGATGTGAGTTATTCATTGGACCTGATGGGAAAGGATAGGCTGTTTTACAGTAACTAGGGGCAGGAGGAACAGGAAAGTTGAGTTTGAGAACAAAAGACAAGGAAGTTAGTAGGCTAAAATTAATTGTATCTTACAAGGTTATAATCCAATAATAAGTTATTTATTTTGTTCTTTAACTTGTTCTATCTCTGCCTATCAGAAGCTCTTTCAGTTGACATGTCTATCCCTTTGACATACCCCTATAATGTAGTGGGTTTTTTTCTTAGCACTTTCTTATGTTGTTGTACTATGGGATGCCCAAGGATCATCTTGAATATATCTTGACTCATTCCTAGAATCAGACATTTTTTCAGGGAGCACTGGTTCTTTTAATTGAAAAATGGTATTAGAGACCAAGATCTGGGCACTAAGTGTACTTGTTACTACTGAGGTATCATAGCTTTTAGGCCGACAGAACAACAAAATATATGTACATACACTAACTTGAGTATTTACATGCACATATCTTTCCATATTTCTCTATATAACCACATTTATATAATTTAAGCTGAAGATAAGCTCCTACTGATGTCTTCAAGTCTTCATTACCACATAGGTCATTCTAGCCTTGTCCTTTTACATATGTGTACCTACCCACTCCAATTGTGAGAAATCTGGCTCCCACCATATGCCTCCATTTACCTGATTGTTGAATTCCAGTAAACATGTATGGTAGTATCAAATTTGCTAACCCATATCCCTGTGGAAAACAAATGTATCAACTAGAGTACAAGGCTTATGTGCAGTTCTTACTGTCTTTAGTCCTACAATCTAAAGCAAAAAACACTCATTTCCAAAGTTACTTAGGTTGGTAACTTTTCTCCCATCTCCTTTCATCACACATTTGTAATACGGTTTGTATTAGTCCATTCTCACACTGATATAAAGAAATATCCAAGACTGGGTAATTTTTAAAGAAAAGAGGTTTAATTTACTCACAATCCTGCATGGCAGGGGAGGCCTCAGGAAACTTACTATATGGCAGAAGGTGAAGGGGAAGCAAGGGCCTTCTTCACATGGCAGCAGGAGAGAGAAGAATAAGGAGCCAAGGGGGAAGATCCCCTTATAAATCCATAAGATCTCATAAGAACCCACTTACTATCATGAGAACAGCATAGGGGAAACTACTCCCATGATACAATCACCTCCCACCTGGTTTCTCTCTCAATATGTGTGGATTATGGGGATTATAATTTGAGATGAGATTTGGGTGCTTCTTACTACTGAGGTATCATAACTTTTAGGTCAACAGAGCCAAACGATATCACAGTTCAATTCTTCATTTCACATTCTGTATTTCATCTTGGGATCCACTGACCTCAAATGATTTTTTAAATTTGTGTACATTAAGACTCACTCTTTGTAATATAAAGTTCTGTGGATTTTGAAAAAATAGCATCATATATCCACCATTGCAATATCATTCAGAACAGTTTTGCTGCCCTGAAAATTCCCCTGTATTCACCTATTCAACTGCCCCGATCTCATCACAAGCCCCTGACAATCATGATTTATTTGTTATCTCTACAATTTTGCCTTTTTCAGAATGTCACATAAATAGAATCATACAGTATAGCCTTCAGGCTGGCTTCTTTCAGTTAGAAATATTTATTTAATATTCATGCATATCTTTGCATGGTTTCTTGGCTCATTCATTTTATTACTAAATAATATTCCACCTGTATGGATATATTACAGTATGTTTATCCATTCTCCTATTGAAGGACATCTTGCTTGTTTCCAGTTTTGGGTGATTATGAGTAAAGCTGCTATAGACATTGAAATGCAGGTTTTTGTGTGGATGCAAGTTTTCAAATCAGTTGAGTAAATACATAGGAGCATGACTACTGAACTGTATAGTAAAACTATGTTCAGCTTTGTAAGCAACTGCCAAACTTTCTAAAGTGGTTGTATCATTTTGTATTCCCCACCAGCAATGGATGAGAGTTATTGTTGTTTTACAGCCTCACCAAGAATTGGTATTGTCAGTTTTTAATATTTGGCCATTCTAATACATGTACTTTTTTGAAAACCCTTAAATGTATTGAAATGTATTTTACATAAATTAAACATTAGTGCATTTTATTGTACAGTTGTATGAGTTTTGACAAATGTGTACACCTGTGTAACCACAACCACCATCAAGATATAAAACATTTCCATCACTCTACAAGATTACCTTCTGTCTCTTTCCAGTCATTTCCAAAACCTTGCTCCCACAGATCTGTAAATATATATCTGTAAAAATATATGCACCCAACACTGGAGCATCCAGATATATAAAGCAAATATTATAACAGCTAAAGAAATAGACCCCAATACAATAATAGCTGGATAATTTAACACTCCACTTTCATCATTGAACAGATCTTTAATACAGACAATCAACAAAGAAACATCAGACTTAATCTGCACTGTAGACTAAATGGATCTAATATTTACAGAACATTTCATCCAAGAACTCCAGAATACACTTTCTTTTCCTCAGCACATGGGTCATTCTCAAGGATAGACCATATGTTAGGTCACAAAACAAGTCTTAAAACATTCAAAAATGGAAATAACATCAAGCATCTTCTCTGACCACAATGGAATAAAACTAGAAATCAATAACGAGGAATTTTGGAAACTGTACAAACAAACAAACAGAAATTAAACAATATGCTTCTGAATAACCAGTGGGTCAATGAAGACATTAAGAAGGAAATGAAAAAGTTTCTTGAAACAAATGATCTTAACCATTTATAGGTGTGAAGTTCAGTGAGATTCAGTAAATTCATATTGTTGTGCAACCATCACCATCATCCATCTCCAGAAATCTTTTTATCTTGCACAACCGAAACTCTGTACCCATTAAACAACTCCTCCTTTCTCCAGCCTCTGGCAACAACCTTTCTACTTTCTGTCTCTATGAATTTGACTACTCTAAGTCACTTATATAAGTCAAATCATATTGTATTTGTCATTCTGTGACTTGCTTATTTCATAATGTCTTCAGTTTGTCCAAGTTTTAAAGTGTGTCAGAATTTTTTCCCATTTTAAGGCTGAGCAGTATCCCATTCTATGTATACAGTATCACATTACACATATCTCTTCATCTATCAAGAAGCACTTGGGTTACTTCCAACTTTTGGCTAATGTAAATAATGCTTTTATGTACATGGGTACACAAATATCTTTCTAAGTGCCTTCTTTCAATTCTTTTAGAATATAGTCAGAATTAAAATTGCTGAATCATAAGGTAATACTATTTTTAAATTATTTAGGAGCTGTCATACTATTTTCCAAAGAAACTGCACTGTTTTACATTCCTACCAGTAATGCTTGTACAAGGACTGTAATTTCTACATACCCTGTAATATTTAGCATTTTCTTTTATTCTTCTTTGTTAAAAATAGCTATCCTACTGTGTGCAAAGTGATAGCCCATTGTGGTCTTGCTTTGCATTTCTTTAATAATTGATGATTTGAGGATCTTTTTATATTCTTGCTGGCCACTTGTATATATCCTATGGAGAAATGTTTATTCAAATATTTTGCCCATTTTTTATTGGCAAAAGTGTTTACTATTTATTTATGTATTTTTTGTTGTTGAGTTATAAGTGTTCTTTATATATTCTGGATATTAACTCCGATATATAGCTTGCAAATATTTCCTCCCATTCTGTGGGTTATATTTTCTCTCTGATGATAGCGTCCTTTGATGCACAAAAGTCTTTACAATTTAATGTAGTTCAATTTGCCTATTTTTCCTTTAGTTTCCTGTGCCTTTGGTGTCATATCCAAGGAATTATTGTTAAATCCAATGTCATGAAATTTTCCCATTATGTTTACTCCTAAAGGTTTTTAGCTCTTTTGGCCTTTGATCCATTTTGAGGTAATTTTTGTATATGTTGTAAGGTATGGGTTCAACTTAATTTTTTCTCAGGTTTCCCAGTACCATGTGTTGAAAAGATCGTCCTTCCCCATCCAATGGTCTTGGCATCCTTGTTGAAAATCATTTGACTATGTATGTGAGGAATTGTTTCTGGGATTTCTATTCTATTCCATTGGTCTATATGTCTGTCTTTGTACCAGTACTACATTGCTTTGATTATTGTAGCTTTTTTTTTGTTGTTGTTGTTGTTTTGAGACTGAGTTTTGCTCTGTTGCCCAGGCTGGATTCCAGCTGGGACCACAGGAGCATGCCACCACATCCAATTAACTTTCAAATATTTTGTAGAGATGGGGTCCCCCTATGTTGCTCAGGCTGGTCTCAAACTCCTGGGGTCAAGTAATCCTCCTATTTCAGCCTCTCAAAGTGCTGAGATTATAGGTGTGAGCCATTGTGCCTGGCAATTACTGTAGTTTTATACTAAGTTTTGAAATCTGGAAGTGTGAGACCTTCAATTCTGTTCTTTTTCAAGACTACTGTGGCTATTCTTGGTTCCTTCCTATTCCATAGGCATTTTATGGTGGATTTTTCTATTTCTGCAAAAAGTGTTGTTGGGATTTTATAAGGTTTGCATTGAATCTGTAGATTGCTTTGGACAGTATGAATATTTTAACAATATTAGTCTTCTAATCCATGAACAAGAGATTTTTTAAAATTTATTTTTGCTGTCTTTAATTTCTTTCACCAGTGTATTGTAGTTTTCAGTGTACAAGACTTTTGGCTCAATGGATAAATTTATTCCTATGTATTCTGTTATTTTCCATGCTATTGTAAATGGAATTAGTTTTTAACCTTCCTTTTCAGATTGTTCATTGTTAGTGTTGAGAAATGCACTGATTTTCGCATGTTAATTTTGTATCTTGCATCTTTGCTAGATTTATTAGTTGTAACAGTATTTTGTGGAATCTTTAGGAGTTTTTACATATAACATCATGTTGTCTGCGACCAAAGACAATTCGACTTCCTCCCCTCCATTTTGGATTTATTTTATTTTTTCTTGCCTAATTGTTCTGGCTAGGAATTCTAGTATTATGTTGACTAGAAATTTCAAAAGAGTGCATCCTTGTCTTGTGCTTGATCTTCAAGAAAGATCTTTCAGTCTTTCATTACTGAATGTGATGTTAACTGTGGGTTATTTATGACCTTTATTATATTCAGGTAGTTTCCTTCTATTCCTAGTTTGTTGAATGTCTTTATCATGAAAGCGTGTTGAGTTTTGTCAAATGAATTTTCTGCATCAATTGAGATGATCACGTATTTTCCCTTCACTCTGTTAATGTGGCATATTACATTGATTTATTTACATATGATGAAACATGATATCCTCTTATTAGTATTTTAATATCTGTAGAATCTTTAGTGATGTCACCTTTCTCATTCCTGATATTGGTAATTTGTGTCTTGTCTCTTTTTTCCCTGATCAACATGACTAGATGTTTATCAACTTTATTGATTGATCCAAAGAGCTGGATTTTGGTTTTACTGATTTTCTCTATTGTTTTGTTTTTCTATTTTCTATTTCATTGATTCTGCTCTGTTCTTTGTTAGTTTTTTCTGCTTATTTTTCATTTTCTCTTTCTTTTCTAGTTTGTTAGGGAATAGGCTAATATCATTGATTAGAGACTTTTCTTTTTGTCTAATAGAGGTCTATAATGCTATAAATATTCTTCCAAATTCTACTTTGTGTTCCACAAATTTTGTTATATTGTGTTTTCTTTTCATTTAGTTTAACATACTTTTACATTTCCCTTTTAATTTTTTTTCTTTGATCCATGAGTTATTTATTTTATTTTTTTATTTTTTAAAATTTTCTTATTTTTAATTTTTTTTTATTAGTTTACAAATGTTTGGAATTTTTTCAGATACCTTTCTCTTCTTGATTTTTTTATTTGAAAGAGATATCTAGTCATGGGTGTATTATTTACTAGTTTCTAAAAGTACACACCTCTTGTTAATTTCTAATTTAATTCTATAGGTGTCAGAGAACATAGTTTGTATAACTTGAATCCTTTTAAATTTAATGTGACTTGTTTACAACCCAGAATATGGCCTATTTTGGTAAACGTGTCATGTGCATTTGAAAAAAAAATGTGTATTCTAATGTTGTGGGGTGGAGTGTTCTATGAATGCAATTAGATTAAGTTGACTAATTTTGTTGTTCAAGTCTTCTATATCATTGCTGACTTTCTGTTTATATTTTCTATTAGTTATTAGTAGAGGAATATTGAAATCTCCTATTTTAATGGCAGATTTTTCTCATTAATTTTAGTTTTTATTAGTTTTTGTTTCATATATTTGGAAGCTCTGTTTTTAAGTTCATAAATTCTTAGATTGTTACATTATATTGATTAATCAATACCTTTAACATCAGAAAATGATCGTTTTTTACTTCTGGCAATATTATTTCCTCTGAAATCCACTTTGCCTGATACTAATATAGCTGTTCCAGCTTTCTTTGGACAGCTGGACGTCAGCATGAAATATCATTTTTCACTCTTTCATTTTTGAACCTATTTGTGTCTTCATATTTAAAGTGGCTTTCTTTTAAGTAGCATATATTTAGGTTTTGCTGCTTTATTAATCTGATTTATCTGCCCTTTTGTGTGGTGTTTAGAACATTTATATTTCATCTAATTTTTGATATGGCTGAGGTTAAATCTACCATTTTTATATTTGTTTTCTATTTGTCCCATCTGTTCTTTGTTCCTCTTTCATGTCATTTTTGGATTAACTGAGTTTTTTATGATTCTATTTTATCTCCTTTGTGGGCTTGTTAATTATAACAAGTGTTTTGTTACTTAGTATTTCCTGTAAGTTTTATAATATGCATCTTTAACTTATCACAATCTGTCTTCAAGTGACATTATACTGTTTCACATGAAATATGAGAACCATACATAGTATACTTCTATTTCTCCCCTTTTGGCCTTTGTGATCTCATTTTATTTCAATATGTTATAAATCCTACGATACATTTTATTTTTTCTTTAAAAGAGCCAATTCTCTTTTTCTAATTACTTTATTGAGACGTCTTTGATATACTACACAGTCCACTCATTTAAAGTGTAAAATTCTGTTTTTTGCTATATTCAGAAATATATACTTATTACCACAGTCAATTGAAAATGTTTTCATCACTTCAAGGAAAAAACCTGTATCCTTTATCTGTCACCCCTCTATACCCCGTCCCCGTCCCTATTCCCCATACCTAGCCCTAAGCAACAATTATTCTATTTTTTGTCTCTTTAGATCCCTATTCTGGACATTCATAAGAATGGAATCATACAGTATGTAGTCTTTTGTGATGGACTTATTTAACTTGGCATGATGTTTTCAAGGTTCATCCATATTGTAGCACATATCAGTGCTTCACTTTTTATTAAGAATGAATTAATATCCCATGGTCTAGCTCTACAACATTTTGTTTATTCATCCATTGACTGACATTTGTGTTGTTTCCAGCTTTTTTTACTATTATGAATAATGCTGCTATAACAATCTGTATATAAACTTATATACAGGTGGACATGTGTTTTCATTTCTTTTGGGTATACACCTTGTAGTGGAATTGCTGGATTATGTGGTAACCACGTTTAATTATTTGAGGAAGTGCAAGAGTGTTTTTCAACATGGCTGCACCACTTTACAGTCTTACCTGCAGTTTATGAAGCTTGGACTTTTTTCATATCCTCACCAACACTTGATGGTATCTGACTTTTTGATGGTAGCCATCCTGGGGATCACGAAGTGGTATCTCATGATTCCAGTGATCTTTTAAAGAGATTTAAATAATGAGAAAAATTACTTATATTTACTTATGCAGTTACCAGCTCCAGGACTCTTTATTCATTTATTTAGATTCTAAGTTTCTGTCTGGTTTTGTTTTTCTTCCTTGTAGTACACATCTGCTGTTCAACTTTTCTGTCAGAGAAAGCTTTATTTTGCCTTTATTTCTGAAAGATAGTTTAAGATAGTATAAACAATTTTAGGTTGAATTATTTTTATTTCAATACTTTAAATATCTCGCTTTACTCTTTTCTAGTTTCCCTGTTTCTATTAGGAAATTTTCTATTATCTTCGTCTTTGTTCCTCTATATGTCAAATTTTCCCCTTCTGGCTGCTTCTAAGATTTTCTTTTTATCATTGGTTTTAAGCCATTTGATTATGTCTTAGTATAGCTTTCTTCATGCTCCTTGTGCTGCAGTTTGTTGAGCTGCATAGATCTGTGGGTTTACAGTTTACATCAACTTTTGAAAAATTTTGCCAATTTTTTCTTCAAATATTTTTGGACTTCCCCTCTCTCCTCTGTCTTTCGTAGACATCAATTGAATGTATATTTTGTTGCTGGCAGTTTGCACCATCGTTCATTAATTATTTATTTATGTTTTAGTTAGTTTTCACTCCATGGTTTATTTTAGAGTGTTTTTTACTCTGTGTGTATTTGTGTGTATTGGTATGTCTTCATAATCTTTTCATCTCCAATGAGTCATCTGTCATTAACCACGTCCACTAACTTTTTAAAAAATCTCAGACATTTTAGTGTTCATGTCTAGAAGTTGGTTTGGATCTTTTCATATGTTCCATTTTGCTACTTAACATGTTTAATCTTTCCTCCAGCTTCTTGAACATATAGAATATAGTTATAATAATAGTTTAATATCTTTTTCTATCAATCTATCATATTTTTAATTTTTCTGTCAATTTTGATTGATTTTTCTTTTGATGAAAAGAAAAATAGGTTTTGTAGGTTGTGCTTTCTGCTTCTTTGCCTGTCTGGTAAATTTTTATTGGCTACCAGGCATTGCATATTTTGCCTTACTAGTTACTAATATGTTTACATTTCTACAAATTGAGCTTGTTTTTGATCTTTGCTCTGGGATTCAGTTCTGTGGAAATTGTTGGTTTGCTTGTTTGTTTGTTTTCAGGTCTTACAGAAGCAAAAGTTTTCTTAGTTGGGACAAGAACAAGAACAGAGTTTAGTTTAGGGTTAATTTTTTTTTTTTTTTTTTTTTTTTTTTTTTTGAGGCAGGGTGTCACTCTGTCATCCGGGCTGGAATGCAGTGGTGAGATCATGGCTCATGGCAGCCTCAAATTCCTGGACTCAAGGGATCGTCCTGCCTCAGCCTCCCCAGTAGGTGAGGCAACAGACATGCACCACCAGGACTGTCTATTTTTTTTAACTTTTCTTTTGTAGAAATAGGGTCTCATTATGTTGACCAGGCTGATTTTGAACTTCTGGCCTCAAGTGATCCTCTTGCCTCAGCCTCCCAAAGTGCTGAAATTACAGGCCTGAGCCACCATGCCTGGATTAGGGTTAATTTTTGACTATTACTGAGGCAAGACCTTTTTAGTACTTTAACCTAGGACTTCTCAATTGCATCACTACTGACATTTTGGTACAGATAACTTTTAGTGGTGGGAGATTTCCTGTGCATTGTTTAACTTTCAGACTAGATATCAGTAGCATGCTCCCAGTTGTGACAACCAAAAATTTCTCCAGTCATTGCCAAATGTCCCCTTGGGGCCAAAATTGCCTTCCTTTGGGAACTACTGTTCTAACCAATGCTGCCTGAATTGTAAGATGTTACACATTGACTATTGACAGTAGATAATTTTTCTGAATATGTATGATCTCTGAGCACTGTTCTTTACAATCCTTGTGGGTGGTTATTTCCCTAGCCTTGCATACACAGATTAGCACTCTCTTGATTACTTGAGGGAGACCACTGCAGATCTCTGAAATTTTTCTCTGTGCATCTCTCTCCTCTTTGGTACCCTCTCATATGAACTCTAACCACCTTAATTTTCTCAGATTCCCACCTGTGTCTACTTAATTAAAGGAGGCTTCCTAAGTTACCCCTTTCTGTGTTGCACTCTGAAACTTTCTCCAAATAGTAGTCTGGGCCAATATTAGGGTTCACTTCATTTGTTTTTCATTTTTTTCAAGGATAATTATTTTTCATTGCCTGATGTCCAATGTCTTGAGTGCCATTATTTGCATGTTCAGTCTAGCCTTTTAGTTGTTTTAGAAAGGAGGATAACTCCTCTCCATGATACTTTGTCTTGATTTGAAGTAAAAGTAACATTTAGTAGGTTTTAAAATTTTTCAAATATTTGAGACATTTCCAGATATTTTTGTATTTTTGTTATTTATTTCTAATTCAACTCCACTGTGGCCATGAAACCTGTTTTAGTTAGGATTCTCCATAAGGACAGAGCTAATAGGGGATAAATACATGTGTGTGTAAACATTTTATGTATATTATATATATATATTTACACACACACACGTGTGTGTGTGTGTATGGGAATTCACTAGGAAGAATTGGCTCACAGGATCATAGAGACTAAGTCCCTCAATAGGCTGTCTGCAAACTAGAGAAATATAGAAGCTGGTAGCATGGCTCCTAGAGAAGCCAGTAGCATGACTCCCAGGGAAGGTATTAGTATGGATCAATCCAAGTCCTAAAGCCTCAAAACCAGAGAAGCTGAAAGTGCAGCCTCCAGTCTGAAGCCAAAGGCCTGAGAGCCACTGGTGCCAGTCCCAGAGACCAAAAGCCAAAGAACCTGGAGTCTGATATCCAAAGGTGGAAGGATGAAAAGGGCATATTGCTCTGGAAGATAGAGAAAGAGAGAAAGTGAACAAAGAAAAAAGAGCAAGCAAACCGAATGTCCCCCCTTCTTCTATGTGCTTTTTTGTAGCTGCACCAGCGGTAATTAGATGGTACCTGCCCATATGGAGGTCAGGTCTTCTTCTTTCAGTCCAGTAACTCACATGTCAGTCTCCTCTGGAAACACCCTCACAAACACACCCAGAAACAATGCTTCAGCAGCCATCTTGAAATCCCTTGATCCAGTTAAGTTGACACCTAATATTAAGCATCACAGAACCTTCTCTGTATGGTTTCAATTCTTTTAAATATATGCAGATATGATTTATGGCCCAAATATGTGGTCTATCTTGGTGAAATGTCCAATATGACTTTTAAAATAATGTGCTTTGTGCTGTTAGGGAATGGATGGAATGCTTTATAAATGCCATTTAGGTAAAATTGGTTGACAGCATTGTTCCATTCTTCTATATATTTACTAATGTTTAGGGTATACTTGTATCAATTACAGAAGATAGAATATCAAAATCTGTAAATGTAATTGTGAAATTGCCTATTTTTCATTTTCTTTGTGTCAGTGCTTCATGCATTTTGAAGATCTGTTATACACATTTATATGTTTAGAATTATATTTTTGATCAATTGGCTCTTTTATAATTATAAAATGTAAATGTTCCTCACTAGCCTGAGCAATATTCTTTGTTCTGAAGTCTTGTTTATCTGATGTTAATATAAAAATCCAGCTTTCTTATGATCAGTGCTTGAATGCTACATCTTTTTCCATTCTTCTATCTCTGTCTTCATATTTAAATTGTATATTTTATATGGAGCATTTAATTATTTTTGCAGTGTGATAGCATCTTATAATACATCATTTTCATTTAATGTATTTTCAATTTGTTTGGAATTAAATACATTGTTGTTTGTTTTCTGTTTTCCCCATGTGTTCTTTGTGCAGCTTTTTCTTTACTGCCTTTCTTGGCATTATTTAGGTATTTCATTAACATTCCATTTAATCTCTTTTCTTGACTTATTAGCTCTACCTCTTTGTTTTATCTTATCACAAGTTGCCCTAATATTTCCAATATGCATCTTTATCTTATCATGGTCTTTCCTCAAAAGATATTATATCCCTTCATGTAAACTGTAAAAACCTTACAACAATACTTTTCCATTTTCTCTTCTATTTTACACTATTATTTTCATAGATTTCCCTCTACATATGTTATTAACCACACAATCCATAGTTATTATTGTTGCTTTAAACAGTCACTTAGCTTTTAAGTAAATTAACAAAAAAGTGTGAAGGCATTTAAAAAATATTTACCCATATATTTAAACTTTCCAATTCTCTTTATTTCTGTGTATAAATCCATATTTTCCCATCTGGTATTATTTTCCTCCTGCTTGGTGAAATTCCTTTAATATTTCTTGTAGCACAGGTCTGATGATAATTAATTATATTAGATATTGCTTGACTGGAGAATTCTTTATTTTGCCTTTATTTCTGAAAGATATTTTCTCAAGATTGAAATTCTAAGTAAACAATTTCTTCAGTGCTTTAAAGATTTTGTTCCATTGCCTTCTGGCTTGCATAGCTTCTGATGAGAAGTTATTGTCATTCTTATGTTTGTTCTTTTGTATGTAATAACTGTATGTCTGCTTCTCTGGCTGCTAAGATTTTTTTCATCATTAAATTTTAAAATTTGATTATGGTATGTATTAGTGTAAATTTTTGTGTGTTTATTTTGTTTGAGATTTTAGGTTCTTGTTTATTGTTTTCATCAAATTTGGAAAATTTTCAGACATTATTTCTTTTATAGATCTATCTATTTATCTAATTATTTCTTCCCTTCTATTTCTGTGATCCCAATTACATATATGTTGAATCATTTGATATTCTCTCTCAGGTTACCAGGAACTCTGTGTTTCTTTAAAGAGTGTTAGGCTTTTTCCACTTAAGCAGGAGAGTCTTCAGTAGCCTTTTGTCAAGGAATAATTGAGCCCAGTACTCAGGTGTGGTTCTTCTTAGTGATTGCTTTTCTTCCAATGTAATATTCGCCTCCAAGTAATAACTACAGTGTCTTCATTATAATTATTTTTGAGAAGGAATTTTCCTGACTTTTATATTATTTCAGTGTGACTTACTACGTAACATTAATTTTTTAACAGTTTAAGACATGCTTGTAATTGGTCACTTCCCCTTCTGCCAACACATCCCCTTTTAGTGATATTTAGGTGTTTATACATGTTTGAATATGATATTTTAATAATTTAAAAATTACAATAGTGATACATATTCAGTTAATAATTTGAAAAAAGCAGACAAGAAAAAATGAGAAAATACAAATTATTCATATCACCCAACCCCAGTCAGAGATAAATACTTTGAACTATTTGATACACATATTTCTTATATATATAACCTTCTATAATAACTGTTAATTTTTATTTTTTTATTTTTATTTTTTTCCAGCCTGATAGATTTGATTTTAATAAAATAAGTGTAAACATTTACATATATGCTTATATATAAAGTAATTTCAATAAATGGAAACACATGCATACAAAACTGCAAAGAGCATTTTACTGTAGCAGGTATTACAGGATTAGCTAAAATGAAAGTTTCATTTCTTATTGTGTTTTTTTTTAAATTTATTATTATTATACTTTAAGGTTTAGGGTACAAGTGCACAATGTGCAGGTTAGTTACATATGTATACATGTGCCATGCTGCTGTGCTGCACCCATTAACTCATCATCTAGCATTAGGTATATCTCCTAATGCTATCCCTCTCCCTTCCCCCCACCCCACAACAGTCCCCAGAGTGTGATGTTCCCCTTCCCGTGTCCATGTGTTCTCATTGTTCAATTCCCACCTATGAGTGAGAATATGCGGCGTTTGGTTTTTTGTTCTTGTGATAGTTTACTGAGAATGATGATTTCCAATTTCATCCATGTCCCTACAAAGGACATGAACTCATCATTTTTTATGGCTGCATAGTATTCCAGGGTGTATATGTGCCACATTTTCTTAATCCACTCTATCATTGTTGGACATTTGGGTTGGTTCCAAGTCTTTGCTATTGTGAATAATGCCACAATAAACGTACGTGTGCATGTGTCTTTATAGCAGCATGATGTATAGTCCTTTGGGTATATACCCAGTAATGGGATGGCTGGGTCAAATGGTATTTCTAATAACTGTTAATTTTTAATATAAGAATTGGGATTATGCTGTGTACTTATTGAGCAACCTGCTTTTTCACATAATATACCATGAATGTCTTTCTATCAATTAAGCATTCTACTTTATTTGCTTAACAGTCATGTATATAATGCTTACTGTATTTCTGGCATTGTTCTAAGCATTTTACAAATATTAACTTATTTATTCCTCATGACATCACTATTAGGTAAATACTAATAACATCCCCCTTTGCACGGAAGAGGACACTGAGATACAGAGTAGTTAAGTAATTGCCCATGGTCCTAGAGATAGCCTTGTAAATAATGGAGCTGAAATTAAGCTCAAGTGGTCTAAAACATAGTTTCACTTTGTGTTCTAGATATAATCTAGTTTCTGTTTTTTTTTTTCACCAAGACACATTAATAAGGCCCAGATGAAGTAGTCTTCATTGTCCCATGCCTTATGCAAAGGAATGGGTTTGTTTTTTCTGCCTTGCATTCCATTTCCTTTGCTCAGGATCCTTGATTTCTTTTTGAGGACTCTTCTCTCACCGTGTTCAGCCTTGGTTGGGCAGTAGATATGGGACAGTTCTCCCACTTTCAAGGCTGGACAGGGTGTATGGAGATTCCTTCTATCAGATCATCCCCCTCACTGCCCTTATGAAGCTGGGGGCAGATACATAACCTCAGCATGGCCAATTGTGTGCTGTTTCCTAAGATTTTAATCTTTGAGGGTTTTGAATTTATTTGTTTCACCACAATATCAGCTTCACAAAGGCAAGGATTCTTATCAGTTTTGTTCATGGTTGTATTTCCCTTACTTAGGATAGGTTCTCTTGCATACTAGGACTCAGTAAATATTTTTTGAATAAATGTATGAATATGTAAAACACTTAGCACAGTGCCAGTCACACAGTAGATGCTTAAAAGTTGGAGATATTACTACTGTTATCAGTTTTTGCTATTTTATATCTCCCACTACCAGAAGGAATGTTCCTTGAGAATGAGGAATGTTGTCTGTTTTGTTTAATGCTATATCCTCACCATGTAGAGGATATAACAGCATCCTCTATCTGTTATCATGTGCCTGGCACATGATAAGTACTTGCAAATATGTGTTGGATGAGTGAATGAATTCCAGTGGTGGCATATACTTGATTGAAGCTGCTGGGTGTTCCCAAACCCTCTGGAGCTCCTGGTTCCTGTCTGTTTCAAGTCTAGTTCTTCAGTTTTCTATGATCTGATAAAAATTCCCCATGGCCATCTAATACTTTCTCATTTTTGCTTAAGTTACCAAGAATTCCTTGTGGTGGTTTATAATCAAAGACCTCCACCTAAAACAACAAACTATAGAAATGCCTCTTAAATTCGTAGTACTGTGTTATCAATATCAATAGAGGACCAGGGACACGTGATCTGTGATGTGATCTCTGTAACCTGTTGAAGTTGGTGTTGCTACAATTACTGACTTAATTTTGTCACTATTTGCTGAAATGTTGGTATTTCTAGGACACTTCAGGGGTTTATGTGGATACCATCTACTAGGGTATTTAAGGCCAGGACAGTTCCGGAAAGAGGGAGACAGACATTTGCTGTGTCTGTACTGCTTATTTAGCAAGGGCTCACATTCTTCCAACGCACTTTCTCACTTACTTGGCTGCATTCTGTTTCTAGGATGACTGCACATTTATTAAGGGTAGTTGTTATCTGCCTTGAAAGCAGAGATCTACAATTTGTCTTTTGGATGTGAAGCAAACTACACAATCTAGCATCAGAAGACCTCAGTGTTAATCTATTCCTGCAACTTATTTGCTCAAGCAGTTTCAAATCCATTTTTTAAGTGGCTTTGGTTGTACAGCACCAATGATATGAAGGACAATGCTTAGAACACTTGTCAAAGTCCCAGTCCCTATCTGTGACTGTCTCACGCTTTTCTTGGGACACCATTTTTGAAGGAGTTATAAAATGCCTCATTCCAAAATCAATGCTAATTTAATAAGCACTACCCATTTATTTTCTGTGCTTTTTAAAATAGCTTCAAGGGGCTAAGAATGGGCTCTAAGATGATCTGTAACTAGGTGAGCAGGCTGCTTCATCAAAGGTTATTTAGGGGGAAGGTAGTGGCCAAAAATCTACTGAGAAATTCTTTCTTTCACTCTAGGTGTATACCCAAATGTGTTTGTAAGTCCCTCTTCATTCTTACTTAGCAGCTTAATCGAAAGCCATTTAGTAGCTCTCACTCCTTCAGATTATTGCCATCTGGACAGTTTGCATTTCCTCCAAAAGATTAGTAATCAATTACTGTGCTAAATGTGTACATATATGTGTATATACACATATATGTACGCATACATATTACATAAATGTACACTATTACATTTATAAAATACATATATATTATTTTATATATATATTAAATATATGAACTATGTTTTTCATAGTTAAACAGGTGACATTTTGTTCCCATGCTTTCATACTTTTGTGGTTCCAGAAACATCATTATTTCCTAAAATAAAGCAGGAGAGTGGAAACCAGTAAGCCAATAAAATCTTTCTTTAGTAGTTTTTTACTATTATTATAAGAGAATACACAGATTTACTGGTAGGTGAATTTGTGAGGTGCTGTTGTAATGCCTTGAATTGAAGGCTTGTGGCCAAGTACGTAACCAAGCAAAGCTCGCTCCAACAGTACTGTGTTAGTAGAAGCACATAATTCCTTCTGAGTGAGTTTACATCTGCAAGGCTATTAACTGGCCATGGTTCCTCCAGATACTAATAGTACATGCTGGAGAGCCTCTTAGCCACACTGAGGAGAGTAATGCCAGGAACGTTGCTCTCTAACCAACATCATATTAATGATCTTCCTGTACAATATTGCCCATATAAGCAAATAGCTGGCTTGGAAGTTTTGTGGATTTCTTGTTTGTTTGTTTTACTTTTTAGATGCTGGGCCTTAAGCTAAATCCCTTTCTTATGTGTGCGCAGAACACTTTCTAAAAGGAGGAGTCCAAGGCAGTTTTGAGATTCAACTTGATTATGATGATTTTTGCTACCTTCAGCTCAAGATTTCTTAGATTCTCCATGGCAGAATACAAATGGGTAGAATGGCATCATAAAGGGCCCAGGAACAAAACAGATTCACACTGTGTCACAGACTTATAATTTTCCCAATAACTTCTTGTCTATCCCAGGAACCCATCTTCCGCAAAGCCTACCTTCTGGAGAAAAGATTTCAGGAAACAGCAAGATTATAGACTCCTGCGCATTCTCATCTGAGCTTTATGGGATGGGAGGGATCACTGGAGCATCCTAGAGAAGGCTTGGGCTGGTGCTCAGCAAAGTGGTAAGCAGAATACTTGGTCTGTAGCATTACTGTGCCCCCTCTTCTCTCGACCCCTCTGGCTGTCCAGATTCCTGATCTCAAGTTTCATTCAACAGGGAACTGCTTCACACTGGGGCCATAAAACAATGAATAATGGACAAGAAGAAGCCTGTAATGTGAAGATTTTAGGAAATTCAGGATCAAATTTCTTTTGGTTGTAAGTGACAGAAACCTTCCTTTCTTGTTTAAGCATGCAAGAAAATGTATTGGCAGAATACTGGTGTAGCTCCCAGAACAAGTGGAAGAGCTTCAGGAACTAAAGCAGCTCAGGAGACCTCAGTGATTTGGGGAATTGGAGACTTGATAACACCAGTGACTGTGTGCTTATATGCTAGTATGGACTAGTTCTCTCTCTCTCTCTTTCAAACACACACACACACACGCACATGCACACACACACACACACACACAGAGAGAGAGAGAGAGAGAGAGAGAGCTCTGCTCATTTATTCCTGGCTTCAAACTCTTCTACTGCAGTTGAGCTTTTTTCACTTGGTGGAAAACATAGATTCTGGCATCCTTGGATTTACAAAATCCCAGCATAGAGGCCCCAGAGAAAAGAGAATGCACCTTTGTTCTCTTATTGTGATTTGAACAATATCCAAGGAGAATTCTGACTTTGAATGTAAACATGGGGTATTAATTGGCCACAACTTGGTATAATATGACTTGCAGCTGATGCAAATGTGACCATGATCAGAGCTGCATTGATATGAGCAGATTGTCTAAAGCAAAGGATGTGGTGATCCAAAGTATTATCACTTTTTCTTTCAAAGAGGATGATGATTGAGTTTATGAGCCCTCTGAAGGTCTGGAAACCATGAATTATGAGGTCAGTTTTAAGAAGCTGTGGATGATTCATGTAGAGGAGAGAAGGCTCGGGAAAATTGGTTGGGGTGGTACAGGGACGTGAAAACTGTCTTCATATAATGGAGAGGGGCTAGATTTACTGGCTAATACAGAATGTAAAACTAACAGTAAAGCAGAGGCAAGGAGTAAGTAGTAGAAAGTAGTAGAAAGTTCATTGGTTTCAGGGTCAGAAGACCTGGGCTTTGACTTGGTTTTGCCTCTATCTGAATCTCCTCCTTGTTGGAGTTTGTTCAGCCATGGCTTGAACTGGCTGGGCCATGGTTCAGATGAGATTGCTGGGATTGTGGGGTGGAGTCAGTGGAGCCAAAGTTGTGGGTCATGATGGGGAGGCAAGTCTTAGTGTTTTACAGAAAGCTTGAGGCAAAATCCAGACCCCAGTCGAAGGTCCAGAGACAGGCCCAAGGTTATAGTCACAAGGAAGGCAAGAGTCACAAGGGTATTGGAACAAGAGCAGGTCAGGAAAAAGTGGGAGCAGATGGGTCTTGAGAAATTGGTAAAACATGAATAGGCTCTTTTTGTTTTTTTCCAAGTGTGTAAGGAGCCTGGTGAGGTGCACCAGCTTAGAGAGCTAAGTCATTTTTCAGCCATAAACTTGGCTAAATATCCTCTCATAATTAAGCCTCAGTTGCCTCAAATGGGAATTAAGGAGGTTGAAGAAAATGAGTTTCCAGCATCCCTTAAGCTCTAGTTTAAAAGTTAACAGGAAAGAAACCCTGGGAATTCTACTAAAACAGAGTTTTCTCCCATCTAGAAAAGTCCATTCACGGAGCTGGCAATCTTGGCAGCTTGCAGATCTATTGGCAGGGCAAGGAGGCCTAGACTGTGTACTTTCACCTCTTTTAACTAATAGCCCTTCTAGAAGGGTGACAGCATGCTGCTTAGGTAGTCTTCTATTGGCATCACTCTCTCTGTGCTAGGCTGGTTTTTCTCAGTCAGTAAAGCTATTGCAGAAATCGGATGTTCTCTATTTTGCCAAAGTAGAAAGCAAGACAAACACTTTTCAGATTTTCACTGGTGGGAGTATTTTCTGTTGTTGTTTTGTCTTCTCTTTGGAAAATCTCCATAGCTGTACTATTTGACTATCCGGAGCTTTCGCGTGCAGTGCAAACACCATCTGTTATAACCAGAGACACACATACTGCATGTAACTAATAATATAAGCCAGTGTTGCAGCTGTATGTGGCAGGAGAAATTGACAGAACCCCAACTTCTTTTTGTAGGACTGACAAGGTGAATAGGGCATTTGTGGTTTGTCTGAGCTTTTGTATTTAACAGTTAAAGATCTCTTTTGGCTGCTATGGAGATACTGCCTAGTTGGTTAGAAAACTTGCCTTGAAGAACAAAGTAGCTGTTGGGTGTTCATTCAGGAGGAGGTACAACCAAAAATGAAAGTCAGGTGGGCTATTTAAAGAGGCCTAAAAATTCCTCTGCCAGGGAAGTTCAGGTCTAGGCACAGAAGATGTGGTTCTTTCTCTGCTTTCACCATTGATATGTGCCAGAGGGGGCCCAGAGGGTCACCAGGCTGGCATATTCTTTATCTTTCCAGCTTTCTATACTAACTCTTAACCTCCCTGTTGCACTATTGTTTTTCATACACATGGTCATTGAGGCTTTCCACAAGGCAGGGCAGAGTGTACTATCTACTACTATTCAGGAGGTAACTGAAGCTCAGGGTTGATATGACCCATCCTTCATCCTAAGGGGCACAACTGGGATTAGAGCCCAGTTTTGAGGCTCTGGCCCTGTGTCTCTTGCCCCATTTTTTTCTTTATTTTTGCTCTGCTTCACCAGCCCTTTCAGCTCATGGCTTATGGGATGTTGTGAGGGCTTCCTGAGGAATATGTTTTTGAGAGCTATCTAAAGCAGAAAAGATCTACACAGGTGCAAAGTCCAAGTGCGCATGTTGGGGTGGTAGAATAACAATTCCTATGTTTGGGTATCGATTGTTGAGTTCCAGCTTCGAGCTGCCTCCTCAGCATTATAGAATGTAGCTCTTGTAAAAGGGCTTCTTGGTTCTTTCTAAGATGACTGTGAAAAGAAACCTGCCATAGGCACTCCTTAAAGGCAGGGATTATATGTACCTCATTTCTGTATTCCCTCTTTCCAGCTCAAGGTCAAGCTGCTTATGTTGCCAAGAGGCCCCTGGGCATCAGACAAACAGGTAATGGGAGCAGGAATACCTACTTTGTGCCAGGCCCTTTGCTAGCCGGGGAATAAGGGTACAACAGTAGCAAGACTGAATATTGTCCCAACCCTCCTGAAGGAGATAGTCAAATTAGGGAGATGCACTGCGAATAAGTGAACAAACAAGTAAATGATTACAAGGCATGATGAATGCTTGGAAGGAAATTAATTTACACAGAATTGTGTGTGAGATAGCTACTCAAAACTTGGTGTTCTCAACTCTTGGAGGAGATGGCATGGAAGTTGAGGCATAAAGGATGAGAAGGAGGTGGCTATTCAAGAAGTTGGAGAAAAGCACTTCAGGCAGGTTACCCCACTACCATGCTTATAAATTTTCCTGATGATGACAGGTGAGATGATGATGATGTGAGAAGATGCTCCTGACTTTCAGGATAGGGCTAGAACCCATGGAACAGGATTCAATGTTAAATGCTCAGTTGCCTGTGTGCATGGATGATACAAACTCTCAGCAGTGCCTGACCGCATGCTGCTTCATATGCACATTGCTCTGATGGTTTATGCCTATCTTAAATGAGGCCAAAGTCATTGATACAGGCAGCTGTCTCCCATTAGTAGTCTAAGCAGGATTGCACTTGGTGGTCCTCAAGGGCCTTCATAATCTTAAGATATTTAAGGACTTCAAGGGTCCCTTAGTCTCACTCTGTTCTCCAGTCCTTGACAGTATCTTCACACTGATTCCCAGTAGGACAAAATCATTAACCAACAAATTTGAAAATACATATTAATGACCATAGAATGTCCAGGAGTTTCACTTTTGGAAAATATATGCCAAGGAAAAAAATTCAAACTGTGTACGTACACATTGCAAATTTATCCAAATGGAAAATTTGGAAGCAATCCAATGGTAAACAGTAAGAGAATGGATAAGTTAAAAAATGGTAAGAGTAGTAATATCAGCTACATGTACTAAGGAGTTACTCCCAGCACCGTGTTAAGTATTTTATGGCATTATCTCATTAAGCCTCAAAACAACCTGATAATGGGTACTCTGCTATTGTCATCCCTAGTTTATAGAGAAGGAAGCTGAAGCTCAGAGGTTGAGTCACTCATGTAAGACCACAGAACCAGTAAATAGTAGAGTTGCAATTTGACTCCAGCTGCATCTAATCCCAGAACACATGTTCTTAACCACCTATGGTGCACTTTTTTGTCTCTATCACATCCATTTCGTGTGGCTCTCAAAATGATGGCTGTAACATGTAAAGATACTTAAGTTGTATGTATTTTTTAAGTACAATTGTGGACACGGTTCAATTACAACATTATAAAACAAACAGGACTTATTTATAACCAAAAAGACAGAGCATTTGTTACTCTTAGTCAGCTTGGGCTGCTATAACAAAATACTATACACTGAGCAACTTAACAACAGAAATGTATTTCTCACAGTTTGGGAGGCTGTGGAGTCCAAGATCAAGACACCAGTAGTTTCCATGTCTGGTGAGGTCCCACTTTCTCATAGACGATGCCTTCTTGCTGTGTCCTCACACTGTGGAAGAGACAAACTCCCTGGGGCCTTTTTCATAAGGACAGTAATTCCGTTTATGAGGACCCCACCCTCTTGACCCAATCACCTGACAAATGACCCCATCCCCTAATACCATTGCATTGGGGATTAAGCTTCAACATAATAATTGGGGAACATGAATATTCAGACCATAGCAGAACCGTATCAATGTTTACATTAGTCATTTTGGGATAGAACTTATTTCTCTTTTTGTACAATACTCTAGATTTTCCAAATTTTTCATAATGAGCATTTGTTACTCTTAGAGTAGAAACACTGCCAATGGACTTGTTATTAAACATGGGAACACCAATGGAAACCCCATTCATCTTTGCTAACCAAGTGGCCTCCATTTTATTTCCCTTTGACTAGTGAGCCAGAAGCCTCATTTGTGTATAGTAAGCATGGACAAGGAAAGGAAATAAATGAAGCACTTTAGTTGTTTGCCTTCAAGTCCTTGCAGGAGGAAGTAATCACTTCTGTGCACAGGAGTCTTGTATCCATTTGCTGCATATCCTATAGGAACAGGTGTGTAGCTGGTCATGATTTCAGTGACATTCACTTTGATTAGATATTTGCCTTTTATGTTGGATTTCTTGCTAAATGCAAAATGTTCTTTCTAGCCAGATTGACATGTGTTACTTCAAAAGTTTGAATGGTTCTGATCTTGGAAAAAGAAGGGCAATTTCTTGTCTTGAGCACAAAGAGGGGAAGTTTAAGAATATTGGGTTATCTAAGGCCATGATGTTGAGATGTGACTTGCTGGAGTGTCTGGATTTTGATATTTAAAACCTTTTTGTTTGAAATACTGTCTCCCTTGTGGCAGCTATCTGAAAAACTAAGCTTCTTGATGATGGGAGAAACAGATTTTTTCCTAATTATGAGATGCTGACAGGCTGTCTGTGGAATGACAGAGTGAGCCTGCATCAGCTAGGATATTACTGTCATGATTGAGGCAAGAATGCCTTTGGTCACTTGGGTAATGCGCACTTTGTTCAGGGCTAATCAAGTATCTCTAAGGCCAGGACTACTAGAAACTTCTGTCATGCCCACTGCAATTGCAGGACAACCCTGCTGATACTTGCTGGACCCTCTGCTTGGTGTACTTATCCTCAATTTCACCTGGCCCAGGCAAGGATTAGGGGGCTCTTCTTGTGTTCCCATGCCCCCGAGCTTGTTTTAGCCTTGTCATGACAGATCCAGATGGTCCTATGAGATCAGCTGCTGTAGCCCCTAATTAAGGACACTGAATTTAGGGAGGAGCTGGTATTTGCTCAAGAAAGAACACATGGTAGAGGTAGGACTGAGCTTCACAAACTTGATTCTGTTCCAAATATTTGTGCTGCACCTAATGTAAAAAATGTGTATGTGTGTGTTTTGGGGCGTGGGGACGTGGTCAGGGAGCTCCTATAGCCTTTGGGGCTCCATTGCTCATGGTCAGTGTTGTGGTTTCTTCCCTGGCACCCTGCCACATTCTGAGTATTGAGGAGAGTGAGTGGATAGGTTTCAAGTGCATGCTCTTTTCACTCTTATCCTTTCATCCCAGTGAAGTGCCAGAACTTGCTCCCCTCTCTCCCTTCTCCTTCCCCTCCCCATAGCCCCCAGAGTGATGACTAGCCTGCCTGCCCTGGTCTTGCTCACTGGACTCCCTCAGGTGTTCCATTTCCACTCCCAACAAGACTAAGGCATGGGGTGGTGGCTGTCATGTAAGTGATGGATTTCTCTCTTGCTGCTATATCCCAGCCTCCAGCTATATTTTCAGAACAGAGGTGACAGCAGCCTCAAGAATTTTTAATGTCACAAAATCTGCCTGCTTGGTGTTCTCCTTGGCATATTTTGCCATGGTTCTTTTTTCTTTTCTTCCTTTTGTTTTTGGCCACTTTCCAATACATCCAGAATTATCTGGTAATCAGTAAACAGAATTACAGAAATCACCAATTTAATCTGTGATTTCAATTTCTCCTTTCAGCCTCTCCTCCCTATTTTCTCTGTGAGCTTTTTGGTTCACTGAAGCTTGATCTTAGCACTGATTTTTGTCAGTAGACATTTTGGATATGAAGAATTCCAAGTGGTTTGTTGGTTGAATTGAATGTGCAAAGCAATAGGCAATGCCGCCTGAATCATGAATGACATATTTTTCCCTTTACTAATTTTAAACCCTCATATTCAGATTGACAGTGTTAATATTCTTCTGTCTGCTCCCTTCTTTCCTTGTACGAATTGGCAGCAAGGCTATGCGCTGTGTTGTCTGAGCTGGGGATTATGGGACTCAGGGTTTTGTCTCTAATGCTTTCCTTATGTTCACAGACCTTACCAATTTCTGTGTACAGTGGCACGTACCACCAGTGAAGGGAGCATGATTGGTGTGAGCTTCTGTCTCCTGGGTGATGGGAGGAAGCAACTGTGAGCTGAGGAATGATTTAGAAAGTAAAAGAGAAACTCAGATGATTGTCACTTTATTATTTTTTTAAATCCCCATTCAAGTGCAGATTCTGTCATTAGATAGCCTAGCTGTGAAGGCAGATTCAGAGTACCAGGGGGGATGATTCCACAGTGTTCTGGCATGTCAGCAATGGAAGAGCATGTGGCAGATCATTCAGGCAATAAACATTTTCAGGTACTGAGCTGAGGGTTAGGAATGCAGCGAAGAGCATACATCATCCAGTCTAATTACCTCTCTTAGCAGATAGGCACTTCAGCTTCCTCGAAGACAGGAGGGGCTTTCTCAAGGTCACACAATCCATAGCAGGGTGAGGCTAGAACCCAAGGCTCCTGGCCCCCAGATAGCAGTCATTTGTGTCTTAACTCTGCTGTTATCCATGATTGTGTTATACCCATGGTTGGACAGATTCCCCTAAGTGACTTGAGCAAATTTCCCCAGCTCCCTCTCCTCTCATCCTAAAAAAAGCCAGGTTCCATGCCAGGTAGGTAGATAACTCTGGATATTAGTTACCTGGAAAGACTGCAATAGGTCTGCCCACATGTGTATGTATATGTGAGCTCATAGATCTTGAAATGAGGTGGGTAATGTCTTAAGAGGGGAGAATAGAAAATGATCCTGCCAGGACTAGGGCCATACAGCTTAGTGACACTTAACAGGACTAGTTTTCTGTGTCCACTGATCACAGCCCAGCTCAGCAGCCAAGATCCCTTGAAGCACTTGGCCTGTTAGTCTCCAGAGTTCTCCTGGCTTTGCACATGCAGGTGCTCAGTAAGTATGAGTAGAATTGATCCAAGTTAGTGAGAGTAGCACTGCAAAGAAAGATGATGAAATAACTGAATTAAAGGAGCTTCTGGGCCATGAATTTCTGTTCTCTTGGCAAGTGGCTTCTCTGGAATGGCTCCAGAGAATTGTCACTTGTCCCTCCAACCCCCACTTGCCAAATTTTCCTGAGAATGGACTGCCCAGCACATCAGGTGCTGAGCTAAAAGTTGGGTATTATGAAGCATGCCACATTAGCACATCTTCCTCTTCTCAGAGATGACAGTACCAGTCACTGTGATGGACAGCAAGACACTATTCGTTGTTTGTTAATTATTAGTTGTCAACTCAGAGACTCGTTGGAAGATTCAGGCAAGTTGTAGAATCCTTCCTTTAGAGATATTACAAAAACATTGTTTAGAGGAAATAAAATACCCTTAATTATCAAAGTCTGCTGAAACCCTTGCATACTTGCCTCTGCTGGCAGCAATGGGTTTATTGAGATTTCACATTGAAGTGCCTTTATCTATGGTTTGCTCCTTGCATAATGGCTGGGTAAGAAATGGGAGTGTTTCATTGTCCATATGTCTCTGAAACATTTGAAAGGTTATTTTATGTTTTCTAAAGAAAAAGACCCACAAAAAGATGACTGGGCTCTATTGTTAACTTCCAGTTTGGAAGTGTGACCTCTAGAAGTTAAGAGACATACTTTTTAAAGAAGGATTTGGGGCTCACCTGTACGTAAACTAGCTAAGAAAACATTGAAGGTCATGGTGAATACTCTTGTGAAGCTGAACATTCACCTGACCTTCTGCTACCGTGAAAGTACTTACTTTGTTCATCTGACATTTTCTAAGACCGCATTCAAGAAAGGCACATTTATAGCAATTGTCTGGTTATTCACTGATTTCCAGACTTGTATAAATGGGTCTTGCTAGCAAGATGATTTGTCTCAGTGGAATTTTGTGTCGGTCCGAGCTCTTTACGATATAGAGCCTAACATTCCTCTGGTGTGTACTCTGCGGCCATCTAAGCAGCTGTGAGTGAAAGGAGTAAGCTATCCAAGTGCTTGCTTTGCAGCTCAAAGAGAGGATTACTTAGAACTTCATTCTTAGTCCTGGTTTCACTGTGACTTAGAGCAGAGGTAAGAGATTTGCTTGAGGGAGATGAAAGAAACATTGAATGGCCATAAATTGGGGGTGGGGGGGCGGTGTTGGAGGTGGTTCCTTTCCTGTTAGCTTCTTCTCTGTGTTATTTCCTAGGAAAGTTGGGGGAATCATGCCCATTTCTTGCCCATCATAGCTTTTGATACATGACATCACTGACTGGTGGATCACAGAAGATCTATAGGCTAAAAGTCTTTATGATTCTAAGACAGTAGAACTATAATTATTGTGTTTTTCCTCTGGGATACAGAAAACTCCAGAGCCTTGACTGTGGTCTGAGGATTGCAGAATCAGCATCTCCTGAGAGCTTTTCAGAAATCCAAATCTTTGGCCCACCTCAGACCCATTGAATCAGCATCTGCATTTTAAGTAGATCCCACAGGGACTACAATTGATCTTCAGTTTTTGCTTAGTCTTGGTTTCAAATTCTGGATCCACAACTTATTTAATGATGTAACTTTGAGTATGTTAACAAACTACTCTAGACCACACCTGTGAAATCGAAATGGGAGTAATAATAATATCTGTCTGGCTGGACGCAGTGGCTCATGCCTGTAATCCCAGCACTTTGGGAGGCTGAGGTGGGTGAATCACTTGAGGTCAGGAGTTGGAGACCAGCTTGGCCAACATGGTGAAATCCCATCTCTACTAAAAATACAAAAAAAAAAAAAAAATTAGCGGAGCATGTTGGCACTTGCCTGTAATCCCAGCTACTCAGGAGGCTGAGGCAGGAGAATCGCTTGAACCCGGGACGTGGAGGTTGCAGTGAGCCAAGATCGTGCCACTGCACTTCAGCCTTGGCAACAGAGCGAGACTCCATCTAAAAAAAAAAAAAAAAATAGAAAGAAAGAAAAATGGACTGGGGTGGAGCAGGAGATTGGTCCTGTTCTTAAAGGAAGGTTGATTTTTAGGAATAGACCCTGCTCTAAGGAACCCATGTGTATTAGTCTGTTCTCACGCTGCCATAAAGAACTGTCTGAGACTGGGTGATTCATAAAGGAAAGAGATTTAATTGACTCACAGTACTGCATGGCTGGGGAGGCCTAAGGAAACTTACAATCATGGCAGAAGGGGAAGCAAACACATCCTTCTTCACATAGTGGCAGCAAGGAGAAGTGCAGAGCAAAGGTGGGGGGAAGAGCCCCTTATAAAACCATCGACTCTCATGAGAACTCACTCTCTATCACCAGAACAGCATGAGGGTAACTGACCCCATGATTTAATTACCTCCACCTGGTCTCTCCCTTGACACGTGGGGATTATTGGGATTGTGGGGGAAGGGTTACAATTCAAAATGAGATTTGGGTGGGGACACAAAGCCTAACCATATCATCATGGTCTCTCCAGTCCACAAGAAGGTAGTAGACTGCTCTTTCAGCCAAAGACAGATGAGAGGAAGTTTAAAGGTACTTGCCACAGTAGTGAAGGAAAACAACTCCTGACTCCTTTACCAATTAGGCATGGGCAAAGGGGAAAGAGAAATAACGGTAGACCACAGGCTGCAGCATAAGTAGATTGAGCCTCAGTTTCAGCACAGGAGGAAGGGAAGCTCTTCAAAGAGCAAGTTTTAGCCTGGATTGTTACTCTAGAGCTAGACCCAGCAAGACCCTGTGAGTCCAGTCAAGCTGGAAGATGCGGCCCTGGCTTCAGATGAGGCTGATTTGGGATAATTCCTGATATTTGAGGGACAAGATACTACCTGGATTGGCCTAGATCCCTCTAAGTCCAGCCCACATACTTGGGCTGCTGAGAGAGAAAGGCCCCACCATCTCAAGTTCTCTGTGGTCAGCAGTAGTCTCTGCTCACGGAGGTCTCCCTGGTCCTGCTGTTGTCTTTGTTGAGCAAAGATTACTACCTTGATAGCACTGACCTCTGTGGCTTATCCTGTGTTTTGCTTTAAACCTGCTTGACCTCTTTCTCCTCACTTATCCCTTGGACCAGCCAGGAGCCCTACCTGGAGGTGTGATGACTGTAAAACAGGCCCGTGTGCACGCCTAGAAGCAGGCTTCTTTCTTTTTCTTTTGCCACTCCTACCCTTCTTCTCCTTTCTGTCTCTCTCTTCCATTTTATGTCAAATATTTGCTTGGTTTACAGCTCATAAAGTATCATTTTGTTAAATCATGTTTCCATTTAAGTAAGATGACTGTCAGAATGAAGCTATTTTATTGTGTTAGGAGTTAGAAAAATATAAAGAAAAATCCATTTTGAGAATGGAATAACACAACACATTTTAGTTCAGTCTTCTTGGTTTTTCTTTTAATAGGATTATAGATCTCTAATTTTTTTCCCCACAATTCAAAGCTAGTTGCTTCTAAGGGGGTCTCTGGGCCCCTTTGTGAACTGTACCCTCCACTCCTTTCTAGTTATGTCTTTGGACACACTGATCTTGCTGCTTTCCATTCAGTCTATCCAGCTGCTGGGTGTATGCAATTCAATAGTTGACAAACTGATTCAATGCCCATTATGGACTGCCCTCCATGTGTCCTGAGAAAACTGAAATCATCAGAATGTGGTTCCTGCCCCCTAGGAACTCATGGCATGCATGTCTGTAGGGATGACAGACATGGGAAATTCATTATACTATGATGTTTTTCATTCTATGCCAGAAGTGTGGAACATTACTGTAGGAACACAGAAGAGTTGCTAAATTGCCCCTGACAAGAGCAGGATGGCTATGTACAGCCATGCAGATCATGCACTGTGCAAAGGTGACAAATTTAAGTAGAAACCACCCACAGTGTAGGTACCCAAAATATCTACATTAGGGCAGTTTTCTGGCAGATAAAGGAACATGTCTGAAGGAAGGGATGTATTTTAAAAATTCTCACTAAGGCACTGTATGGGTTAGCGGGTGACCGTGGACAGGCACATGATTTGAAGGGCGATGGAGAGGAGATGGTATTGCGTCTGGGCTATACAATGGTATTAAAAGTTAGCTGGCCAGGCAACCAGGCAAAGAGTATTCTAGGCAGAGGGAGAATGAGTTGTGACAGAGACAGGAAATCACAATGGTGGGCCTAAGAAATGAAGAGTGGCTGAAATCATCAGAATGTGGCTGTTGCAGAGCACACATGATGGGGTATTATGGGCTGTGGTTTGTAAACACAGTTTAGAGTTAGATTATGAAGGTTTTCTGGAATGTTTTGCTAAGGGTTTGAACTTTATCCTGAAGGTATTATAAAGCCATTAAAAGTTCTGTATTGATCTATTTTTAAAAATAATATTTTATAAAGTATAAGTAATCGTTCCAAAAAGAATGATTTGAGATGGAAAGATACACCAGCCTTGTTACCAATATTGGAATTCAAAAATCATTGAAGGCAGGGCTTTCAAACTCAAACACCTACAGGGGCCAGGCAGGTAGCAAGTAAGGGTACTGAGGGAAGTGGATTTAATACAACAGAGGGTGATGCGAAGAGCACATGCCCCAAGGAAGTGAGTAACCATACTGAGCTCTAGCTGATTGTTTCCAGGAGGAACTCCTGTGTGGAGGGAGGTCAAGTGGGGCCATTTCATTCATGTTTTCATGAGAAGCTGGAAACTTAACATTTGTGTAAATTTCCTAAATTCTAAATGTTGGCAGGTAATTCATATTTTTAAAAATACTGTGTGTGTCTTTCAGTGCAGGTCTGCAGACCAGAGTCACCAATGGGCCACTGGTTTACAGTCTCTGATAATGAGAGATGGAACAGAAAATTCCTCTAGGAAACTGAGATGAGATGTTAATGAGCGCTAAGTTGATCTCTGAGCTTCACCGCAGGTAAAACAAACATAGATACCAATTCCACTCCTGTTCGTGATGGGAGAAGAAATGGAGGCCAAATTTAAGTGGGCAAGAGATGATCTCTGTGGATATGAAAAATGAATGGAAATTAAATGACTGATGAGTAGGGCTCATAATAGTCTTTTTGTGGCAAATTCTTTCTGTGAGAGTATTTCCTTAGTGATCCTTGAGTTGGTTGTGGCAGAACTGTCAGCTGGCCAGGGCCTGAGTAACGTTGCTTGAAAAAAGAGGCTCAAGGTGAAGAGTGTACTATCACTTTTGTATCACACAGCTTTTCTGGGTCTTAGCCCTTACTTGTGGCTGTCAGGGGGTTGAGTGCTATATCTAAGTGCTTCAGTGGCTCCCAGATTCTGAATAGGTTTTGAATATGTGTAGTAGAGTGCCTGTCCCATGCTCAGCCCCAGCTCAAGGGGTAGCCCTTAGTGGGATGTGTTTAGTACAACATGACTATTCTCAACTGTAACTAATTGGACTAGGGTGGGCACTTTTAAGGGTAGCTCATCTATAAGCTGATAAACAGGCTTCAATAGGATTGCCTGTATCATGACTTTTTCCTAAGCCTCTCTCCTTTTACATGATTATCTTTGATGTGGCCATGTTCTGACCTTGCCCTTTGGCCACTATTGTTTGGTTCAGTAGTGTAGGCACTATCCCAAAGCTGGATGTACTCCCTTCTGTAAGAGTTTTGAACTTAACCTCAAAAGAATCAGGCCTGTAGCTACACCTTGTAAGGTTTTAGTGCATGTGTGTTTGCATGCACACACACACATAAACACACACACAGAATTTACAAGTGAAATGTGCATATGCTTATGGGTGAGCTAGCTGATGGTATTTGAATTCCTGGTTCCTATTGTTTTTGAGGATTCTTGCCCTTCCCGGGGCTTGAATTTTCAAACTTTCCTTGGACTTTTTATTTTAAAATATTACTTTAAAACACTTTTTGGAATTTTTTTTTTTTTTTTTTTGCGGGGGAATGCTTAGGCTAGAATGAATTTGGTTACTTTCAGTTGAAACCAAAATATTCCTGAGTAATGGAGGTGGTCAACTATTCTGTGGCCTCTGGAAAATACCAGAAGAATGAATCATGAAACTAACCAAATAGCTAAAACTCAAAGGATACCTACAAAGAATAGTCACTGAGTCAAAGTACAGGGGGCCCTAGGAAGGGTTTTCCTGCTCATTAAATGAGAGTGTTAGATGGAGAGACAGTATGTGCTGAAGGATATCAGACTCTGGGAAACCCCAGATTTCTTGTAGGTCAAAATTATTAGTTGTATTTGCTATGGTGTTTCTCTATAGTTGCCTCAGAAAAAAGTAAAGCAACATGATATTTGAACCCCAGCTCTGCCACTTCCTAGTCACGTGACCTTTGGCAAACCACTTACCTCTCTGAGCCTTGGTTTCCTCATCTGTTGACGTTAATGGTAATACCACTCTCACAGGTGCATTCTGCGGCTTAAATAAGGTAGCATGAAGGAAAGCACTTAGCATTGTGCCCTCAGCTCTGTAGAAACTTAATAAAAATGGATTTTCTTCCAACTTTTATTTCTCTGATTAAATACCATAAAGAAGCCAGTACTGACACTTCCTAAAAAGCACTTGATGGGGCTATTTATCTATAGAGCTAATGTCAAAATTTAATCAGCAATTAACCATCTTCTTTCAGCTGTTTTATTTGTGATCATTTCCACCTTTCCAGGTATTTTTCCTGCCATTTACCACAAAGAATAATTTCTAATCATGTGTGAATTTCTTTTAGGCTGGGAAAAACCATGACACAGGAGTTATTTTTCATGTTGCAGACTTGCTTCTTGTCAGAGGGATCTTACAAAGATGACCTTAGTGATGAAGACATTGTGAATTAAAATCATTTGTTCTGAAAGGTGGGACCAAGATGTAAGCTTCAGGAAACGTTGCCTCATCTACTTTCAAGGTGGGGCTTTCTCATTAAAGTGCCTATACGATGTTTCTCCTTCCCAGAGATGAAGGATAAAAAAAGAATAAAACCATCAGGCATTTTTGTTTAACTATGTCATTGTTGTTTTATAGTAGTTTTATTACCTGCATGTATTTAGATATGAGAATTCAGAGAAGGCTGTGAAATATATTCTAAAGCTTCAGGGGTAGGAAAGTGCTCTGAACTGGTTAGTTGGTGTGTCTCCCCAGAGAATTATCTTCCAGGCTGCAGATTCTGACAGAAGGCACTCTCTGCCTTTTATAGTCCTGCTCACGGAAGGGGAAGTGGAGGGGGAGAAAGCCTCTGGAAAATATCTTACAGAGAACCGACAGAGCACTGTATTGCTTTCAACAAGGTGTTTCCATCTCCTTTTCTTGCTGTTAAAATTACCTGCAAGCCAAGTAGGCCACATAAAATGAAGGAAAAGGAAATGAAGTCCGTTAATCTCCCAAGACAGACATTTATTATACGAAAGCCAAGTGACAACTTTGAACCATTGGCCTCACCTTCTGTGGAGAAAAAGGCTCATGCCTCAGAAACTGCAGGAATCTTGGATCTGCTCCCTGGTAGGGGAGTTGTATTGGTCGTCTGAAAGGAGACTGGCCTCAGCCAAATGTCATCTCCATGAATATGAGCCCAAAGTTCCAGTTGCTGAAGTATCTATTGATTAAAGAATCATGATAAATGAGAACAAGGCTGTGAATAAGATCAATGCCACGGACCTCAGAAGCAAGTCTCCTGTGAAACTTCACAGGAACATCAAACACTCCTTTGGAGAAGCACTGATCTCTGGTCTGAGCGAAGCCTTGAGGATTTTTAGGTTCTTCCAGATGTAACTTTCTATAGTGGATCTTCAGTGAGCATACAGTTATATGAGAGGCAGTGCCATGTAAGGGAAAGAGCACTGAATGTGGAGTTCAAGCCTATTAGCAATTGCAAATCAGGGATATTGAAAACAGCCTCTGTTTCTCAGCATAGCATCCTGGTTGCAAGTACAAATTCTGGAGCTAGATTACCTGGGTTCTAATCCCAGCTCTGCTGTTTACAAACTGTGTGACCTGGGGCAAGTTATTTAACCTTTCTGTGCCCTAGTTTTTTCTCCTATAATATGATAATAGCAATGGTATCTACTGCAAATGATTGTGATGATGATTAAATAACCTAATCTTTGTAAAGGATCTAGAACAGTGCTATGGTTACTGTTTGCCGATTAAGTTCCTTCCCTATTCTTTTGTTTGTTTTTCAAACTAAGTC
This sequence comes from Homo sapiens, assembly GCF_000001405.40. Taxonomy (NCBI): domain Eukaryota; kingdom Metazoa; phylum Chordata; class Mammalia; order Primates; family Hominidae; genus Homo; species Homo sapiens. The sequence continues at coordinate 149,363,141 of NC_000023.11, read as the reverse complement.
TGTTCTCGCCACACTGCAGAGACAGACACTGTGTTAGTCAGGGTTCTTCAGAGAAACAAAGCCAATTGTGTGTGTGTGTGTATAAAAGATTTATCTTGTTTTATTTATGTATTTTTTTTGAGACAGAGTCTTGCTCTGTCTCCCAGGCTGGAGTGCAGTGGCTTGATCTCGGCTCACTGCAACCTCTGCCTCCCGGGTTCAAGCGATTCTCCCACCTCAGCCTCCCTAGTAGCTGGGATTACAGGCTCCCGCCACCATGCCAGGCTAATTTTTGAATTTTTAGTAGAGACAGGGTTTCACCACGTTGGCCAGGCTCGTCTCAAACTCCTGACCTCAGGCAATCTGCCCGCTTCGGCCTCTCAAAGTGCTGGGATTACAGGTGTGAGCCACCATGCCCGGCCTATAAAGAGGTTTACCATGAGAGATTGGCTCACATGATTATGGAGAATGAGACATCCCATGATTTACCATCTGTCAGCTGGAAGTCCAGGAAAGCCAGTGGTATATTTCCAGTACAAGCCTAAAGGCCTGAGAACCAGGGAAGCCAAAGGTGTAAGTCCTGGTCTGAGTCCAAAAGTGCAGGAACCAGGATTGCTAATGTCCAAAGGCAGGAGAAGACAGACAGCCCAGCTCAAGGAGAGAGTATGAATTCCTCCTTCTTCCATCTTTTTGTTTTGTTTAGGCCCTCAGTGGATTAGATGAGGCCCACTCACATTGAGGAGGGCCATATTCTTTACTCAGTCCACTAATTCAAATGTTAATCTCTTTCAGAAGTACCTTCAGAGATGCCCCCAGAAATAATGTTTTACCAGCTATCAGGGCATCTCTTAGCCTAGTTAAGTTGACACATAAAATTAACCATCACAATTCCTCTCCTTGTCAACTTCACACCTGTATGCATCTCCTTAAGCCATACTTAATCTCCAAATAAAGGCCAGGAGTAGTGGCTCACGCCTGTAATCTCAGCACTTTGGGAGGCTGAGGAGGGCGGATCACCTGAGGTCAGGAGTTCAGGATCAGCCTGACCAACATGGAGAAACCCTGTCTCTACTAAAAATGCAAAAAATTAGCCTGGCATGGTAGTGCATCCCTGTAATTCCAGCTACTCGGGAGGCTGAGGCAGGAGAATCGCTTGAACTCGGGAGGCGGAGGTTGTGATGAGCCGAGATTGTGCCATTGCACTCCAGCCTGGGCAACAAGAGTGAAACTCTGCCTCAAAAAAAAAAAAAAAAAAAAAAAATCTCCAAATAAAGACAATAACAAAGTCATAATCAGCTAACATGATACAACTGTTCTCTGTGCAACTAATACACACTTATCCCTTTCCCATAAGAGGAGATGAAGTCCTTGAGTGACGTTTATTCTTCTTCTGATATCCTCTAACTTAAATACTATGAAGTAACATTAACATTACTTAAAAACTAATACAAACTCAATACATCTTATGTTACATGATAAGGGAATACAAGAGGAAACAAAACAAAGACATTTGCTTAATATTTCCCTATTCTCTTTTTTTCACACTAAGTTTACATTTATTCACACAAATGTATTTATGTAAAATAAGAAAGAAATACTCATGACAAGTATAGCCCCTGTTTCCATAACTGGTCTTATGATAGTAGCTGGTATTTATTACCCCCTTTTTCTATTACCCATGTTGGATTCCTTTTGTCTTCAGCAACAACCTCAACTGGTCATGGTTCTTTACCTGTCAGGATGACCCAAACCTTCATTCTTGAAGGATCTGGGACATTCATAGTCCTACCTGGATTTTTTCCCCATTAACCTTAATCGCAGGGTATGATAATACTAAGAGACACCCTAAGGGATCACTGTTACTCCAGACATATTCTTCTTTGCTTCCATTGTGGAGCATAGTCCAATTTCCCCCTTGACATTGTGACTCAATCACTGCAGCCAACACCATAACTCCCTTCTTGGCCTGTTGACTCAGAGGCATGAGGACCCCAAAGTAGAAAGGTGGTAATCTTATTTGCCAATTAAATGGAATCATTGTGTCTCCTGGTAGAAGCATCCTTCCTTTTGGAACTAACATATCTAGGCCAGTGGAACTGAATTCAATAACACATTAAAAAGATCATTAATCAGGACCAAATGGGATTTATCCCAGGGATGCAAAGATAGTTCAACATATGCAAATCAATCAATATGATACATCATATCAACAGAATGAAGGACAAAAACCATATGATCATTTCAATTGATGCTGAAGAAGCATTTGACAAATTTCAACATCTCTTCCTGATAATAACCCTCAGAAAAATGGGAATAGTAGGAACATACCTCAACATAACTAAAGCCATATATGACAAACTCACAGATAGTATCATCCTGGATAGGGAAAAACTGAAAGCTTTTCCTCTATGATCTGGAGCAAGACAAGGACGCCCACCTTCACCACTGTTATTCCACACAGTACTAGAAATTCTAGCTAGAGCAATCAGACAAGAGAAAGAAATAAAAGGCATCCAAAGTGGAAAAGAAAAAGTCAAATTATTATTGTTAGCAGATAATATGATCTTATGTTTGGAAAAACCTAAAGAATCCACAAAAATACTATTAGAACTGATAAATAATTTAAAGTTTCAGAATACAAAATTGATATACAAAAGTAAGTAGGATTTCTATATGCCAGCAGTGAACAATCTGAAAAAGAAATAAAGAAGCAATTTCATTTACAATAGCCACACATAAAATTAAATATCTAGGAATTAACCAAAGTAGTGAAAGATCTCTACAATGAAAACTATAAAACGTTCATGTAAGAAATTGGAGAGAACACAAAAAATGGAAAGATACTCCATATTCATAGATTAGAAGAATCAATATTGTTAAAATGTGCATACTACCCAAAGCAATCTACAGATTCAATGAAACCTCTATCAAAATATCAATGACATTCTTCACAGAAATAGAAAAAACAATTTTAATGTTGGTATGAAAACAAAGAAGACTCAGAATAGACAAAGCTATCCTAAGCAAAAGGTCACAACTGGAAAAATTACATTATCTACTTCAAATTATACTACAGAGCTGTAGTAACCAAAACAGCATGCTGCTGGCACAAAAACAGACACATAAACAAGGGGAACAGAATAGAAAACCCAGAAATAAATCCATACATCTACAGTGAACACATTTTTGACAAAGGTATCAAGAACATACACTAGGGAAAAGACTGTCTCTTCAATAAATGGTGCTGGGAAAACTGGATATCTATATGCAGAATAATGAAACAAGGCCCCTCTCTTACCATATATAGAAATTAAATCAAAGTGGATTAAATACTTAGATCTAAAAACTCAAGCTATGAAACGACTACAAGAAAATATTGAGGAAAATCTCCAGAACATTGGTCTGGGCAACAATTTTTTGAGCAATACCTCACAAGTACGGGCAGCCAAAGCAAAAATGGACAAATGAGATTACATCAAGTACACCACTGGCATTCCTGGGCTTCCAGCTTGCAGATGGCAAATGACAGGATGTCTCAGTCTCAATAATCATGTGAGCCAATCCCTCATGATAAATCTCTATCTATCTATCATCTATCTATCTATCTATCTATCTATCTATCTATCTATCTATCTATCTATCTAATCTATCTATCTATAAAGGATATAATCAAAAAAGTGAAGAGACAACTCACAGAATGGGAGAAAGTATTTGCAAACTATCCATCTGAAAAGAGATTAATAACCAGAATAAGCTGGGCTTGGTGGCTCACACCTGTCATCCTAGCACTTTGGGAGGCCAAGACGGGCGGATCACAAAGTCAGGAGTTCAAGACCATCCTAGCCAACATAGAGAAACACCATCTCTACTAAAAATACAAAAATTAGTTGGGCAAGGTGGCAGATGCCTGTAGTCCCAGCTACTCGGGAGGCTGAGGCAGGAGAATCGCTTGAACCTGGGAGGTGGAGGTTGCAGTGAGCTGAGATCGCACTGCTGCACTCCAGCCTGGGTGATGGAACAAAACTCTGTCTCAAAACAAAACAAAACAAAACAACCCAGAATATATAAGGATATTGTATTAGTCTGTTCTCATGCTGCTAATAAAGACATATCCAAGACTCAGTAATTTGTAAAGAAAAAGAGGTTTAATGGGCTCACAGTTTCACATGGCCAAAGAGGTCTCACAATCATGGCAGAAAGCAAAGGAGGAGCAAAGGCACATCTTACATGGTGGCAAGCAAGAGAGTGTGTGTGGGGAACTGCCCTTTTTTAAAACCACCCGATCTCATGAGACTTATTCACCATCACAAGAACAGCACAGGAAAAACCCACCCCCATGATGCATTTGCCTCCCATTAGATCTCTCTCACAACACATGGGGATTATGGGAGTTACAGTTCAAGATATTTGGGTGGGGACACAACCAAACCATATCATTTCACCACTGGCCCCTCCCAAATCTCATGTCTTCACATTTCCAAACCAATCATGCCTTACCAACATTCCCCCAAAGTCTTAATTGATTCTAGCATTAACTCAAAAGTCCAAGTCCAAATTCTCATCTGAGACAAGGTAACTCCTTTCTACCTATGAGCCTGTAAAATCAAAAGCAAGTTAGTTACTTCCTAGATACAACGGGGGACAGGCATTGTGTAAATATACCCATTCTAAGTGGGAGAAATTGGCCAAAACAAAGGGGCTACAGGCCCCATGCAAGTCGGAAATCCAATAGCACAGTCATTAAACCTTAAAGTTCCAAAATCATCTCCTTAGACTCCATGTCTCACAGCCAGGTCACACTGATGCAAGAGGTAGAGTCCCATGGCCTTAGGCAGCTCATGCCCTGTGGCTTTGCAGGATACAGCCATACTTTGGGCTGCTGTCACAGGCTGGCATTGAGTGTCTGTGGGTTTTCCAGGGGCACAGTGCAAGCTGTAGGTGGATCTACTATTCTGGGGTCTGGAGGACAGTGGCCCTCTCATCAGAGCTCCACTAGGCAATGCCCCAATGGGGACTCTGTGTAGGGACTCTGATCACACATTTCATTTCTGCACTGCCCTAGCAGAGTTTCTCCATGAGGGCCCTGCCCCTGCAGGAAACTACTGCCTGGACATCCAGGCATTTCCATACATCCTCTGAAATCTAGGTGGAGGTTTCCAAACTTCAATTCTTGACTTCTGTGTTTTTTTTACACATGGGCTCAACACTACTTGGAAGCTGCCAAGGTTTGGGGCTTGCACCCTCCAAAGTCATGGCCCAAGCTGTATCTTGGCCCCTTTTAGCCATGGCCCAAGCTGTACCTTGGCCCCTTTTAGCCATGGCTGGAGAGGCTGGGATGAGTGCACCAAGTCCCTAGGCTGCACACAGCAGGGTGGGCCCTAGGCCTAGCCCATAAAACCATTTTTTCCTCCTAGGCCTCTGGGTCTGTGATGTGAGGGGCTGCCACAAAGGTCTCTGACATGACCTGGAGATATTTTCCTCATTGTCTTGGTGACTAACAGTGGGATCCTCTTTACTTATGCAAATTTCTGCAGCAGGCTTGAATTTCTCCTGACAAAATGGGTTTTTCTTTTCTATTGTATTGTCAGGCTGCAAATTTTCCAAATTTTTATGCTCTGCTTTCTCTCGAACACTTTGCAACTTAGACATTTCTTCTGCCAGATACCCTAAATCATCTCTCTCAAGTTCAAAGTTCCACAAATCTCTAGGGCAGTGGCAAAATGCTCCAGTCTCTTTGTATAGCAAGATTGACCTTTACTCCAGTTCCCAACAAGTTTCTCATCTCCTTCTGAGACCACCTCAGCCTGGACCTTATTGTTCATATCACTGTCAGCATTTTGGTCAATGCCATTCAACAAGTCTCTAGGAAGTTCCAAACTTTCCCACATCTTCCTGTCTTCTGAACCCCCCATCCCGAGTATCTAGGAAGTTCCAAACTTTCCCACATTTTCTTATCTTCTTCTGAGCCCTCCAAACTTTTCCAACCTCTGCCTGTTACCCAGTTCCAAAGTTGCTTCCACATTTTCAGGTATCTTTATAGGAGCACCCCACTACCTAGTACCAATTTACTGTATTAGTCTGTTCTCATACTGCTGATAAAGACTTACCTGAGACTGGGTGATTTGTAAAGAAAAAGAGGTTTAATGGACTCACAGTATCACATGGCTGGGGAGGCCTCACAATCATGGCAGAAGGCAATGGAGGAGCAAAGACACATCTTACATGGTGCCAGGCAAGGGAGCATGTTCAGGGGAACTGCCCTTTTATAAAACCATGAGATCTCATGAGACTTATTCACTATCATGAGAGCAACATGGGAAAAACCCATCCCTGTGATTCAATTACCTCCCAACAGGTCTCTTCCACAACACTTGAGGATTATGGGAGCTACAATTCAAGATAAGATTTGGGTGGGGACACAGCCAAACCATATCAAACAACTGTATAGGAAAAAAAAATCTAATAATCCAATTTTTTAAATGGGCAAAAGGTAAGAATAGTTGTTTCTCAAAAGAAGACATACAAATTGCAAACAGGTATGTGAAAAGGTGTTCACCATCATTGATAATGAGATAAATGCAAATAAAAACTACAATGAGATATCATATCACCCCAGTTAAAATGGCTTATGTCCAAAAACAGGAAATAACAAATTCTGGTGAGGGTGTAGAGAAAAGAGAACTTTTGTACACTGTTGGTGGGAATGTAAATTAGTACGGCCATTATGGAGAATACTTTGGAAGTTCCTCAAAAAAGTAAAAATAGAGCCACCATATGATCCAGCAATACCACTGCTAAGTATATACCCAAAAGAAAGGAAATAATATATTGAAGAGTCATCTGCGTTCTCATGTTTTTTTTTGCAGCACTATTTACAATAGCTAATATTTGGAAGCAACCTAAGTGTCCATCAACTCAGGAATGGGTAAATATGGTACATATACACAATGGAGTATTATTCAGCCATAAAAAATAATAAAATCCTGTCATTTGCAACAACATTGATTAAACTGGAGGTCATTATGTTTAGTGAAATAATCCAGCACACAAAGACAAACTTCAAATATTCCCATACACTTGTGAGAGCAAAAATATTAAAACATTTGAACTCATGGAGATAGAAAAAGGATGGTTACCCGAGGTTGGAAAGGGTAGTTGGGGAGATGGGACAGGGTAGAGGTGGTTAACGGGCACAGATAATAGTTAGAAACAATGAATAAAACCTAATATTTGCTAACACAGCAGGGTAACTATAGTCAAAAATAATTTAAGTGTACATTTTTAAATAACTAAAAGAGTATAACCGGATTGTTTGTAACACAAAGCATAAATGCTTGAGGTGATGGGTACCCCATTTACCCTGATGTGATTGTTACGCATTGCAAGAATGTATCAAAATATTTCATGTAACCCATAAATATATACGCCTACTATGTATCCACAAAATTAAAATAAAAAATTAATTATTATCTCAAAACAAGTTTTCTAGTGGGTAACTAGGAGTAAGAGTGAATGGAACCACTCCCATTTCCACACTTTGATTCCTGGACCCATAAATCCTGGCTGTGAAAGACACACCAATACATATTACACACTGATTCAGAGTTTACAGCCTTTTGGAGAACCATTCCCTAGTCTTGCAAGATAATACCACCTAGCTGGCACTAACTGAATCTCCAAAAAGCCGTTCCACCATTTTATCAAGCCAGCTGCTTCAGGATAGTGGGGACAAGGTAAACAAGTGAATTCCATGAGCAAGAGCCCATTGCTACACTTCTTTTGCTGTGAAATGAGTTCCTGTGTCAGAAACAATGCTGTGAAGAATATCATGTTGGTGAATAAGACATTCCATAAGTCTATGGATGGTAATTATAGCAGAATCTTTGTATGCAGGGAGGACAAATCCATAGCCAGAGTAAGTGTCTTTTCCAGTAAGGATAAAACACTGCTCCTTCCATGATGCAAGTCGTCCAATGCAATCAACCTGCCACCAAATAGCTTCATGATTACCCTCAGGAATGGTACCGTTACCAGAGGCTCAGTGTTGGTATCTACTCCTTGTAAATTGAGCACTCAGCATAGTTGTATCCAGGTGGGCCTTGGTAAGTAGAAGACCATGTTCCTGAGCTCATGCATAACCTCCATCCCTACCACCATGGCCACTTTGTTCATGAGCCCATCGGGCAATCACAGGAGAGGTTGGGGAAGGCAGCTGCTAGTATCCACAGAACGGCTCATCCTATCCACTTAATTATTAAAGTTTTGCTCTCCTGAGGTCACCCTTTGGTAAGCATCCACATAAGACACAAATACCTTCATGTTCTTTGCTTATTCAAGGAGGTCTGTCTACATACTCCCTCTCCAAGTTTCTTTGGCACTAATTTTCCAATCACATTTCTCCCAAGTCCTTGCCCAGTCAGCCAAACCACTGGCTATTGCTCATGAACTAGTATACAATTGCACATCTTGCCATTTCTCCTTTCAAGCAAAGTGCACAATCAGATGCGTTGTTCAAAGTTGACCGATTGAGAAGATTTTCTTTACCACTTTCCTTCAGGAATGTCCCCAAAAGGGACTGTAGTGCTGAAGCTATCCACTTTTGGGTAGAGACTGTACGTTATGCAGAACTATCTGTAACCCAGGCCCTAGTCTTCTCTTCCTCTTTCAGCTGATTGTAGAGAACCCTCATGAAGCCATAGGTGCAGGCTGGGAGAGAGAAGCCAGTGTAGCAAGAGTGGGGACCTTGGGCATTTGGGTTACTTCTTGATGTAGCTTACTTGTGCCTTCAGGGCCTACTGAGGCCTGATCAAATATACACCACTTCCATTTAATGATGGAGTGCTGCTCTACATGCCCAACTTTATGACTTGGTGGTCAGATGACATCCAGTTCATGATGAGCAACTCAGGTTTTATGATAACTTGGTGGCCCTTGGTCAAGCATTCAGTTTTTACTAAGGCCCAGTAGCAAGGCAAGAGCTGCTCTCAAAAGGACAGTAGTTACCTGTGAATGATGGCAGGGCCTTGCTCCCAAATCTCAAAGGCCTGCACTGCAATTCACTTATAGGAGCCTCTTCAAACACCATTGGATTTGCTGGATCATGTGGCCCAAATGGCAGAGCAGCTTGCACAGCAACCTGGACCTGTGGCAGAACCTTCTCCTGTTCTGGGTCCCACTCAAAAGTAGCAGCTTTTTAGGTCATTGAGTAAATGAGCCAGAGTGACATACCCAACTGAAGAATATGTTGCCTCCCAAATCCAAACAGGTCCACTAGGTACTATGCCTCTTTTTTGTTAGGAAAAGCCAGATGCAAAAACTTATCCTTCACCTTAGAAAGAGTATCTTGATGTGCCCTACACCACTGGACTCCTGGAAATTTCATTGAAGAAGAAGATGCCTATATTTTAGTCAGATATATTTTCTACCTTCTGACATGTAAATGTCTTACCAATAAGTCTAGACTAGTTGCCATTTCTTGCTCACTAGATTTAATCAGCATCATGTCATCAATGTAATGGATCAGTGTGATATCGTGTGAAGTGAAAGGTGATCAAGTTCCCTTCAAACTAAATTGTGACCTAGTGCTGGACAGCTGATATATCCCTGAGGTAAGACAGTGAAGGTACATTGCTATCCTTGCTAGCTGAAAGCAAATTTTTTTCTGGTGGGCCTTATGGACAGTTATGGAACAGCTGTATGGATCAATAGCTGCATACCAGGTACCAGAGGATGTGTTAAGTTGCTCAAGCAATGAAACCCACACCTGGTATAGCAGCTCTAATCTGAGTCACCACATGGTTAAGTCTACTGCAATTCTGTAAGATCCATCTGTCTTTCACACAGGTCAAGTAGTAGAGCTGAATGGGGATGTGGTGGGAATTACCACCTGTGCATCTTTCAAGTACTTGATGGTGGCACTAATCTCTGAGATCCCTTCAAGGGTTGATTTTGATTTACTCTTTTTCTATGTAGAGGCAGTCCTAATGGCTTCCATCTGGCTTTTCCCACTGTAACAGCCATCACTCCAAAAGTCAGTGAACAAATGTGGGGATTTTGCCATTGCTGAATATGTCTATTCCAACTATGCATCTGGATCTGGGGAAATAACTGCAATATAGGTTCAGGAACCCACTGGGCCCAGTGTAAAATGGATTTGAGCAAAAACTCCATTGGTCACCTGTCTTCCATAAGCCCATTCTGACAAGAGGGCCATAGTGATGTTCAGCAAAGCAAAAGGAGTTATCCAAGGTCATTTACTTAATCAAGGTCAGCCCAGGCTCTAGAATCTAGTCCTCTGACTTTCTATACTGTACCCTTCCAGTGCCAGTCTGCCCACCTGTGGTCTTCACCTTGTTAGTGCTGGGTTGGGATGGGTAAGCCTGTGGGAAAGTGTCATGAAAGCAAAGCGACTTTATTCAAATATACAAGTTTATTAGGACTATGTGCTTATCAGTTGTGGCTGTTATAAGAGGTTTTGGCCATTGGATAAGAGACTCTATTCAGTTACAAATGTCTGGTAAAATGTTTCATTTTTCTTGAAAGCAGCAGAAGCAGATTCGAAGGCAGTACTAAGGGATAACTTAGCACTTAGGGCTGTTTTTACACTGTAAAGACTACACAAAAAATATGGAGGCCTAGGAAGGAGAACTGGGAAAAGCAAGGACTACTTAATGGAGCCTGCCTTCAAAGCCTTGGTAGCCAAGTGGTGGTGGCTGCATTGGTGGGAAGGCAGAGAACTGAGAAGTGAAAGTGGTGTGCAAGATGCTGAAGGTGGAGAAGAGGACATGTGTGGGAGTTTGAGTCTAGAGGGAGAGATGGAACTCTCCTGGGATGTGATTTGCAAACTTGAGAACTTATGGTTATTCTATGCATTTTCAGTGCTGAATAGGAGATCCAAGACTGCCTTTGATACAGGAGGGGGGCAGGGAAGTGCTGGGTAGAGAAGGGCAGTGTCCCTGGAGATGGCTTCACCCTTGGGCCTGTGCCACGGACCTAAGTGAGGGCAAGCACTTCTGTTTTTGTGCCCAAACTTTGCATTTTCCAAAACCACTCTGGCCCACCATGCCCCCATCCTGTGCCTATAAAAACCCCGAGACCCTAGCGGGCACATGCACAAGCAGCTGGACGTTGAGAGGAGCAGAGGAGCAGAAGAGCACACTGACAGACACCAGCAGATGCCGTCAGGCCATCAACAGTGGGGCAACATGGAATTCGGTTGGGGGCAGTCGGAGGAGGGTCCAGGCATTGGGTGGTTCGACTCCAAGAGAAGACTACATTCCCACTCCATCTCCCTTCTGGCCTCCTCATCCATCTCACTGAGAGCTATTTTCATCACTCAATAAAACCTTTCACTCATCCTCCAAGCCCATGTGTGGTCCAATTTTTCTGGTACACTAGGGCAAGAATCCGGGATACAGAAAGCCCTCTGTCTTTGAGATAAAGCAGAGGGTCTAATTGAGCTGATTAACACAAGCCACCTGCAGACAGCAAAACTGAAAGAGGACACTGAAACACACACCCACTGGGGCTTCGGGAGCTGTTAACAGTCTACCCTAGACGCTATGGTAGTGACGGAGCCCCAAAGCGCTCCCCATGACCTGCCCATCTGCATGCTCCCTCTAGGGGTTTGAGCAGCGGGGCATCTAAGAAGCGACCCACACCCCTGTGGCACGCCCTACATGGGGGATAAAGGAACTTCTCTGTTTCACCTTGTTCAACTTCCTCATGTGCCCAGGAAAACATTCAAGCCCCTGATAGATACAATCCATCCGAAGGATCTATAGTTGTGCCTCCATGTTGCCCAAGCAACTTTCTAATGGCAAGTTGGCTTCTCAGGGACCCAAAATGTCTAGGTTCCTTGGCAGTTTTATTTCCTTATTTTAATCCAGTAAAGAGCCTTTTTGGTTTTCTTTCTTATGGCCATTGGAGCTTTTGAGAGATGGATGAGCACCCCTAAGTCTAATCAACCCTGAAATAATTATGTGCTCATCATTAGTGCTTAGGGGATGTGGGCCAGGCTCTGTATATTCACCCAAGGGGGTACCAGCTTGTTTGGTCTTTGTGCTCTCAGCTGACAGGCCAATCCCAATGATACCTTTTCATATTACTTTGAGGCATTCCTTTTCTTTCCAAATATCAGCACTCTGCTCTCCTGTTCTGTTTGAGGACAGATGATAACCCTAATAGTGGTGAATACTGACAATGGTTCCATGTGTTTTTGGAATGTCATCTTAGTTTGAGTTTGGCAAGTCAGGGATTGCATTTAATTCTCCTACCTTTCTCGGGAAGAAGCAAATTAGAAGGAGCTCTAGTCCCAGAGTCAAGATAGCTGGCTTATTACTGGGGGAGTAGCCTGAAAGGTACTAGAAACCAGTTTATAGTTGAGGTTGGAACTTCCTCCTTCTGCCCTGCTGTTTGGTACTGGTACTTCTAAGGACATGGGGCTAGGCTTGCAAAAAGCCACCAATTGGGCAAAAGGGAGGTCTTAGGGAGGGCTGAGATTTTTCATCACAATGATTGCCTCTGGCTCCTCAATAATTCTTCCCCAGAATCGAGTTTGCCCCTTCTCTACAGGGATTTGCACTTAGTAGGCACTTATAGATGTTCTTGAAAGAGAAAGTTCTTAATAAATGGACTTGAACCCATCATATCTTAAAGCTAGAGGGGCCCATGGAAGTTGGCTTGCTTAAACCACTCATTATTTAAGAAATAAAGGACCTAGGTAGGGGAAGAGACTTGTTCAAGCTCACAGTGCAACTTGGTGACAGAACTGGGGTGACCCATTTTAGTTTTCAGATTGATTCTTCTCATGCAAGGAGTAGCCTCTGTTTCAGAACTGAACTGGGATCTGCTCAAAGGGCACATGAAGACCAGATATTAACATCAAGGTTTGCAGTGGGAGAAAAGAGGATGTTTATGTGCAGAGCACCAAGCAAGAAGGACTAGGCAGCTAATGCTCAAATCCAGACCTCCCTGATATCTTGCAAGCAAGAGTTTTTTAAAGGGGGATAAATTTCAGGAAAGCAGAAGTTGTAGGCAAAATCACAAATCAATACATAGAGATTTGGGATATCTTTTTTTTATTATTATACTTTAGGGTTTAGGGTACATGGGCACAACGTGCAGGTTTGTTACATATGTGTACATGTGCCATGTTGGTGTGCTGCACCCATTAACTCGTCATTTAACATTAGGTATATCTCCTAATGCTATCCCTCCCCCCTCCCCCCACCCCACAACAGGCCCCAGAGTGTGATGTTCCCCTTCCTGTGTCCATGTGTTCTCATTGCTCAATTCCCACCTATGAGTGAGAACATGCGGTGTTTGGTTTTTGTCCTTGCGATAGTTTGCTGAGAATGATGGTTTCCAGCTTCATCCATGTCCCTACAAAGGACATGAACTCATCCTTTTTTATGGCTGCATAGTATTCCATGGTGTATATGTGCCACATTTTCTTAATCCAGTCTATCATTGTTGGACATTTGGCTTGGTTCCAAGTCTTTGCTATTGTGAATAGTGCCGCAATAAACATACGTGTGCATGTGCCTTTATAGCAGCATGATTTATAATCCTTTGGGTATATACCCAGTAATGCGATGGCTGGGTCAAATGGTATTTCTGAATCTAGATCCCTGAGGAATCGCCACACTGACTTCCACAATGGTTGAACTAGTTTACAGTCCCACCAACAGTGTAAAAGTGTTCCTATTTCTCCACATCCTCTCCAGCACCTGTTGTTTCCTGACTTTTTAATGATTGCCATTCTAACTGGTGTGAGATGGTATCTCATTGTGGTTTTGATTTGCATTTCTCTGATGGCCAGTGATGAAGAGCATTTTTTCATGTGTCTGTTGGCTGCATAAATGTCTTCTTTTAAGAAATGTCTGTTCATGTCCTTCACCCACTTTTTGATAGGGTTGTTTGTTTTTTTCTTGTAAATTTGTTTGAGTTCATTGTAGATTCTGGATATTAGCCCTTTGTCAGATGAGTAGATTGCAAAAATTTTCTCCCATTCTGTAGGTTGTCTGTTCACTCTGATGGTAGTTTCTTTTGCCATGCAGAAGCTCTTTAGTTTAATTAGATACCATTGGTCAATTTTGGCTTTTGTTGCCATTGCTTTTGGTGTTTTGACATGAAGTCCTTGCCCATGCCTATGTCCTGAATGGTATTGCCTAGGTTTTCTTCTAGGGTTTTTATGGTTTTAGGTCTAACGTTTAAGTCTTTAATCCATCTTGAATTGATTTTTGTATAAGGTGTAAGGAAAGGATCCAGTTTCAGCTTTCTACATATGGCTAGCCAGTTTTCCCAGCACCATTTATTAAATAGGGAATCCTTTCCTCATTTCTTGTTTTTCTCAGGTTTGTCAAAGATCAGATAGTTGTAGATATGTGGCATTATTTCTGAGGGCTCTGTTCTGTTCCATTGGTCTATATCTCTGTTTTGGTACCAGTACCATGCTGTTTTGCTTACTGTAGCCTTGTAGCATAGTTTGAAGTCAGGTAGCGTGATGCCTCCAGCTTTGTTCTTTTGGCTTAGGATTGACCTGGCAATGTGGGCTGTTTTTGAAGCAGCAGCTTATAGGTCATAGGTAGAGTAAAAGATTTTCTGATTTGCAATTGGTTAAGGAAGAGAAGCATTCTTTAAAAATTTGGGATCAGCCGAAAATAATGATAGCTCTGGCTCATGGGTGTGACTCCCTCCAGGCTCCTCAGGAAGAAATTTAGAACAAAGAATAGTGGTCAGAGTTCAGTCTTCAGTTCCATCTTACCAGAGGGGAGTCAAATACTTCCTGACTCTAACTTCCTTGGCTAGTGTTTTAAGCTGCTATTACCTTCTTGCTTATCTAGTTGCTTATTTACTTCTCAGGGCTAACTAGGTGCCTAGAATTTCCCTTGAAGGAGCTCAAGATTTTCCTTTATTTCCAACTTGGGGGCTCCTAGACCCATAAGAGGGAGATTCCCTGCTCCATCTCACCTCTCCTTGGAAGTCAGAGTACACCTTTTTAAACTTGTTTGCCTACTGGCCTCACCCCTGGCATGTCAACCTTTTATCAGAAAGGTTCAACCAAAGAAGAGACATGAGTAGAATACACAGTTTGTTTGGGCTGGAACCTGTGACTATCACTGTCGTATCTATTTCATTCATGTGCAGAAGAAACAAGTTTTTCCAAAAATAAGGCCCAGGGATGTTGGGAAACATCTGGCTATCAGTCGGAACCCTCCTTTAGGCCACCCTTCCAGGATTCAATCCTTTTTGGTCAAAACTGGGCTGCAGGCATGTGGGCCTAGGTGCAGGGGCCTAGCAGGACCTCTTCTGTGAGGGAAAGCTGGGGAGGGGCAGGGTGGAAGAGGGCTCAGAGGGGTTGCTTGAGATGAGCAATAGGCAAGCAGAATCTCCGGGTTTTGTTATCAACACATTTAAAGGAACCAGCATTTGGAAGGGTCATGCTCCCAAGACAAGAAAGAGGAGTTCAGATGGAGGCAAAGAAAGAGTATTCAGACGTGAAGTGCTGTGCTTTCTTGACTGATCAGAGGACTCTTGAGGTACTGAATCAAAATCTGGGCTCTATATTCAAAGAGTCTGATAACAGTGTATTCTATGGGTTTATATCCTCGATCTACTACTTATTGTGCGATCTTGGGAAAATTGCTTAACTTCTGTGTGCTTCAGTTTCCTCCTCTGAAGAAGTGGGGTATTGTGAAGAATAAGTGAAATAATAGAAAGTACTTTGCGTGGGGCAGGGCACAAAGTCAACTTCCAATAAATGTCAGATACTTCTCCACCTCTTGTTACTCACATACTGCTTACATCACCATTGTAGAGGTCTGTGTGCTTGTTTCTCTCTCCGCTTAGATTCTAAGCCCTGGAAGGGAGGGCAGGGGTCATATTTGACATATTCACTGCTCTATGTCCAGAATCTACCTTTATAGCTTTTACTTAGCAGGGTAGGCACTCAAGAAGAAAAGGGAGGAAGGAAGCGGGGGAAGAAGAAAGATAAGAGAGTATTATTTAGTTGAGAAAGGGACTGGAAATCACATCATATGAGAAATGGAGGAAGGAAATGGGGATACTTAACTGATAGAAGAAAAAATTCAAGTTGCCATTAGAATGAATCTCCAAATCACCAAAGGATCTTCTAAAAGAGAGATATAATTTATTCTCAAACAAAGCCAGGGATGACCTGGAGAACAGCGTGAGGACCAATGATTGAAAGCAATGAAGGTTTTACTGAGTCCTTTAAAGAGAGAGCAGGCTGCCTTAAGGCCAAGTGAATTTCCTGATATTGGAGGAATCCAAGCCAGACCTGGACTAGCCTTTGATACTGCTGCTGGAAAAGGGATTCAACCATCAGACAGGACTAGACTGAGTGATCTGGAAAGTGTCTCAAAGTCTAACTTCCCCACCCCTTTCTCCAGGGCCTTATATCATTGTCCTTTGGATGGCTGTTTTTCTTGGGAGTGCAAATGAGGTGTGAAGTAACTTCTGATCTTTTCTGGCACAGTATGAAGTTGTGCGAGGCTCAGGGAAATAGTTAGCGCCACGGAACAAGCCTTTCCCAAGTCAGTATTGGGGAAAAAAAAATAACTCCATTAGAAATGCTAAATGAGGATCATAATGAGATATCCAAAGTCTTGCCAAGTGAATTTAATCACTTTCTGATCCCAACAGCCACACAATTCAACTCTTTCTGAGCATAATTAAGCAAGTGACAATGAGGATACTATTCTAAGACATAGTAATGAGATGCTGAGGGGCCTGAATTCAGCTGGAGGCAAATTCCTATTAAATATTTATTAGATATGCAAGTTCTTTAATAGCTAGAAAAAATAGAAAAGGAAATTTAGTTAAGTGAGGTCCATTTCCTTTGAAATTAAACTGTTGAAAACAGAAGCTGCCGGGTCACTGCTTGCAGGTATCTTCATTTTTCTGGCCTGAGGGCTTGGCTAGATTCTGTGGCTATAAACTCCTAGGTGAGCAGGAGCCACAGAAAAGAAGAATAAATTAGAGAATGATAGACTTTTTTGGCAGGGTAGTAAAGAAGAGAGAAGGAAGTACTAAGAGGTAGTGGAGTGGGGTAGAAAGCCTGAGTTCTGGAGGCTCCAGACAGACTTGTTTGAATTTGAACTTGAAAACCGCGTGTATGTGTGTGTGTGTGTATATATATCTGAGTGACCTTAGATTAATCTCTTTATCCTTCTGAGCCTGCAGTCTCTTGCTCTGTGAAATGGGTTTATTCATACCTACCTCACAGGGTTATTTAGAGGACCAGATGAGAAAATGGCTCTAAAAATGCCTTAGAAGGCTAGGCACTGTGGCTGACGCCTGTAATCCCAGCACTTTGGGAGGCCAAGGTGGGCAGATTACGAGGTCAAGAGATAGAGACCATCCTGGCCAACATGTTGAAACCCCATCTCTACTAAAAATACAAAAGTTAGCTGGGCGTGGTGGCACGTGCCTGTACTCCCAGATACTCGGGAGGCTGAGGCAGGAGAATCGCTTGAACCCGGGAAGTGGAAGCTGCAGTGAGCCGAGATCGCACCACTGCACTCCAGCCTGGCGACAGAGCGAGACTCCGTCTCCAAAAAAAACAAAAAACAAAAAACAAAAAAGCTAGAAACCGTACACACAGAAGGGGCATGGCTCATTGACTCAGTTCCTGCAAGAGAATTTCAGTCCCTGCAAGAGAATTTCCTGAGATGCTAGCAAGCTCCCAGCAGAGTTCAAAGCCCTCCTCAGTTGTTGCTTCAGGGAGTAAGCATATCCATTTGGCTGAAAGACTATTCTGCTTCACATTGACTTTGTTTCTACCCAGCCTTTACAGGACAAGGATCATGATCATGCATTTCTCCTAACTAGTGTTAATCAGTATGCAAATAAGATGCAGGCTCCAGGCTTGGCCAGCAGGAAGGGGAGTTCAACCCCTGCTGGGTCTCCTGTAGGGGTGTTTTGGGCAATTATGCGCCTCACCTGTGCAAGAGGCAGACTAAGCTAAGGCTCTGCTCAGGCCTTAGGCAAGCCTGTTTCAGTACTCCCAGACATTCACAGATTGCTTCCCTTTCTGAACTTTTCCTTGATTAACTTTATCACAGCACAGAGTGATAGCAATAACTGTTACTGCTTCTTGGGTGCTTACTTGTGCTAGGTGCCATTTAACCCTGGCAACAACCTGTTGGGTATGTAGCCCAGATATGGGAGATGATTTGCTCAGGGTCACAAAGATACTAACCCAGGTTTCTCTGACTCTCAAGTCCCTGTGATTTTCCCTCTTCCATACAGCCTTTCACAGAGAAGTACAAACTGAATGATTTGAGGGAACCATTACTTCTGCCTGGAGCACGTGGAGAAGCCAGCTTC
This sequence comes from Homo sapiens, assembly GCF_000001405.40. Classification (NCBI taxonomy): domain Eukaryota; kingdom Metazoa; phylum Chordata; class Mammalia; order Primates; family Hominidae; genus Homo; species Homo sapiens. The sequence goes on along the minus strand of NC_000023.11, from coordinate 149,344,808 downwards.
TGAGGGCTGTATTCAGGCAGCAGAGGAAGGACTGCCCTTAGATGCATTGGGGTGGGGGTAGAGTTACACTGGTGAGCCACGTGTCTGCTGCTAAGCACACCAGGGGAGTGGGGGAGAATCATGCTTTCTGAGGAGCCCTTTGTGGTCTGGCATCTAGAGCTGGTGGGCTCTAGACAGGGCTTGTCTGTATCTAATCTTTGATATTGGGAGCCAGAGGGGTGTTCCACTCCTCCATAGGGATCTTTATCTTTTGGTCTGAAAAGGGCTTGGGTAATCTGCAGGGTGGGGCACTGGGAGTGCCAGGAGCACAGGCAGAATGCTTGCATGAGAGGGGCCTCTGCTGAACTACCCTTCCTCCTCCCCTGTGCCATCCCTACATGGGTCAGAAGCAGTGGATGATTTGGTCCTGAACCAACTGAGCAAATGGCCTTTGGCTAATAGTGCTCTTTTGGTATGGAGGGCTTATCTTGGGTCATGGATGTCAGCACCATGCTTGGAACCTTGCAGATCATAACCAAATCAGCTAGAGATATCCTTGACTCTCTTACTCCTTTTAGTCCATTCAGCCCTGTTTCTTCCTGAGAATTTACTTGCGTCATTTCCTTCTAGCATAAGCAAATACCATCTCTGTATCAGTCAGGGTTCTCCAGAGACACAAAGAAACAGAACAAATAGGAGAATATATATACACACACACAAATGCACGTATCTGACTGAAACAGTTGTCTCAGATTATCTATCTATCTATCTATCTATCATCTATCTATCATCTATCTATCTGAAATTATTATCATTATTATAAGGCATTGACTCATGTGATTTGAAGGCCGAGAAGTCCCATGATCTTCTGTCTGGAAGATGAAGCCCCAGGAAAGCCAGTGGTATAAATGGGAGTTCTGATAACTGGAGGGCCATTGGTGTAGATTCCTATCTGAATCTGAAAGCCTGAGAACCAACCAGGAGCTCCGAAGTTAGGAGAAGATCGATGTTCTTCATTCAAGCATTCAGGCAGAGGGAGGACAAATCCAATCTTCCTCTGCTTTTTTGTTTTATTTAGGCCCTCAACAGATTGGATAATGCCCACCCACATTAGGGAGAGCCATATTTTTTACTCAGTCAACCAATTCAAATGCCAGTCTCTTCCAGAAACATTCTCACAGACATGCCCAGAAATAATGTTTTGAATCAGATATCTGAGCATGCTATGGGCATATGTCAACGTGACATATAGTATTAACCATGAAAATCTCCTTACCCCTGCCTTGTATGATCATAGCAGGTTCCTATCAGAGAAAGCCTCTTGCCTTTCAGGCCCATCCACCCGCTGTCCCAGAGTCTGCTTTCTCAGAAAGCACTCTACATATGCAGTTATGCAGTTGTTCTAGCAGGATGGTGATGCTGCTGTAAACAACAACAAAAAATATCAGACCACATCAGGCCTCTGAGGTATATAGCTAAGTCTGGCAGATAAAAACAAGTTTGTGAAAAGTGAAGTGATAAGGCAAGATTCAAGCGATAGCTCAAATAGATAACACAGAAGAAGATAGATCACAAGCAGGGTGTGATTAATTTCCCAAAGAGTTTTACTGATGATCGTTCCAAGGGCTCAGAGTTGGGAGAAGGAGGTCATGAGGGATACTGGGTGGGAAGAAAGCTTGATATAAGAGATGGGTTGTGATATGTATCTTCAAGAATGAATTTAGTTTGGATGGGGAGCAGGGTCATGGAGATCATTTCCATTTATTCTAGAGAAGTTGTATGTCCTAGGTGGCCTCTGTGTCCAATGTGGCTGACACTGGGGATGCAGGGTAGCTTCCTGGGGTTGCTCACAGACAGAGCTTGACACAAGCAGGAAAATCAAAGGCACAGCCAAGGACCAGAGAGATTACTTGGTTTCCTGTCTCCTATAGAGTACAGATTCCTTCCAAAGTATTCAAGTCCCTCCACCACGTGGGTCCGATTTTCCTCTCCATTTTCATGTCCTCCTCTTTGTTCTATAATCTTTGCTTTATAAATTTTGAAGCTGGGCTGGGCACAGTGGCTCATGTCTGTAATCCCAGCAGCACTTTGGGAGGCCGAGGTGGGCAGATCACCTGAGGTCATGAGTTTGAGACCAGTCTGGCCAACATGAGGAAACTCTGTCTCTACTAAAAATACGAAAATTAGCCAGGCATGGTGATGTGTGCCTGTAATCCCAGTTACTCGGGAGGCTGAGGCAGGAGAATCATTTGAACCCAAGAGGCAGAGGTTGCAGTGAGCCAAGATCGTGCCACTGCACCCCAGCCTGGGCGACAGAGCGAGACCCTGTCTCAAAAAAAAAAAAAAATCGATGCAGGATACTTTGGTATTTTAAGATTCACAATGCTTACTACTTTTTGCTGAACTGTGTGTTTTATTTATATAAAATCTCTCTCTTCTGCTTAATACTGTTGCCTTAAACTCTACTTTGATAGTAATAGTACCAATCGTGTTTATTTGTATTTGTAGATATATCTTTGCCCTTTCGTTTTATGTCTTTGGGCTTAGTTGGTCCAACACCAGCTCTAAAAGTGATGGGGGTTGGAGGAAGGGGTTGAAGATCCAGCAGAACTGAATGCCGAGTGTCTAACAGTGAAGCTCAGAGGCAGCAATCAGAACACATCCTCAGTCTAACCAGCTCTGTCTTTCAAGAAGTTTGCCAGGATATCTGAGTGCCTTTGTCTGCTCCTCTCTTAGCAGGTAAACAGAACTCTTGGCCTCTACTGAACTTGCTGCTTCTGGCTTCCTTGAACCTTGCCCAATTCTACTAGCAATATAATCTTTGTCACCCTTTGCTAATTCCTGTGCCACTTGTTGGCCCAAACTGGGTCCAGTCTCATTTTACCTATCATCCCATCTGCCAATGACTCTGGCTGTGACTGATACACAAGTCTTGTCGCCTTGATATCTTTCCAGTTCTGGATGAAACTAAAAAGAATAAATATCTTAGAAAGCAACAGAATTCCTACTATAGTAATTAATCTCTAAAAATTAAGAGAGGAAGAAACTAAGCACCTATGATCCATACTGAGGTCAAATTCTAATAAAAAGAGCAGAAGTTTTAAGTCTATAAAGCCAATCAAATTTGAATTGTGGGTAATTCCAAGTTACCATCCAAGCCAAGGGAGCCTGTGGTCAGATGCCATTGCTGATGTTCATAGACTCAAGGTAAAGGCTAGCTGCAGGAGGCCATGCAGTAAGTCATGTGATCTCACTGGACTATGGGATGCAGCAGCTTTCAGAGAGCCCTGGAAGTAGAGGCTTAATAGAATTTTGGTGGGAGGGAGGGCTGTTCATTCCAGTGAAGTAAGTGTGTATCAGGTGTCCTTTGTGCCAGACACTGTGCAGGCACTATGGGTATGGGGTGGCTCCTCTGTGTTGCTCACAGACACAGCTGATACAAGCAGGCTTGGAGACAAAAAGGGGTGGAGAGTTCCTCCTAGGTGAATGGTGGAAGCTCAGTATGTCTTTGTGAATGAAAGAACTTAGAATTTAGCTTTTCAAATTACTACATATTTTTTCACTTGTACAAAGGAGTGTAAATCTTTTCTGTGTGCCGTTCACTTTATAGTTTAGAAAATATGTTCACGGCTGGGCACAGTGGCTCACACCTGCAATCCCAGCATTTTGGGAGGCCGAGGTGGGCAGATCACAAGGCCAGGAGTTTTAGGCCAGCCTGACCAATATGGTGAAACCCCATCCCTACTAAAAAGACAAAAAAAAATTAGCCGGGTGTGGTAGTGCATGCCTGTAATCCCAACTACTCAGGAGGCTGAGGCAGGAAAATTGCTTGAACCTGGGAGGCGGAGGTTGCAGTGAGCAGAGATAGTGCCACTGCACTCCAGCCTGGGTGACAGAGCGAGACTCTGTCTCAAAAAAAAAAAAAAAAGAAAGAAAGAAAATATGTTCACATGTTATCCAGTTTGATTCACAAAAAACTATTTTAGTCAGGCTCATTATCTTAATTTTACAGATAACAAAACATAGGCTCACACTGGCTAAGAAGCTCATGCAAGGTCACCTAGCTGGTAAGTGGCAGATCTGGAATTTATTAATTTTTTTACTCAGCTGTAATTTTTACTTTTTATCCATCATTTTTTCAATTATTAACATAGTTATACCCTTTGTTTAGTTCTGTATTTCATCATGTATATATTATTTATTTTCTCCAGCTTTATTGAGGTATAAATGATGAATAAAAAGTGCATATACTGAAGGTATACAACATGATGTTTTGATATGGAATTTAAATGCATGGCTCCTGATACCTAGTTCAAGGTTCTTTGTACAAAATCACTGCTGATGTCATCTGTTGGTGTGAGCCATAACAATCATGATTTGGACCTTTTCCACAAACTACTAAAATGCCAAAGAAATATGGCTACAAGGACATTGGAGTTTTACAATTGTATTATGCCTAAAGCCTTAGGACAGAAGCATAATAGGACAGAAGCATAATAAAGCCACTCATTAAAATATTTAAATCAACTGACAACCATAATAATATTAAATACTCATAGCCGTATTATACTGTGTTTTAGATTAGTCTTTTAAGTGCAGAGACTCTTTTAGAAAAGTGTATCTTCATTGTTTTAGGAACAAGAGGTTCTTCTGAGCAGCTGTAGATCATTGAGGATGGGAGGTGGAGTGGTGGGAGGACATTGAAGGTCTATCAGAGTAGGGTCCTGAGTACCTTCAGAAGTTTTAAGTCTATAAAGCCCAGTGAATTTGAAATGTGGGTAAGTCTTTCTTTTTTTAAATTTTTTATTTATTATTATTATACTTTAAGTTTTAGGGTACATATGCACAATGTGCAGGTTAGTTACATATGTATACATGTGCCATGCTGGTGCGCTGCACCCACCAACTCGTCATCTAGCATTAGGTATATCTCCCAATGCTATCCCTCCCCCCTCCCCCGACCCCACCACAGTCCCCAGAGTGTGATGTTCCCCTTCCTGTGTCCATGTGTTCTCATTGTTCAATTCCCACCTATGAGTGAGAATATGCGGTGTTTGGTTTTTTGTTCTTGCGATAGTTTACTGAGAATGATGATTTCCAATTTCATCCATGTCCCTACAAAGGACATGAACTCATCATTTTTTATGGCTGCACAGTATTCCATGGTGTATATGTGCCACATTTTCTTAATCCAGTCTATCATTGTTGGACATTTGGGTTGGCTCCAAGTCTTTGCTATTGTGAATAATGCCACAATAAACATACGTGTGCATGTGTCTTTATAGCAGAATGATTTATAGTCCTTTGGGTATATACCCAGTAATGGGATGGCTGGGTCAAATGGTATTTCTAGTTCTAGATCCCTGAGGAATCGCCACACTGACTTCCACAATGGTTGAACTAGTTTACAGTCCCACCAACAGTGTAAAAGTGTTCCTATTTCTCCACATCCTCTCCAGCACCTGTTGTTTCCTGACTTTTTAATGATTGCCATTCTAACTGGTGTGAGATGGTATCTCATTGTGGTTTTGATTTGCATTTCTCTGATGGCCAGTGATGGTGAGCATTTTTTCATGTGTTTTTTGGCTGCATAAATGTCTTCTTTTGAGAAGTGTCTGTTCATGTCCTTCGCCCACTTTTTGATGGGGTTGTTTGTTTTTTCTTGTAAATTTGTTTGAGTTCATTGTAGATTCTGGATATTAGCCCTTTGTCAGATGAGTAGGTTGCGAAAATTTTCTCCCATTTTGTAGGTTGCCTGTTCACTCTGATGGTAGTTTCTTTTGCTGTGCAGAAGCTCTTTAGTTTAATTAGATCCCATTTGTCAATTTTGGCTTTTGTTGCCATTGCTTTTGGTGTTTTAGACATGAAGTCCTTGCCCATGCCTATGTCCTGAATGGTATTGCCTAGGTTTTCTTCTAGGGTTTTTATGGTTTCAGGTCGAACGTTTAAGTCTTTAATCCATCTTGAATTGATTTTTGTATAAGGTGTAAGGAAGGGATCCAGTTTCAGCTTTCTACATATGGCTAGCCAGTTTTCCCAGCACCATTTATTAAATAGGGAATCCTTTCCCCATTGCTTGTTTTTCTCAGGTTTGTCAAAGATCAGATAGTTGTAGATATGCGGCGTTATTTCTGAGGGCTCTATTCTGTTACATTGATCTATATCTCTGTTTTGGTACCAGTACCATGCTGTTTTGGTTACTGTAGCCTTGTAGTATAGTTTGAAGTCAGGTAGTGTGATGCCTCCAGCTTTGTTCTTTTGGCTTAGGATTCACTTGGCGATGCGGGCTCTTTTTTGGTTCCATATGAACTTTAAAGTAGTTTTTTCCAATTCTGTGAAGAAAGTCATTGGTAGCTTGATGGGGATGGCGTTGAATCTGTAAATTACCTTGGGCAGCATGGCCATTTTCACGATATTGATTCTTCCTACCCATGAGCATGGAATGTTCTTCCATTTGTTTGTATCCTCTTTTATTTCCTTGAGCAGTGGTTTGTAGTTCTCCTTGAAGAGGTCCTTCACATCCCTTGTAAGTTGGATTCCTAGGTATTTTATTCTCTTTGAAGCAATTGTGGATGGGAGTTCACTCATGATTTGGCTCTCTGTTTGTCTGTTGTTGGTGTATAAGAATGCTTGTGATTTTTGTACATTGATTTTGTATCCTGAGACTTTGCTGAAGTTGCTTATCAGTTTAAGGAGATTTTGGGCTGAGACAGTGGGGTTTTCTAGATATACTATCATGTCGTCTGCAGACAGGGACAATTTGACTTCCTCTTTTCCTAAATGAATGCCTTTTATTTCCTCCTGCCTAATTGCCCTGGCCAGAACTTCCAACACTATGTTGAATAGGAGTGGTGAGAGAGGGCATCCCTGTCTTGTGCCAGTTTTCAAAGGGAATGCTTCCAGTTTTTGCCCATTCAGTATGATATTGGCTGTGGGTTTGTCATAGATAGCTGTTATTATTTTGAAATACGTCCCATCAATACCTAATTTATTGAGAGTTTTTAGCATGAAGGGTTGGTGAATTTTGTCAAAGGCCTTTTCTGCATCTGTTGAGATAATCATGTGGTTTTTGTCTTTGGTTCTGTTTATATGCTGTATTACATTTATTGATTTGCGTATATTGAACCAGCCTTGCATCCCAGGGATGAAGCCCACTTGATCATGGTGGATAAGCTTTTTGATGTGCTGCTGGATTCGGTTTGCCAGTATTTTACTGAGGATTTTTGCATCAATGTTCATCAAGGATATTGGTCTAAAATTCTCTTTTTTGGTTGTGTCTCTGCCCGGCTTTGGTATCAGGATGATGCTGGCCTCATAAAATGAGTTAGGGAGGATTCCCTCTTTTTCTATTGATTGGAATAGTTTCAGAAGGAATGGTACCAGTTCCTCCTTGTACCTCTGGTAGAATTCGGCTGTGAATCCATCTGGTCCTGGACTCTTTTTGGTTGGTAAGCTATTGATTATTGCCACAATTTCAGATCCTGTTATTGGTCTATTCAGAGATTCAACTTCTTCCTGGTTTAGTCTTGGGAGAGTGTATGTGTCGAGGAATGTATCCATTTCTTCTAGATTTTCTAGTTTATTTGCGTAGAGGTGTTTGTAGTATTCTCTGATGGTAGTCTGTATTTCTGTGGGATCGGTGGTGATATCCCCTTTATCATTTTTTATTGTGTCTATTTGATTCTTCTCTCTTTTTTTCTTTATTAGTCTTGCTAGTGGTCTCTCAATTTTGTTGATCCTTTCAAAATACCAGCTCCTGGATTCATTAATTTTTTGAAGGGTTTTTTTTGGTCTCTATTTCCTTCAGTTCTGCTCTGATTTTAGTTATTTCTTGCCTTCTGCTAGCTTTTGAATGTGTTTGCTCTTGCTTTTCTAGTTCTTTTAATTGTGATGTTAGGGTGTCAATTTTGGATCTTTCCTGCTTTCTCTTGTGGGCATGTAGTGCTATAAATTTCCCTCTACACACTGCTTTGAATGCGTCCCAGAGATTCTGGTATGTTGTGTCTTTGTTCTCGTTGGTTTCAAAGAACATCTTTACTTCTGCCTTCATTTCGTTATGTACCCAGTAGTCATTCAGGAGCAGATTGTTCAGTTTCCATGTAGTTGAGCAGTTTTGAGTGAGATTCTTAATCCTGAGTTCTAGTTTGATTGCACTGTGGTCTGAGAGATAGTTTGTTATAATTTCTGTTCTTTTACATTTGCTGAGGAGAGCTTTACTTCCAACTATGTGGTCAATTTTGGAATAGGTGTGGTGTGGTGCTGAAAAAAATGTATATTCTGTTGATTTGGGGTGGAGAGTTCTGTAGATGTCTATTACGTCTGCTTGGTGCAGAGCTGGGTTCTATTCCTGGGTATCCTTGTTTACTTTCTGTCTCATTGATCTGTCTAATATTGACAGTGGGGTGTTAAAGTCTCCCATTATTATTGTGTGGGAGTCTAAGTCTCTTTGTAGGTCACTCAGGACTTGCTTTATGAATCTGGGTGCTCCTGTATTGGGTGCATATATATTTAGGATAGTTAGCTCTTCTTGTTGAATTGATCCCTTTACCATTATGTAATGGCCTTCTTTGTCTCTTTTGATCTTTGTTGGTTTAAAGTCTGTTTTATCAGAGACTAGGATTGCAACCCCTGCCTTTTTTTGTTTTCCATTTGCTTGGTAGATCTTCCTCCATCCCTTTATTTTGAGCCTATGTGTGTCTCTGCACATGAGATGGGTTTCCTGAATACAGCACACTGATGGGTCTTGACTCTTTATCCAATTTGCCAGTCTGTGTCTTTTAATTGGAGCATTTAGCCCATTTACATTTAAGGTTAGTATTGTTATGTGTGAATTTGATCCTGTCATTACGATGTTAGCTGGTGATTTTGCTTGTTAGTTGATGAAGTTTCTTCCTAGCATCAGTGGTCTTTACGATTTGGCCTGTTTTTGCAGTGGCTGGTACCACTTGTTCCTTTCCATGTTTAGTGCTTCCTTCAGGCGCTCTTTTAGGGCAGGCCTGGTGGTGACAAAATCTCTCAGCATTTGCTTATCTGTAAAGTATTTTATTTCTCCTTCACTTATGAAGCTTAGTTTGGCTGGATATGAAATTCTGGGTTGAAAATTCTTTTCTTTAAGAATGTTGAATATTGGCCCCCACTCTCTTCTGGCTTGTAGAGTTTCTGCCAAGAGATCTGCTGTTAGTCTGATGGGCTTCCCTTTGAGGGTAACCCGACCTTTCTCTCTGGCTGCCCTTAACATTTTTTCCTTCATTTCAACTTTGGTGAATCTGACAATTATGTGTCTTGGAGTTGCCCTTCTCAAGGAGTATCTTTGTGGCGTTCTCTGTATTTCCTGAATCTGAACGTTGGCCTGCCTTGCTAGATTGGGGAAGTTCTCCTGGATAATATCCTGCAGAGTGTTTTCCAACTTGTTTCCATTCTCCCCGTCACTTTTAGGCACACCAATCAGACGTAGATTTGGTCTTTTCACATAATCCCATATTTCTTGGAGGCTTTGCTCGTTTCTTTTTATTCTTTTTTCTCTAAACTTCCCTTCTTGCTTCATTTCATTCATTTCATCTTCCATCGCTGATACCATTTCTTCCAGTTGATCGCATTGGCTCCTGAGGCTTCTGCATTCTTCACGTACTTATCGAGCCTTGGTTTTCAGCTCCATCAGCTCCTTTAAGCACTTCTCTGTATTGGTTATTCTAGTTATACATTCTTCTAAATTTTTTTCAAAGTTTTCAACTTCTTTGCCTTTGGTTTGAATGTCCTCCCGTAGCTCGGAGTAATTTGATCGTCTGAAGCCTTCTTCTCTCAGCTTGTCAGTCATTCTCCATCCAGCTTTGTTCCATTGCTGGTGAGGAACTGCGTTCCTTTGGAGGAGGAGAGGCACTCTGCATTTTAGAGTTTCCAGTTTTTCTGCTCTGTTTTTTCCCCATCTTTGTGGTTTTATCTACTTTTGGCCTTTGATGATGGTGACGTACAGATAGGTTTTTGGTGTGGGTGTCCTTTCTGTTTGTTAGTTTTCCTTCTAACAGATAGGACCCTCAGCTGCAGGTCTGTTGGAGTACCCGGGCGTGTGAGATGTCAGTCTGCCCCTGCTAGGGGGTGCCTCCCAGTTAGGCTGCTCGGGGTCAGGGGTCAGGGACCCACTTGAGGAGGCAGTCTGCCGGTTCTCAGATCTCCAGCTGCGTGCTGGGATTACCACTGCTCTCTTCAAAGCTGTCAGACAGGGACACTTAAGCCTGCAGAGGTTACTGCTGTCTTTTTGTTTGTCTGTGCCCTGCCCCCAGAGGTGGAGCCTACAGAGGCAGGCAGGCCTCCTTGAGCTGTGGTGGGCTCCACACAGTTCGAGCTTCCTGGCTGCTTTGTTTACCTAAGCAAGCCTGGGCAATGGCGGGCGCCCCTCCCCCAGCTTCGCTGCTGCCTTGCAGTTTGATCTCAGACTGTTGTGCTAGCAATCGGCGAGACTCCGTGGGCGTAGGACCCTCCGAGCCAGGTGCGGGACACAATCTCCTGGTGCTCCGTTTTTTAAGCCCGTCAGAAAAGCGCAGTATTCGGGTGGGAATGACCCGATCTTCCAGGTGCCGTCTGTCACCCCTTTCTTTGACTAGGAAAGGGAACTCCCTGACCCCCTGCGCTTCCCGAGTGAGGCAATGCCTCACCCTGCTTCGGCTCGCACGTGCACCCACTGACCTGCACCCACTGTCTGGCACTCCCTAGTGAGATGAACCCGGTACCTCAGATGGAAATGCAGAAATCACCCGTCTTCTGTGTCGCTCACGCTGGGAGCTGTAGACCAGAGCTGTTCCTATTGGGCCATCTTGGCTCCTCCCTGAGTCCAAATGTGGGTAAGTCTAAGTCACCATCCAAGTCAGCCATCGAACAAATCTAAACAAAGCTTAATGCTCCTACCCATGAGGACCAAAGGGCAGGATGCTCCAGTAGGCAGATCTTTCTAATGATGACAGATTCCTTTCTTGCATAAATGTTTGATCTTGAGATGTTGAGGGGCCTGATGGCAGTTGCCAAAAAAGTGTGGGAAGCTCAAAAATATTTCCTCATTGCTTGTGTCATAGTTTGTTCCACGCAGGTGGTCAAGAGAACACTTATAAAGCACCTAACCTAGAGAGGCTACTGTGGGCTTGATCTGAAATCCAAAGCTTTGTGAGATGACCCTTTCTCGGGCCACGTTGGCCTCTGAGGGATGCCTATTGTAGCTTGACAGTCGGGGTATTTTGTTCCCTGTGCCTGGGAGTGGTAGATTCACAAAGACTGTGGCTCTATGTTGAGCCCGGCTCTCGATCCTTGTTGCCTGAACCTATTGCCTAATCTTTGCTAGAACCATTTATGGTCCAGACTCCTGAGCTTGCCCCTCGCTGACCTCTGAATTCAGATCAAGAAAGTATATACAAAGATACTTACTTAGTACTATCTTTGTAAGGGAGCACCTTTCAAGTCACTTTGATTTTGTAATTACACTTGAATGAAGAAACATGGTAAAAATCAAGTAGCATAAAGGGGACTAAAACAAAAAGCAATATTTCTACACCTTATCCCTCTCCTGCCCCACCCTAGTAGTGGACATCTTTAATTATACCTGCTTTAAGCTTTTCTGTTGGCTAACTCTATAGCTGTAAAGAATATATTCATATTGTGATATCTATCTATTTATATATTTATAAAGACAATCACTTATGGATACTACCTTTCACTTCTTGGAGGTGGTCAACTTCCAAGATGGCCCTCAATTATCTCCACCTCCTATTATTCACATCCTTGTATAATTCCCTCCCATATTGTACCAGGGTCCATAGTTGAGCTGCATGACCAGTATCATATGGTTGAAGTGATGGTATGCCACTTCTGAGGTTAGGTTATAAAAGACATTGTAGATTCTACCTTGGTCTCTTTCACTCCCTCCCTGCCCCCCATCACTCATACTGGCTGAGGCCAGCTGCCATGTATTGAGGACACTGAAATAGTCCTGTGGAGAGGTCCACATGGCAAGGAACTGAGACTTACAGTCAACAGTCTGTAAGGAATTGAGGCCTCCTGCAAACAGCCATGTGAATAAGCTATCTTAGAAGAACATCCCCCAGCTCCAGTCAAACCTTCAGATGACAGCCAGGGCCAACAGCTTGATTGTAACTTCTTGAAAGACTCTGAACCAGAACCACTGAGCTAAGCTGCTCTCAGGTTCCTGACCCTCAGAAATAGCAAAAAAATGTTTGTTGCTTTCAGCAAATAAGTTTTGGGGTAATTTATCATGCAATAATTGATAACTAATATATCTTCCACAATTTCATGGATATTTTATTGTTTAATTCTCTCATTAGTTACATTATGACTTTAAATAATAACATTTCTTATTAGTTACATTGTAACTTTAAATAGTAGACCTCTATTTGGTTGACAACCACTAAACGGTTGTCATTTTTAAAAAGAGTTTCTTAGCTTTCTATTTTCTGGGATGAGAATAATATTGTAGTGTCCCTACCTCTTCCTCCACCTTTCCTTCTCTTTGTCTACCAATTAATGCCAGACAGCTTGACCTTTATTTTTAAAATTAGAAAGATTTTAAATGCACAGGAGTAAAGAGAATAGTATGAAAAACCACCACATACCCATTATCCAGCTTCAATAATTATCGATTCAGGGCCAGTTTTGTTGCATCTCTGGCTCCACCTACTTCCTCCCTCCTATATTATTTTGAAGCAAATCCCACGCTTTGTATAATTTAATCCATACATATTTTAGCATGTATCGATAAAAGTTATGAAATATTTTATAACATAACTAAAATGCAATTATCAAATATCAATATAGCAGAAATTTCTTAATATTATCAAATACCTGGTCAGTGTTCAAATTTTCAATTATATACACATATACACACACAGTATACACTTTTTTGAATCAGGATCCAAATAAAGTCCATATATTATAATTGATTGATTTGTCTTTTAGAATATTTAGAAACTATAAGAAGTTCTTCCATCTTTTTGTTCTCATAATTTATTTTCTGAAAAAAAGTTAACATTTTTCCTGTAGAGGTTCTCACAATCTGGATTTTGTTGATTGAATCCCCATGGTATAGGTTAAGATGTTCCTCTGACCTTTGTATTTCATATGAATTGGTAGTTGGATCTATAGGCTTGATCTGATTCAGATTTGATTTGGAGGAGGCAAAAGTAATGTGTCATATATAGTGTTGGTTGTCGCCTTCAGCAGGTAGATCTTTAGGTTTTGTTATAATAGCAAACATTATTTGTCAGTGTTTAGATCCATCACTTCATTAGTGATTGCAAAATGGTGATATTCTAATTCTAGTTATATTTTCACTTATTGGTTAGAATACTTCTATAAAAATAAATTTCCTTCATCTATGATTTGGTTGCCCAGTAGTATAGTTCATATGGGGAATACAGATCTAATACCTGATTCTTTCCTTTTAATTATGAATTTTCAAAATAATAAGTTGATTCCCTATCATCAGAAAAAAAGGGACCAACTAGATTTTTTTATAATAAAATTATGGATTTAAATATATTAAATGTGTTAAATTGCAGTCATTTTTGATACTTAAATTGTGCCATCTTTGGCCAGTAAGTTATTTCCTGAGTCCTTTTGCCACAGCCCTAGTAGTTTTATAGTTTCCTTGTTATCTGGTAGGACAAGATATGCCATGCTCATCTGGCGCGTTTCCTGACCCAGATCTGGAATTAGCCATTTCTCTAAGGGTATTTCATTTCTTTTAGTGGGAAATGGTATTTCAAGGCCAGAATCTGCATTTTAAGGGGATACATTTATATTGGATCAGTCAGTGTTTCTAGAGCATTTCAGTGGAAATGCTAGAAATGTATTTTTTTTTTCCATGGGGGTGGATTTCTGGTGAAAATCGGGAAATTGGCTAGACAAATTCTAAACAAATTGTAACAGTAGGAAATGTATTTTTAAGATTAAATATAACATGAGTTCATATCAATTCAAATTCAGTGCTACAGGGTATTTATGTAACTGCAGTCTTACATCCATATCATCTTACTCCCACACTAAGAATCCCAGTTTTCAAGGCCACAGGGACTGATAGAATTAAAATATCACACAATTACTTATTCAATTTATCTCACCTTACAAATAGAACTGTTTCAGAATAACAGTACTAATGCTACCACTGCCAACATAATTACTGTAAATAATTTACGTTTTTTAAAGTTATTTTTGTCCTTAAAATAAATCTCTCTAGGGATATACTATCAAATTCCTGTGTTTAGAAGTCATGTGGAATAGTTTCTCTCTGTCATCAACTACATATACATTTAGATTAGTTTACGTCATTTTGCTTTCAATTTTTAGGAATTGCTATTTTATAATGTTGTTTTATGATTATGTAACATGGTTACATTGTTCCAAAGTCAAATCTACAAGCCAGTATATATTCGAATAAGTCTAGCTTCTATCTCTTTCCTCTCTACCTTGTTTCCATCCAACTCTAGAGGCAACCATTTCAAAAAATTTTAAGTTTCATCCTTCTATTGTTTAATGTTTTAATAGAAGAATATTCATATATTATATTTGCATCCCTCTATTCTTGGATCAATGACACAATGATGTTAGCATTTTTCTACACCTTATTTTAGCTTAACAAAATTTCCTGGAAGTCACTTTACAGCAGTATATTGAGATCTTCTTCATGTTTTAAAAGCTGAACATATTTAATATATGCAACTTGATGAGTTTGGAGACGAGTACACACCTACTTAGTTCATCACCACCACAGTCAAGGCCGTAAACTTATCTATTACCTCCACAAATTTCTCTCCACTGACTTTATTTATTTATAGAGCTCTTCCTCATTTAACAGCTGCATAGTGCTCCGTTGTGTAGATGCGCTGTAGTTTGTTCAACTGATCCCCTATTGAACGTTTGCACTGTTACTAGACTTTTGCTGTTACAAATTATTCTGTAATGAATAGCTTTGTATATATGTGTTTTCATATTTTGGCCAGTATATCGGTGGGATCGATTCATAGAATTGGTATTGTCAGGTCAAAAGGCAAATACACATACTTTTGCTAAATATTACCAAATTTTCTCCATAAAGGGGTTGCATTTTGCATTTCCAACAGCAAGGCTTATAGCATTTCTATTCTCTCTAATGGCTATAATTTGCCCTTCCATGCTTTATCTGTAGTGGAAAGCCAATAGCAAGTGTTTATAGTACAAGGCAGTAGAGAAAGTGGTTAGACATACAGGCTCTGGGATCAGACTGCCTGCATCCCAAATCCTGGCTCTGCTACTAAGTAGCTGTGCATTCTTGGGCAAATTACTTAACCTCTCTATGTCTGAGTTCCCCATCTGTGAAATGGGCAAGTAGCCAATATTAGGCTGTTTTACCTACATTTAAAGTCTATTGTTTAATGAAGCCACTTTCATTAATTATCTAAGCAGGATCTTCTGAATAACTTGGCTGCAGCATCTCCATCTGCACTTACTGCTTCACTTTGCAATTTTATGCTATGGAGATGTCTTCTTCTTTTCTTAAACCTCATGAACCCACATCTGTGAGCTTCAGACTTTTCTTCTGCAGCTTCCTTACCTCTCTCAGCCCTAATAGAATTGAAGAGAGTTAGAGCCTTACTCTAGATTGAGCTTTGGCTTAAGGGAATGTTGTGAGTGGTTTGAACTTCTATCCAAGTCACTAAAACTGTCTCCATATCAGCAATAAGGCTATTTTGCTTTCTTATCATTCATGTGTGCACTTTTAATTTCCTTCAAGAACTTTTCTTTTGCATTCACAACTTGGCTAACTGACACAAGAGGCCTAGCTTTTGACTCATTTCTGTGTATTAGGCAATTCTTGCATTGCTATAAAGAGATACCTGAGGCTGGATAATTTATAAAGAAAAGAGTTTTAATTGACTCAGTTCTACAGGCTTTACAGGAAGCATGGTGCTGGCATCTGCTTGACTTCTGGGGAGGCCTTGAGAAGCTTACAGTTATGGAAGGAGGTGAAGGGGGAGCAGGCACATCAGATGGTGAAAGCGGAAACAAGTGAGAGAGAGTTGGGGTGGAGGTGCCACACACTTTTAAATGACCAGATCTTATGAAAACTCACTCACTCTTGTGAAGACAGCACCAAGCCATGAGTGATCCACCCCCATGATCCAAACACCTCCTACCAGGCCCCACCTCCAGCACTGGGGATTATAATTCAACATAAGATTTTGGTGGGGACACATATCTAAACTCTATCACTCAGCTTTCAACATGTCTTCCTCACTAAACTTAATCATTTCTAGCTTTTGATTTAAAGTGAGAGATGTATGATTCTTCTCTTCACTTAAACACTTAGAGGCCACTGTAGGGTTATTAATTGGCCCAATTTCAATATCGCATGTCTCAGGGTACAGGGAGGCCTGAGTAGAAGGAGAGAGATGGGGAAAAAGCTGGTCAGTGGAGGAGTCTGAACACACATATTATTTATCAATAAGTTTTGCCAACTTCTTTGGGCATGGTTTGCAGTGCCCCAAAACAGTTACAATAGTAACATCAAAGATAACTCATCACAGATATAATAATAAAAAGTCTGAAATATTGTGAGAATTACCAAAATGTGACACAGAGATGAAAAGTGAGGCATACTGTTGGAAAAATGGTGCTGATGGACTTCCTGGATGTAGAGTTGCCACAGACCTTTAATTTGTGAAAAATGCAATATCTGTGAAGTGCAGATGAGATATGCCTGTATATCAAAACATTACAATGTACCCTTGAATATATATAATGTTTATACCTCAATAAAGTTGAAAAAAGGAAACAAAATAGCTGTCTTCCATCAATGTTTTTCTAACTTTAAACCTTTGAACATTTTTTGTTAGGGATAAATGTTAGTCTTATGTTTCAGGCAGGGCAGGGACTAGGATGTGTGTGGTAAGTGAAGCACCTAGAGCATACAATTCAAGGAGCCAGTAGGTGCCACACTTATGCTGCCCTAGTCCCAGCCTGGCCCAAGGCTTTGCCTAGTCTAGAAGGATCCCTGAGGGAGTGAAAATATATAGTTAATGTTGAAAACAGAATCTGGGTCCTTACCAAGTAGCCAAATGGCTACCTCTTTGCCGAGAGAAACCATAGAAAAATAGTTGCCTGGTTCGTTTGTGTTGCTATAACAAAATATATGAGATGGGGTAATTTATAAAGAACAGAAATGTATTATATTTTCCCACCGTTCTGGAGGCTAGGAAGTCCAAGAGAAAGATACCTCCAGGTCCAGTTGTCTGGTGAGGGCTGCCATCTGCTTCCAAGATGATGCCTTTTTGCTGCATCATCTGGAGAAAAGAAGGCAAAAAGCCAAGCAAAGTGAATGCTGCATGAAGCCTCTTTTGTAAGAGCCTTAATCTCTTTTATGAAGGATTACTCTTCATGGCCCAAACACCTCTTAAAGACCCCACCTCTTAACACTATTACATTGGCAACACCTAAATTTTGGAGAGGAACATTCAAACCATAGCAATAATGTTTCTGTTATTCCAAGGGACATCACTCAAGGTACAGACTCCCTGGATCGAGCAGACAGAGCTAAGATCAGGAACAGCCAAGATATCAGATCCAAGTACCAACCCCCAAACATAGCAAAGAACAAATTTAATAATCTCAACATAAAGGCAAGAGTAAGCTTCTCAGCATCCTAGTTCAGATTTTTTTTTTTCTAGAGAGATTGGGAAAGGGCTACACACTACCTACAACATGGTAGAAAGGAAGTGAGCATGCAGACAGGAGGAAAAGCCTAGAAGCCTGGAAGAAAGTTGCCATGCAAAAAAAACTACTTCCAGGAAGATCCCCCTTCTTTTTCCCTGGTTCCAGAGAAGATGTGATCACCAAGGAGAAGTCAGTGTCAAGTCTCCCTCTATAACCTCTGATGATCTTGGAACTAAGATCAGTTAAACATATTACTTACTACAAAGAAGAAAACTTTATCTAATAAAGTTTCACCTGTTCTGGTTTCCTGGAATTTCTTAAGATTCCAAATATCCTAGCACCAAACACAAATTTATTTTAATTATGTTTTCCTTGATAAAATAATACATGATTATTGTGTGAAATGTGTTAAAGATAAGCATAAAGAAGAAAATAAAAATTACTCTTGATCTCACCTCTCAGCGATAACCATAGTTGATGTTACAGCGTATTTTCTTTCAGAATATTTTGTACACACAGGTGTGCATCCATGCATGGGATCAGACTGGTTTGTATACTGCTTCTTTGACTCACTGTATCTTGAATATCTCTATGTATCATGAAATACTTTTTGAAAATGTGATTTTTAGCAGCAACGTACTATTCTCATGTATGGCGGTACCATAATATCTTTTTCTACAGTTGAACATTTGGCTGTTTTCAAATTTTTGGAAAAACTGCCACAGTGGACTTCCTTGCACATGAATATTTGTTTATGTAATAAGTTCCTTAGACTGGATTCCTAGATGTCAGGCCATTCAGCCAAAGGGCCTGGTCATTTGTAGGGGTATAGGTTCTTACTCCTAAATTGCTTTTAAGAATGATTGTACCAGTTTTCACTTTGGCCAGCAGTATAGGTGAATGTTTCTATAGGTGTGTGCCAATCCAGAATATTATAATTAAATGTTCTTTTTTGTCTAATTGATAGGTGAAAAATGTTACTTACTTTTTAAATTTCCAGTTCTTCTATTACTAGTGTGGTTGAACATTTAGAATTGTTTATTGGTCATTTATATTTTTTAGTTGTAAATTATTTCTTATGAGGTATGCTTATTTTTCTTTGGAGATTGTGATTATTCTCTTAATGCATTGTAGTAGTAATTTTCATAATAAAAAAAGACTAATAGATAACATTCATTGAACATTTATGGCATGGTAGGCCCAGTTCTAAGCATGTTATATTTATTAACTTTTTAAATACTCATAAAATGCAAATAGGTAGGTACTATTATTATTCCCATTTTACAGATGCTGAAAATAGGAACGGGGAAGTTAGAATAATTTGCTCCAAGTCATACAGCTAGCAAGTGGCCAACATGCTTGAAGCAGTCTGACACTGAAGCAGCCACCACACAGTAAAGAGTTTATTAGCTCTGTGTTATAGTGGCTGTATATTTTCCCACTTTGAAGAAGCATTTGAAAAACACTATTAAATTTGACTACAGATATATATTTAAAATATCTGCACCTAAACATTCCATAAGAAAAACTTAAGAAACAAATGACCTTTTTTTCATGTATAGAAACTTTTTCTCCACCCCATGATCTGACATTACCTATATTTTGATGTACTGTTTAATAGATTTATTTCCAAAATGTAACTTTTTAATTAATTGGAATTTATTTGGATGGGAGAGGTGAGGTAAAAGTTATTATTTGTTTAATAATTCCTTGACATTCTGCCACCTTTATGAAGTACTGAGAATAAAATGGGGATAATAATGGTCTTTACCTCACAGGGTCATTATAAAGATTAAGTGAGATTAAATTTTTTTTAAACACACACACATACAAAGTAGGTACCCAACAGAAATTATTGCTTCCCAAATCAGTCTACACCACTCAGGAAATGTTTCTATGGCAATTGTGTGCATACTTAACTCTTTTGTACTTGTTTTCTCATCTTCTTAGAAAAGAGGGCATCCTTATCCAGTTTGAAAGCCTTTAGAGTTTTATGATCCCTTCTTGAAACATTTTATGAACAGTTTGAAACAATTTGAAGTAGACTTCTCTGAAAGAAGTCATACACTTCATAAACAAGGTATTTTGTCTGAGGAATGATATTTAAACAATTGATTCAGTCATGATGATGGACACAGCTATTGATTTAAGGAAATCAATGTGTTGCAATCAGTTACTTAAATTATTATGATGGGAAAAATTGATTTTGTATTTACCTGTTCCCTTTCATAAGTATTGTACTATGGGATGACTACAATAGACTTGTAACTTTGGTAGTTATAATCATAATAATGGCATCATCCTCAGTTCTTCCCCCTCTCACTCCTCACATTCAACTCAACAGCAAGTTCTGTTGGCTCCACCTCTGTCATATGGCCTATATCCATCTATTTCTCTCTAACCTTGTTGATTCTATCCTGGTCCAGCCACTATTTTCTCTCCTGTACCATGGTCATAGCTCCTGCTTGTCCCATGCTTCCACCCTTATCCCCATCAGTTCATTTTCCATGCAGCAGCCAAAACGAGCCTCTTAAAATGTAAGCTATATCTTGTCATTCTTCTATTGGAAACCCACAGATGGCCCTATAGGTCAGTGTTTAATCTTAATGTATTGACTCTGGACTACCTGCATAAGAATCAGCTGAGACGTGTGTTTACAGTATGAATGCCTGTACCCTGACTGAGACCTACCTACTGAGAATCTCTGCTGGTAGGGCCCGGGAGATTGCATTTTAAACAAGCATCCTGTCTCAATCAGTTCCCTTTGGGAGCCAAGATCATTCCCTGAACCCCTAAGAAACAATGACCTTGACTTTCTGATGTCTCCTCCTCTTAGGATCTAAGAAGGACTTGGCACATGAGAAGTGCTCAGGATTTCTGGGTTGAATGAATAGAATGGAGGATACAACGTATGCATATTTGAACCAAAGCTAGGAAGCAGGGGTGAAGACAGCAAGAGCTTGGGATGGCAGACTGAGGTGTTTCCTTTGCGCTGATGTTTAGGGTTTTTCCAGCTCTGACTTTTCTTATGCTTCTACCCACCATTGCTCCTTC